>NC_000016.10:50926136-51229166 GCF_000001405.40 Homo sapiens | reverse complement strand
AAGCCTGCACGCAGAAGCAGCAGACATGAGGACCAGCAGGTTGGAGCTTCTAAGTTCCTGTTTCCAGTCAGTTCCTGGGACCCCGCTCCATCCCTGTCTTTGGATTCTCTTATATATTTTTAAGATTTTTTTAAAGTTATATATATAACTTTATATAAATATATATTTTTTAAGTTATATGTATAACTATATAAATATATACTTATATATATACATTTATATATATATAAATATATATATTTTATATATAAATTTATATATATAATATATATATTTATATATAAATTTATATATATAAATATATATATTATATATATAAATTTATATATATATAAAATATATAAGAGAATATATATATACATTGTAAAACATTTAAAAAGTTTAAAATGAAATAAATTCTTTAAAATATAAAACAGAGTAAAGTTTTTGTTTTGTTTTGAGCTTTGCTATAAGTGAAGGAAAAGTTCCCAAGTGGCTTTATATAACATAAATGTTAATGAATGTCATTCATATTGCTGAAAATTCCAGAGGTAATTCTTTCTTTAGATAGCGCTGATTTGGTGGTTGAAATAATGCGATCAAGTACCCAGTTTCTCTCTATCTCTTTCTCTCCCCCTCCCCTCTCCTCTCCTCTTTCGACTCTCCTCTCGCCTTCCTTTGTGATGTAGAATTTATTCTCAGGGACCGCAGAGTTATTTGCAACTCTAGGCATTTCTGTGGTGGTAGCAAAAGGGTTTCATCAGCTCCAGACCTCACACCATAACCGACATTATCCAAACGAAGAGAGACTCCCTTCCAGTTGGTTTTGCAAAAGTCCTGGGATTCACTTTCATTCGTCTAAACTAGGCTACTTGCCCAACTCTGAGCCAATCACTGGATAAGGAGATAGGATATACTGTTTAGATGGAACCAGTCAGGACTTTCCCTTGAAGCAGAGGTGAAGTCTATCCCTCCCACATCATATGATTAAAGGTGGGAGAGAGAAACTGTCCCCAAAGAACAATCAGGCATTTTTGGTGGGAGTAGGAGGCAAGGGATACACATCTCAAAAGCAACCAACACATGTGCACTATGTCTTATGGCTTCAATAAATGTTTCTTCTTTGCTTAATCTTTCTTGAGTTAATTTTAAACTTTTCATTAATTTATTCTAAAACATTCCTGGGAAGCTCTTGGGAAACTCTTGCCCAGTTTAAGTGGAGAAGAAGGAAATCCAAATCTCGCCCATTTGGGGTGATGAAGAGAGGTTTAGATAGCCTTGATTAAGATTCTTACCTCTACACAAATTTAACAAAAATACAGTTATTAGGATCAACAGTAAATTATAAACAAGATCTAAAAGAATGGTACTAAGTAAAATTATGAGGAGTAATAGAAAATATTTAAAATACCAATCCTATATATTTCATAATGCTTCATTAACTTATAATCCATTTCAATCAAGATTCTGTTGCCTAACTCATATTGAAGGAATCTTGAGTCATTGTGACCAAAAAAAAGGTTATTATGTTTTACTAGATGCCTTTTATTCATATAAATATTTATATAAATATTTTCAAGTGAAGGAAATCTTTAAAAATCTTAATTTGTGAACTGTCACAAATGATTAAGCCACAAATAATGCTGTGTAATCTGTGCGATGGGTGTACTTGCCTGGGAAGAAAATGCCAGAGACAATAGCTAAGCACTCTTAAGAATTGCTGAATTACCAGTGCACCCTGGCATAGGGGACAATATTGTATGGAGAATACAGGCACGGAAAACTCAATTCATAAGTGATTTGAAAAATGTAGCCTCTGAATGTGAAGATGTTATTCACATTCAGATGTTTTCTGAATGTGAAGATAAAAAATGCCTTATCAATTTATTTCTTCTTTATGTTTGTACAACAGGGATTTATATATATAAAATACATGTCTAAATATAAGTGTAAGAACTCTTTGGATAAACTTAATTTTAAAATTCTAATAATAGGAAAACATAGCATGACACTTATTTGGGGGCATATTTTTTCTTCCTTGTGGTATATGAAATGATCACCTTACCTTGATAACATCCTGGATTTGATATAAACACAGTAGTTCAAGTCTCATAAGAGCTCACATGATGCAACCCTACTGTATTATTATTTGCTATTGTTATTTTTAGCTGCTATTGGCCACTCTCTTATACACCAAACACTATTTTCTTTTTATCGTCGTATGTATGCATCACAGCTGAAGTACAATGAGCCTTCATGTTTAGCACATTCACTGGCCAAGATATTGTTTGTGGTTCTATCCAAAAGGGCAAGTGCATTTTTTTTTTTTTTTCTTGAGACAGAGTCTTGCACTATCGTCCGGGCTGGAGTGCAGTGGCGCGATCTCGGCTCACTGCAAGCTCCGCCTCCTAGGTTCAAGCCATTCTCCTGCCTCAGCCTCCCAAGTAGCTGGGATTATAAGCACCCGACACCATGCCCGGCTAATTTTTAGTATTTTTAGTAGAGACAGGGTTTCACTATGTTGGCCAGGCTGGTCTCGAACGCTTGACCTCATGATCCACCCGCCTCGGCCTCCCAAAGTGCTGGGATTACAGGCGTGAGCCACCATGCCCGGCCGGGGTAAGTGCATTTTTACAAATAATTTTACAACAGTACAAATGCTACTATATTAAAACTTTTTCTGTGGTCGAATACCCTATTTCATCCTCCGAGAATCTAAGATCTATTAAAAAAACATACTAAGAAAACCTAAACCCATTATCATTTACTTACAGGCACTGACAACTCTCATGCAAAAGGGAGAACAGTTCAAATAAACAAATGCTTAGTGTTATCCAATGAAGTGTAAACAAAATCCAAATAAATGAGTGGGCACATTTACTTCCTGCTCAGGCATCAGTCCTTATTGACTGTTCTTAACACCTTCAGTGCCTCCACCCGGATGGGATTCATCAGTCAAGTCGCCATACATTTCCGGCTGTTTCTAGAAAATTAATGCTAGAATTAATGCTAAAAACAAGTTAAAGCATAATCATGACTCTTGCAAATCTTTCCCCTTCATGGCTGATCATTCCATTACGTCATAATTATCATAGAGCTATAGCGTAAATACATAGTTATTTCCAACTCTCTGTCCAGATGGTCGGTTACATGATAATTACAGTATGTTTGTACTTACTGGGTTTAATTACCAGATAATCAGGAAGAACATGCAAATTGCTAGGTTGTTGTAACACAGTACATTGAACCAAGTTAAACCTGTGTACTGCATATAAGTAAACAAGTTCTTACATGGGATTGTGCACTGTAACCTGTGACAACAAGAAGGCCAGACGTTTGTTATATGTCCATTGTGTGGGTTAGCATTACACTCACAGAGCATGGATTAATGTCCAGATTACAAGGAAATGTAATGGGAGAGACACTCATGCTGCCACACCTGCCACAGGGACAATGGGAAACTGGCCACAGGAGTGGCTGAGCAAGGTGCCAGCTCTTGGCTCTAGAGTTCAATTCTTCCAACACAATGCATTGCACAGTCACCTGCACGCATCTGTTCTCAGTCCAACCGTGTACCTGCCCAAGTGCTGGCAAAGAGAGATTGCAAACCATCTACCAAATAAACATCTACCAGAATAAAAGATCACTCCAGGCTGGAGCAAATTTATAGTTTCCTGGTGTGTGCATTTTGCCACCACTGTGATGGCTAAGTATTGTTCCCTCTTAATCACATGAAACGAAGCAGCCCAAATCAGCACTTCTGATTCCCCGAGCAGCCCACTGTCGCACATTGCTTGGTTTCCTCTCTAGCATACTTTCCTACTTTCCCCTTCCCAGTTTCCACCTGGAAATAAATCCATGCTGTTCTAAAGAAGCCAACTTCACCCCTCACTTCTAAGAGTGAAACTTATGACCTTTGCAATTAGCATATTCCCTCCCCTCTGGCTACAGCGATTGGTTTAAGCTCATATTTAAGCCTCAAGCTGCTTAAGCCAGTCTTAAAGTAGATCACAGTCTGGAAGTGCCAGGAGCAAGGTACTCTCTCTTCCTCCTTCAAAACAAATAATGAAGCTGAAGCCTCAAGGGCCACTGAAAGCCATCTTGCAAACCCAAAGAAGAAATTTGGTGTTTAATGACATCAGCGAGCCATGGGATCCAGCTTTACCTGAAACCTGTATCTATGTTTTCCAATTATATGAGTGAATAAATGTCCTTTATTGTTTATGCCACCTAGAGTTGGGGTTTCTGTTATTTATAACTAGAAGCATAACAGTTTATAAAGTTGCCAGATTTATCTGCCTTGCTTGCCACGGAAGATTCCTTACAGGCTTTTTTCATGGGAATCTTCTGCACCACTACCTAGACATGAGCAGCCTTCATGCTCTGATCAATTCTAAGGCTTTCATGTTGATTGCTTTTCCTGCTAATCTGAGATGGCATACCAGTGTCTACCTATGGATGCTGCAACCTCATTCCTGGGGAAGGAGAAGCAGAGAATGTATTCTTCATCCATGAATGGGGTGGGGTGGGGGTGAGGGACCCTCCAAGGTCCTACGCTTTTCCCTACAGAGAAGTCTGGTGGGAGGACCCTGAGTCCAGCAAGGTGGAATATTATTTGAGGTTACTCAAGGACATAGGCCAGGATGGAAAGGGACCAAGGCCACTGACAGGAAGTAAACAGACTTCCATAACCAGAGGGCTAAGCAACAGAACAGTGGCAGGAGTGGAGAGGCACCTTGGGACAGAGAGGCAGAACAAGGTGTATACAGTGGGTGAAGAACAAGCACCAGGTCACCCTGCCATCTTCCTCTAGTCAAACCTTGAAACAGCAGGTCAGGCTGGACATTCACTCATCCCACATACGCTTAGCTAATGTCTAGTTTTGAGTGCCTGCAATGGTCCCAGAAATTTAGTTAAAGATAGATACAACCCATATGGCCTTTGCCTTCATCCTTCTTATCTATCAAGTGAGGCAGACAATTCAACAAGCAACGACAACAAACACGGTTGTCACCAGGTGTTGTGGGAGAAGACAAGGAGAGAAAGCAACCAAATTCAGGTTCAAGGACAACTTCCTGCAGGAAATGACATTGACACTAAAACCTGAGTGATGGGAGGCCTTCAGACAAAGATGGACAGGAGAGAAAATGCCTCCAGCAGAGGTAAAGAGCTTGTGAAAGGCAGGAGTATGCCGATGTCTAGGAACAGGAAGGAGTCTGTTAAGGTTGAAGAGGGGATGGCCAGGAAGCAGATCTTCCAGGTGCTGAGGCAAACTGGGGCCAGATCTCCCAGGGCCATGGCCGCCTAGTAAAGAATTCCCATTTTATCTCAAGGGCAGTTTTCAACAGGCAGGAATGACATGATCAGATTTGCCTTTTAGGGGGCCATTACTCATATTTTATTCCAAACACATAACTAAACTACTTTTCAAAGGTCTTCTTTGGGGAGATCAAGAAAAGGGGAAACAGTATCAATATACTGCCTAAACATATTTTCCTATAAACCCATGTGCCACAGAAGAGAATAAGCTGTGGGTTTCAGATACCCTTGTACTTCAATTGTCAGTCCCCTTTTCACAGCTGTTTGATGTTCAAGATGCTCTTGGAATACTTTCAATAAATCTTCTTAACTCTGTTTTTCCTTGAAGCAGGAAGCCTTGTCCTCAGCATGTGATTAGGCTGTAAAACCCGGCATTTTCCAGACCCTACTCATCAGGCATGATGGAGCTCCTAGCCTCCCAATGCCCTGCCTCACTCTCACCAGGATGGCACGGCCCATGTGTATGCGTCAATAACCTCTTTTTCTGATATTATGAAGCCTGAGAAGAACGTTAATTCAGGATGCTATCAGATTTGTTTTTTTTTTTTTGAGACGGAGTCTCGCTCTGTCACCCAGGCTGGAGTGCAGTGGTACAATCTCAGCTCACTGCAAGCTCCGCCTCCTGGGTTCAGGCCATTCTCCTGCCTCAGCCTCCCCAGTAGCTGGGACTACAGGCACCTACCACACACCCAGCTACTTTTTTGTATTTTTAGTAGAGATGGGGTTTCATCGCGTTAGCCAGGATGGTCTCGATCTCCTGATCTCGTGATCTGCCCGCCTCGGCCTCCCAAAGTGCTTGGATTATAGGCGCGAGCCACCACACCTGGCCGCCATCAGATTTTTTTAAAAAAGAGATGTACCTTGAGTTAGATGACCACAATTATGTTCTCAGTTGGATTCTTATGGACCAAGACAGATGACAAAGAAAAGCAGGAAATGAATTCTTATTTCCATGAGCTGGGTCTCAGAAATATATCTGGAGTTTTATTGATACGGTCGTCCTTTGTCTCTGACATTTCTCTGATTTTCTTTTTTTATGTGGCTCATCATAATAATCAGAGAAGATTATCATTAAGTATAATGATCAGTAGCAGTGGTGACAATAATGGCTACCACTCACTGAGTGTACAGTGTGCTAGGTAGCTAAACACCTTAAGTACATTATCTCATTTAATCGTCACAATAACCTTGTGAGACAGGTAATATTATATTCCTATTTTACAGATGAGAAAACTGAGGCTCAGAAAGGCAAACAAGATCTAATACTGTAGGGAGGGTTTGAACCCAGACCATCTGACTACTACCCACAGCATACTTGGCCTGAGGGAAATCCCATCTTTATGAATGATTGGGAAGTCGGCTCCAGGCCCTTGGGTCTGCTAGCTTTCCTGATGCCCATATAGGGTACGTCTCTGTCTGCCTCTGTGTATTTCTCCCTGCTGAACTCCCTGCCTATAGCCACAGTACTGAGCCAAGAGAGGCACAATCACCTGGGCCAAGTTCTCATTAAAATGTGTGTGTGTTTGGGGGGCCTAATGATTATTTTCAGTCCTGGTTCCTGTTTATTTGGTTTGGGTTTTGCACGATTAATTAGGAGCCTAAATTAATGAGAAGGGAAACACGTGTCCAGCTGGTCCTCCCAGATGTTCCTGGAAACAAACTCTCCAATTTGCACAGCAAGACAGTGTAAACATGACTTGGGGAAGCCGCTCCGAGTTGGTTTAGTCCCCGACTCCACGGGCTGGGCATCCATGCCTGGCCAGGTCTGAAATGATATCTCAGATGTATTTGCTGATCCTGTTCTCCTTGGCTCTACCATGAGGCAGCCTCAGTTACACTTCCTCACCTGAACCTCAGAACAGGCAAGGACAGAAGAAGCCTAAACTTGGAGCAAGAGCTAGAGAAAGAGAAAGACAAGGAAAGAACAACACAATTCTTAATGGATGGATGGTAAGAAAAAAAAGTTCTCCAAAATTCAGTGCCATGTGCATTTCACAGACATCTGCCAGTAGCCTAAGAGTCCACTTTTCTTTCTTATCCCATCTCTGGTGTTCCTTTTGCCTTCATGATGAGAAAAGACTGATTGATCCATTCCAGTTTTATCTTATTTGGAGTGGTGACTGAATGAAAATACACTGGGATCCATCAGAGTCACCCAATGTCTCTCCATGATGGAGTCAAATACCATTAGGGAAACCTCCCTTCTGTAGCCGCCACTTATGGGAAAATGAAGGCAGTAAGCACCTTAAACAAATTATCTCTTTTAATCTTCACAATAACCTTGTGAGACACATAATATTAATATTATATTCCTATTTTTTTTTTTTTTTTTTTTTTTGAGACGGAGTCTCGCTCTGTCACCCAGGCCGGACTGCGGACTGCAGTGGCGCAATCTCGGCTCACTGCAAGCTCCGCTTCCCGGGTTCACGCCATTCTCCTGCCTCAGCCTCCCCAGTAGCTGGGACTACAGGCGCCCGCCACCGCGCCCGGCTAATTTTTTGTATTTTTAGTAGAGACGGGGTTTCACCTTGCTGGCCAGGATGGTCTCGATTTCCTGACCTCATGATCCACCCGCCTCGGCCTCCCAAAGTGCTGGGATTACAGGCGTGAGCCACCGCGCCCAGCCTATATTCCTATTTTAAAGATAAGAAAACTGAGGCTCAGAGAGGTGAACAGCAGCTAGTACTGTAGGAGGGTGTGAACTCGGGTCATCTGACTCTAATACCCACAACACATTTGACCCTGGGGAAATACCATCTTTATGAATTATTAGGAGGTCAGTCCCAGGTCTTGCTGGTCTGTCCAGCATTGGGTAAACATCTGTCTGTTTCCGTACATTTCTTCCTGGTTAGATTCACAGTACTGTTGTGGGCAATTCCTAGAAAGTCAACAGGAGATCCAGGGACTCTATATTGTCTCTCTCTCAATATATTGGACACCTACCCTATGCCAGTGATGGCCACTGGGGCCATGCAATGAACAAGGTAAGCGTGATCTTCATCCTCTAGCAGTGTGTAATCTAGCTCTTCTAGCTTCGCAGCTCACAAACCTGACCAAGGATATTAACACAGTCAAGAAACTTTCTTGGGTATACACATGCAATGATGTGTTATTCAGCCTTGAAAAGGAATGAAATTCGGACATATACTGCAATATGGGTGGATCTTGAAAACATTACACTAAGTGAAATAAGCAAGACACAAAAGGATGTCTACTCCATGATGCCATTTATATAAGGTACCTAGAATAGTCAAAGACACAGACAGAAAGTAGAATGATGGTTACTAGGGCTGGAGGAGAGGGTGAGTGGGGAGTGAGTATTTAATGGGTACAGAGTTTTAGTTTGGGATGATGAAAATGTTCTAAAGATGGATAGTGGTGCTAGTTGCACAGCAATGTGAACATAATACCATTGAATTTTACACTTAAAAATGTTTAAAATTATACATTTTATGTTTTGTATTTTTACCACTATTTTTTTTTTAAAGAAAAAGAAAGCCTCCTTGGGACCTGCTAGACAAAAGTTTCCTGGATGAATGGGGAAGTTGAGCCTCCAGGCACGCCCCTGCTGAGACCCCCTTGTTCTAGCTGAATCATCATTGGTCTTCACAAGATTCATTTTTAAATATTAAGAAAGTCGTCCTACACACTGGGAAAATGGATGTAAACAAGAGAGAAAGTTCCTGAGGAGATCAGATAACAAGCAAATTGCAAAACTACACCCCCAACACACTATATTTTGGCCCTGTTTTATTTTTATCCTTAGTATTTAACACAATCAAACATAATACATTTTTGCTAATTAATCCTGTGTGCCTGTATCCCTCCATCCCTCCACTGATACCAAAGGGTATCAGGTGGGATTTCATTGTGGTTTGATTTGCATTTCCCTAATGATTAGTAATGTCTAGCATCTTTTTGTGGATTTGTTGGCCTTTGTATATCTTCTCTGGAGAATGTCTATTCAAGTTCTTTGCTCACTTTTTAACTGGGTTATTTTGTTGTTGACAGGAATTCTTTATACGTATTGTATATATATATATTCAATATATAGTCCTCCAGCTTTGTTCTCTTTAAAGATTGTTTTAATTGTTCAGAATAACTTCAGGTTTCATATGAATTTTAGAATGGGTGTTTCTATTTCTGAAAAAAACAAGATTGAAATTTTGGTAGGGATTACACTGGATCTCTAGATTGCTTTAGGTAGTATTGACAGCTTAATAATATTAGGTCTTAAAATTCATAAACATGGGCTATATTTCTATTTATTTATATTTTTAACTTCTTTCAGCAATGTTTTGTGGTTTTTATGTCTTTCACCTCCTTATTTAATTCCTAAGTATTTTATTGTTTTTGATGCTACTATAAATGGAATTGTTTTCAGAATTTCTTTTCAGATTATTCAATATTAGTTTATAGAAATGCAACTAATTATTTGTGTTCACTCTGTATTTTGCTGAATTTATTTATTAACTCAACAGTTTTTACAGATTTTTTCTGTTTTCTACATATAAAATCCTGGTAGCTACAAATAGGAATAATTTTTTTCCTCCTGTCCAATTTGGATATCTTTTCTGGTCTTTTTCTTGCCTAATTGCCCTGGCTAGAAGTTTCAGTACTATGCTGAATAGAAGTGGTAAAAGTGGGCACCCTTGTCTTGTTCCTGATTTACAAGAAAAGCTTTTCATTTTTCACCATTGAGTATCATGTCAACTGTGGGTTTTTCATATATGGCCTTTATTATATTGAGTAGTTTCTTGAGTGTTTTTATCACGAAGGGGTGCTTAATTTTGTCAAATGCTTATATATATATATATATATATATATATCCTTTCAATATGCTGTTGAATTGTGTTTGCTAGTTTTTGGTTGAATATTTTTGCATCAGTGGTCATAAAGGATATTGATCTGTAGTTTTCTTATAATTTTTTCGGTCTGGCCTCATTTTTATCTGTGTAATGATGGCTTCATTGAATGAGCTAGGGGGTCTCCTTTCTCTTCAAATTTTTGGGAGAATTTGAGAAGGAATGGTATTAATTCATCTTTACATGTTTGATAGAATCCAGCAGTTGAAGTCATTTGCATTCACCAGTTGAAGCCATTTGCAAAGTCAGGGCTTTTCTTTTGGGGAGGTTTTTTATTCTTAATTCAATCTCTTCATTAGTTGTAGGTCGATTCAGATTTTCCATTTATTCATGATTCAGTCTTGGTAGGTTGTGTTTTTGTAGGAATTTGGAATTTGTTCATTTTATCTAGGTTAACCAATTTGTTGGCATGCAATTATAGTATTTTTAATTTTTATAAAATCAATAGTAATATGTCTAGTTTCATTTTTGATTTTAGTAACTTAAGTTTTCTCTTTTCTCCTTAGTCAATCTAGCAAAAAGCTTGTCAATTGTGTTGGTTTTTTTTTCAAAGAACTAATTTGGTTTCATTGATTCTTTTTCTACTTTGTCTGATATTAGTATAACCACCTCAGTTCATTTTTGGTTGCTATTGACATGAAATATCTTTTTCCATCCTTTCACTTTCAATCTATTTGTGATCAAAAGTGAGTCTCTTGTAGGCAGCATATAATTGGATCTTGTTTTAACTCCATTGTTCCAATCCATGCCTTTGATTTATGACTTTAATCCATTCACATTTAAAGTAATTACTGAGACTGGGTGTGGTGGCTCACACCTGTAATCCCAACAGGTTTATAGGTTTGGGAGGCCAACAGGTTTGGAAGGCCAAGGTAGGCAGATTGTTTGAGCTCTGGAGTTTGAGACCAGTCTGAGCAACATGGTGAAACCTTGTCTTTTTTCAAAAAGAAAAAAAAAAAGATAAAGTAATTCCTAATAAGAAAGGGCTTACTTTATGCCACTTTGTTACTTGCTTTCTCCATGTCTTATAGCCATTTGTCTTTCATTTCTTTTCTTCTTTTTTCTTTTCTTTTTTTTCATAGTGAGGAAGACTTTATTCAGGACCATAGATATAGGGACCACTTCAATAGAGTCTTGAAGTTGAAGAGACAGATTGGGCTGAGCTCCAAATACAGCATGAGCCACTGGGAACTGAGAGCCAAGGTGTAGGGTGGGAGTCAGTTGATGAAGCTCATTTCATTCTTTAGAGTCTTCTTTGTGGTTAATTGACTTTTTGTAGTAACACATTTTGATTCCCTTCTTATTTCTTTTTATGTATATTCCATAGATATTTTCTTTGTGGTTATCATGGAGATTATCCTTAACATCCTAAAGTTATAACAATCTAGTTTGAGTTGACACCAGCTTGGCTTCAATCACATACAAAAACTCTACAGTTCTGTCGCTGCTTTACTTTCTGTTATTGATGTCACAAATTGCATCTTTATATATTGTATGCTTATTAACATAGATTTATAATTATTTTATGTATGTCTTTTAAATCCCATAAAAAATTAAAAGTGGAATTATGAACCAAAAGAACAATAATAGTTGCATTTTTGTTTGCCCATATATTTACCCTTACTAGAAATCTTTCTATTTTCATATGGCTTTTAGTTACTATCTAGAATTTTTTCATTTCAACCTGAAGGACTCCCATTAGCATTTCATGTAGGGCAGACCTACTGGTAATAACTTCTGTCAGCCTTTTTTTTAATCTGGTAATGTCTTAATTTTACTCTCATTTTTGAAGGACATTTTTGCCATTTTGATGTTCAATTCTTGGTTTAGAGGTTTTTATCTTTCTTCAGTACTTTAGGTGTATCATTCCACTGCCTTCTGGCCTCCAAGTTTTCTGCTGAGAAATTGGTTAATAATTTTATTAAGAATCCCTTGTACATGGAAAATCAATTTTTTCTTGCTGTTTCAAGAATTTCTCTTTGTTTTTGTCTTTTAACAGTTTGCTTATGTGTCTAGGTGTGGACCTCTTTGAGTTTATTTTACTTGGGGTTCATTGAGACTTTGACTTTTTATGTCCGTTTATTTCCTCAAATTTGGAAAATGTTCAGCCATTATTTTTTTCAAATAAGCTCTCTTTGTTCCTTCCTCTCTCTCTTCTACTTTTAGGACTCCCATAATGCCTATGTTGATGTGCCTTGATGATGCTCCATAAGTCTCTTAGGCTCTGTTCACCTATCTTCATTATTTCTTTCTGCTTCTGAGACTCAGTAATTTCAAATGTCCTATCTTCAAGTTCACTGATTCTTTCTTCGGCCTGCTCAAACCTGCTGTTAAGCCATCTAGTAATTTTTTTAATTTAGTTATTCTATTTTTCAGCTTCAAATTTTTATTTGACTCTCTTTTATAATTTCCTTCATTTTAATAATATTTTCTCTGTTTTTTGCATATAACTGTCCAGTTGTTTCACCACCATTTGTTAATAAAACTATACTTTCTTCACTGAATTGCCTTTACATCCTTCTTTTAGTTGTTCTTTTATTTATGGGTCTATTTCTGGGCTCTGTATTCTATTCCCTTCAGCTATTTATCTACCTTCACATCAATATTATGCTCTCTTGATTACTGTAGCTTTCTAAGAAGGCTTGAAGTCAAGTAGTGTTAATTCTCCACTTCTTTTGCAAAGTTGTTTTGGCTTTTCTAGGCCCTTTGCATTTCCATATAAATTTTAAAATCAACTTGTCAGTTCTGCAAAACAAAGGGTTGCTGGAGTTTTTATTGGATTGTATTAAATCTATATTTATAGATATATAGATCAACTTGAAGAAAAGAATATTTAGACTTTCAACTCATGAATGTGGTATATTTCTCCATTTCTTTTTTTCTTGCTTGCTTTTTTCAATTTTTTTTTATGAGATAGGATCATGCTCTGTTGCCTAGGCTGGAGTGCAGTACTGCAATCGTGGCTCACTGAAGACTTGACCTTCCAGGCTCAAGTGATTCTCCGGGCTCAGCCTCCCAAGTACTTGGGATTACAGTCACAATTTCTCCAATTCTTTAAATCATTAATTTCTTTCAGCTATGCTTTGTAGTTTTCAGTATATAGGTCTTTTATCAGATTGAACATGAAATATTTTAAGCAGGAGATGGACAAAATCTACTTTACCTTCTAAGGTAAGAATACAGGGCTGAAAGAGGTCAAAAGTGAGAACAGGGAGGCATATTAGGAGACTACCACATAGATCAAGCAAGTATTAATGGTGGCTTGAACCAGGATGGTGGCAGTGGAGACTGAAAAAAGAGCTGATTTGAGATTTAATTAGGTTGAACCATATGGAATTGACATTTTTTGCATGTCAAAGAAGGTATAAATTTGTCAACTTCATATGTTTCAATCTAATGTTTTGGAGCTAAGTCTGGACTTAAGACCTGCTGGTTGATTCAATGCAGGGAGCTAATGACAAAAAAAAAGGAGCAATGCTGGCTTTTATGTGCTTTGCTCAAGCAACTGAGTGGATGATGATGCCATTTCTTAAGATTATGAAGAGTAAAGGGGGAAGGAGCTATGCAGCTCCACATTCTTCCTGCCTTTCTCTTTATTTCAAGCTTTTTTTCTTTCTTTCCCTCATCTTTAGCTTTTCAGGGGACACAATTATCACAGGCTACATGTTTACTTTTAAACATGCATTTTTCCCACCTGGCTCTTTGTCTGACATTTTAATGACTTCGCTGGCTTGGTTTTTCATGGAGAGGGCATACGGAGAGAATATATTTTCTGTGCACAGTTTGAGGTTCGTGTCTATTCCCTTAACGTTAATGCCATAGCAACATGCCCTTAACTTTTTATTTCTTTGAGCCCAGCCCTCATCTGGAAGGGTCTGGGGCACATTTTCAAGCAATTTGTTGCCGATCATCATGAGACTCCTGAGTTTATGGAGGGAAGGCTAGAAACGTATGCTTGAGTTTATACTCAAATTACTATCCTAAATGACTCCATGGGGGGTTTCTTTTAGGGGTCACTGAGAGCCAGAGTGGAATGTTTTTCCTTCTTCACTTTATCCCAGGCCTTGGGGCACGAGAACCATAAATGCAGGTAATGTGTTTTATAGCCAGATTCTCTAGGTTCATTTTTTTCACTTCTCTCCCCACCCCCAATGATATCCATGAAACTCCACAGACTGGCTAGAGACTCATTTTGTTGCAGCCCTGTTTCTACAAAGGCTAAGAGATTTGGGTGACTGATCAACATAGCAGGGCGCATCTAAGAAGCATTGACACTTCCCGTTCTTGTCTCAGCCAGGCATGAGGGATTGCCCTTAAGCCCAATGGAGAGGTCCAAGATGAAAAGGGCTTATAAGGTAGTGAGATCACAGTCACTGGAAGTGTTAAAGCAGTGCCCAAACAACTATCTGACAAAGGTGTTTGGAATGAAAATTTATGCATCCAACAGGAAATCAAACTATAATCCTTTAAGTTTCTTTACAACACAGACTTCTTTTTTGAGACTATGATGCCCCTTCTTTGCTTCAACACATATTTATTATCTACCATGGGTCTGGGAATTGCACCCTGAGGTACAACAGTGAAAAAGATGGACATAGGCTCTGTGCTTGAAGAGCTTTCAGTCTAGTGAAAATGACAATAATAAATAAGTAATGAATAAATGAGGTGATGAAAATAGTTGTGGCTACCAGGTATTTTACATGGGTTATTGCAAAGGTGCTTCCCAACACTATACGATCAAATCACACTTTATAAATGATAAAATGCAAGCTCAGAAGTTTGCATAAATTGTCCAGGCTTACAGCTGTTACCTGCTAAAGCTGCAGCAGCAGCCCAGGCCTTTGGGTCTCCAGGGTTCATACACTTAACTATGCCTCTGGTTAAGGTTCTTACAAGACCAAGCAAGCACTCAGGTCCTCAAGGCCCAGCTCTCCACGAATGCTACCCTCAATCTTACCTCAAGAAAGGTAAACAGTACAGGTCTCCCCTCCCCCACTCCCGTCACCAAACATATTAGTCCTCAGAGGCCTTCAAATAAAAACCATCTCTCTGCCTTATGCAATTAACTATGCCAGCTCAAAAAAAAATAAATTATAATAACATGTTTTACTTAAAACCTGAGGCTTGATACTTGCCAGATCTCCCACTGCCTTTTTAAAAGTGAGGAGTGGGAAAGGCAAGGCAAGAGGGTTGATGAAAGCCCTACTGTGTGCTCTGCCCTGGAAGGGGGTAGGTTTGGGCAGCTGGAGTGTGGTTCACAAATGAAATGAAGAATATGCTACCTGTCCTTCACAAACTTAAAATCTAATTGCAGAGACAAAAAAGAGATGAGCAGGAGGCAGGCAAAAAAGACCAAGGAAAGGACTAAAACGTGGCATCTGAGCTATGCACTTTTCAAATCCTGGACCTCTCTGCATGTCTTTGGACAAGTCCCTTTGCCTGAGTCCTGATTTTTTTTATCTGTAACTATGTTTTCCAATAGAACTTCTAGCGATGATGGAAATGTTCCATATCTTCAGTGTCCAATAAGGTAGATACTAGTTATATGTGGCTTTTGAACTCATGAAATGTGATTCATGTGATTGAGTACTAGATTGCTAATTTTACAAAATTTTAATTATTTTAAATTCAGCCACATGTGGCTAGTGGCTAGCACATTGAGCTACATAAATCTAGAAAGTGAGGAGTTAAGAGGCTTCATCTTTTCCAAATAATATGTTGAGAAATAGATTAGAAATGTGCATTTTGCCTCTAGAATTGTCTTGAAATAATAGTAGGAGTGGGGAAACACTTGGGCTACAGAGACAGGAGCCACATCCCAGCTTTAACATGTCTAGTTGTGAGGCCCTGGACAAGTCCATTAGCCTCTCAATGCCTCAGTTTCCTCATCTGTCAAGTGGAAATAATAATAATAGTACCTATTTCACAGGGTTTTTGGAAGAACTAAATGGCATAATAAATGGAGCTCACTGAGAATAGTTCTTGACACTTGGTAAAGGCTCAACAAATGTAGCTGCTTTTTAAAAATTATTGTCGTTATTATTATTAATGGGACTCAGCATTACCCAGCCTCCTTGAATCACACCTTATTCCCCTAGCAACTCACTCTTCACCAGGAAGCCATCAGGAACCTCTGAAAGCCATCTTCTTTTTTTTTTTTTTTTTTTTTTTTTGAGACGGAGTCTCGCTCTGTCGCCCAGGCTGGAGTGCAGTGGCGGGATCTCGGCTCACTGCAAGCTCCGCCTCCCGGGTTCACGCCATTCTCCTGCCTCAGCCTCCCAAGTAGCTGGGACTACAGGCTCCCGCCACTACGCCCGGCTAATTTTTTGTATTTTTAGTAGAGACGGGGTTTCACCGTTTTAGCCGGGATGGTCTCGATCTCCTGACCTCGTGATCCGCCCGCCTCGGCCTCCCAAAGTGCTGGGATTACAGGCGTGAGCCACCGCGCCCGGCCGAAAGCCATCTTCTTGATCTTAGTTGCCAACCTGGAAAGATGAAGGATGACAGCCCAAGTCTAGGGGACCCTCTGTATGCAAAGGACATTTACATTTTGGTATTGAGAGTCTCTTCCTTTCCAGCACCTGGCAACACCTAAAGAGAGTTTAATGTCCTTATCATCTTCAGCACCCCTGAGACCTCTGAAGAAGGGATTAAGATGGTTCTTGGGCTTTCAGATTAAGTGATAAGTGCAGATTGATAAAATAATGATTAGGGTCAAACATTCAGACATTTTTATCTGTAAGATTTTTTTCAGGTTGCTAATAAAAATTCAGAGGGGACTGACAATAAACACAGAATTTCCTTCTTCTTCTTTCTTTATTTCCAATGCATTTAAGAAAAAAAATCCTGCAAGGTATGGAAATCTGTTCTTAAGTTGCTTTAGATTCAATTCAGTGTAATGGTTACTATGGGATTTCTGTGTATGGACAACTCCCTGATGAGTGACAGTGATGTCACCAACTCCATTTGTACCCATGGCTAAGTGTCTTCTTTTTGGGCTTCAGTTTCTCCATGAATACAACATAGATTTGGACTTGGGATGGAAAGTGGTTCCTTAACAGCATTTTCAGCTCTGAAAATTTAAGTTTTGACAGCACCCTTTCTTTTTAAGTTGACAAGATGACTGAGTCAGAAAGGACTGATCATTAAGCAACATTCCCAGTTTTCAGGCCTTGAAATTCACAGAATAGTAGTCAAAAACTCAAACACTTTCCGTGGCCAAGCAGGTCACAGAAATGAATGAATTTGGCTGCAGAGACATTATGGTGAACTGGAGCGCCTATGACCCTATCTAAAGGAGGCTGTGACTGTATGTCTGCAGGTGACGTTACCACATTCTGTGGACATTTATGGAAAGAGCTTCAGCTTTTCCAAGGAATACCAGAAATATGGCTTTTTAAAAAATCCTCATTTTAAATGCTAACCCAAAGAAAACAAAAACAGAAACTTTAGACTAAGCAAACATTAGTGTAGGATGAACAGTGTCCTCAACTCCGCCCCTCCAATACCAGGTGTAGATGGTGGAACCAAAAAGGCCTGCATCCAGGCCAATTCTTGGAAGGTGATTTTTAGAGGAAATCCAGATATCAGGCCAGTTCTTTTAATCTGACTCTTTCTGCTAAAAACCAATATGATGACCTTTGGCCAAAAACAGTGAAGTCCAACCTGGACTGAAAACTAAAAGTAAACAAGAATCCTGCTGTTTTCCAGGAGTTGGCTCCTTTGTGTCGAGAGTTGACTATTGCACTTCATCAACCTTCCAAGTAACTAAATCCCAAATTTCCTGGTTATCTTGAATTCCTGGGCATCAATGTCATTAAGAAGTTCCCACACTAAGTCATAGAATCACTTTCTCAGAATCGTTGGGAAACAAACATCCAAGGGGATGCTCGATTCCCATCTAAACCATCCTGGAAATGGAAGAAGCTGGGCTGCCTTTTATCCCCTACCAGAGCAGCCTGTCTATGTCCTTAGCGTTTATCACAATCTATGATTTAGAAATATTTTGGTTTCCTTGTTTATCATCTGCATTCTCAACCCCACTAAAATGGAAACTCCACGAGAATGGGGCCCATGCCTATCTTGTTCACAGCTATTTCCCCAGCTCCTGTAACAAAGTCTAGAACAGTAGGGCTCCAGATAGATATATTTTCTAAATAATGAATTAATGAATGATCATCGAGGTCATATTTCAGTGTTTCCAGGGACATGCAGCTTACTACTTCCCAAAGCAATCCATTATTTCATCAGACACTTTTGCCGATAGAAAGTTCCAACACAGGTCTAAATTTAAGTGATTTCCATTAGCCTGAGTTTTATCTCTTGGGGATACACAAGCCAAACTTACCTCCTCTTTTAACTCCCAGGCTCTAATTCACAGGTACGAAGTCTCTTTGAGTCTAGTTTTCGGTTTTGGTTTTGTTATTTTAATTCAGGCAAAACATGTTCATTTCTGCCTGTTGCTCTTCTAAAGAGGGAGAATGATGATTGAAAGCAGGAGAGATGCAGAATCAGGACAAGCAGGAGTCGGTAAATCAGAAGTCCTGAACACAGTGTGTACTTGACAACCTCACTGGCACTCTTACTTTCAATATGTATTTTAAAGCCAGATGGTCTGGTTTTTCAAAATGTGCATTTCTCAGTCACGTTTGGATACACACATTGAAAAATAAGCCTGTATCTTTGGCCCTAGCCACATTTCCATGTGAATGAAACAGAAGGAGCCATTGGTTATGTACTGAGAGAATGTCTTGGCCCTGCCAGCCTTGAGATTCTAGGACTCCATGAAGAACACCAACCACTATGTGAGTGTGAGTGTGTGTGTGTGTGTGAGAGAGAGTTTGAGTGTACAGATGGGCTTTTCTCCTAAACACATGGCTCTGAAAATGCCTTTCAAAGGGTTCAGACCCAGTGGCCCAGAGCCAAGGAGCAATGGGGCCAAGAATGGTGATTCTGTCCTTGAATGACCCACACCTCTTTGGTGTCCTGAAGGTAATTAATCTTTATGGAACACAGGGCTATGCTTCTGTTGGTTTGCAAGCCTCCTGCTTAACTGACCAAGCCTGTTAGTTATCTGACAAGGTTTGGATGGAGTGTTGATCAGGAGGCCCAGCTGACATCCTCCTGAGGCTTAGACATCAACTGCATGTCTCACTGGAACCCACATGCTACTCACCAGGACTTTGCACTGGGAAGCTCCAGTGCCTCAGGGGTCGGAGGTGACTTTCAAAGCACCAGAAAACCAGAGGAGAAGGAGTAGATACAGCATGGTGTGTGATCAGCTGAACCTCTATGTGAAGCAGAATAAAAACAAACAGCAAATACAGCTGGAGACTGCACACACTTGAATATTAGGCAAGCTTTTTTTCCTAAAATTAATTATTGAATGAGAGGGAGATGGGTTATATTTGAATCTGCTTGAGGTCTTTCATGTTGTAAAAGACTTTCTCAAATACTTTATTTTGAACAAACAGTACTATTTCAGGAAAACAAGTTAGCCTAAAATAACTTCAGCCAGCTGGTTTGGAAGGCTAAGAAAGGTCACCTGACACAATCAGTAAAGAAAGAGGACAAAGACACTTAAAACAGATTTAGTCATTCTTCCTGGGGGTATGAATTCACAAGGGCAAGCTTTAAATGCTGTTGTGTACACGCCTTTAAATGATTGGTTCAAAAAACAATATAGTAAGTTGTTAATGATGAGGTTAGTGAACAGTACTTGGGCATTAGGATAAAATTTCCAATGACAACATCATGCACAGATTCAAAAAATGCAGTATCTAGGCACAAAGAACATTTTAAAACAATAAAAAAAGTCAAATCCAACGAGGAGACATAACAGCTATAAACATATAGGCACCTAATAACAGAGCCTCAAACTTTATGAAGCAGTAACTGACAGAATTGAAGTAAAAATAGACAACCCAACAATAATTATGAGAGCTTAAATACTTCATTGTATACAGTGGACAGAACAATTAGATAGAAGATCAACAAGGAATAGAGGACTTGAACAGTACTATAAACTGCTAGACCTAACAGACATCTGTAGAATACTCCACCCAAAGCAACAGAATTACACATTCTTCTCAAGTGCATGTGGAACGAACTTTCTCCAAGATAGACCGTATGTTAGGTCATAAAACAAGTCTCAATACACTTTAAAAGGTTGAAATTATACAAAGTATGTTATTTGACCATGATGAAATGATGTTAGAAATTAATAACAAAAATATATTTGAAAAGTTAATAAATATGTGGAAATTAAATGACCTTCTCCTACCTAAACAATGGATCAAATAAACAAAGCACTGGAGAAATCTGAAAACACTTTGAGATGAATGAAAATGAAAACACAACATACCAAAATTTATAGGATGCAGGTAAAACAGTGCTTAGAGGGAAATTTGTAGTTGTCAATGCCTTTAAAAAGAAGAAAGATCTAAAATCAGCAACCTAAACTTCCATCTTTAGAAACTAGAAAAAGAAAAGCAAATTAAACCCAAAGCAAGGAGAAGAGAGGAAATAATAAAGATTAAAGTGGAAATAAAGACTAGAAAAACAATAGAGAAAATCAATGAATCAAGTGTCAGGTCTTTGAAAATATCAACAAAACTGACAAACCTTAACTAGACTGACCAAGAAAAATCAGAGAAGACTCAAATTACTAAAACCAAGAATGAAACAGCGAACATTGCTATGTACCTCACAGGAAAATGGAGTATTTATGCTTTTTGTAGATATCGGTAAGCTGACTCTAAAATGTATATGGAAAGGCAAGGAAGTCAAATAGTCAATTCTAAAAAAGAAGAACGAAATTAGGGGACTGCTACTTCTTGTTCTCCAAGACTTAGCAAAGGTGTCAGGTTTTCCGTATAGCTGTCTTTGATTCTCTCATTTGTTTTCAGCTTCTCTCAGTCATGTTCCCATAGGAACCTGTGCAAAACTTCAGCAGGACACTTACTGCACTATACTATGTGATCTGCATCTTGAAGACATGGATGGCATCTTTCTTTCTTGTACCCAGGACCCAGCAGAATGCCCAGAAGAGAAAAGATGCTTCATAAATGTTATTTTGGATGGATGGATGGATGGATGGATGGATAAATAGATGGATGATGACTTTAGAATCTTTACCTGCACACAAATTGATGAGGCAGTATAGTTTCTTATATGCTTATCAAGGAAGAAACACTAAAGTGAGAAACCAAGAGACTCCCCACCAATTCTGCCATGACCTCCCATATGGCATTTGTCAAGTCATTTCCCGTTTCAGATCCTCAGTGCCATCTGGAAAACTTGTGAGTGTTAATAGATGATCTCTAAGTGTCATCCACTTATCAGCTCTATAATCCTAGGACTAAGCAGGTTCTTCTATGTCCAGTGCATTTAGCAGTTGATGGAATTGGCCTTTTAAAAGCCAAATTTAGCGAACCTATTCATTAAATCTTACGAAGTAGTCAAACCAACTGTGTACCTAAACACAATACTCTGTCTCTCTCAAAACTTTTGTACAACTTAAACTCAGTACCCTTTCAGCCCCTTTCTTAGAAAATTTACATGGCACTCAATTGGCATTCACAACAGATTTTTGGCATGGATAATTTGTCAGCCACAGCAGTGTCACCCTATAAACTGGCCCTAAATTCCATTTTCTTTTACTGATGGGAAAGGACATTGTAGATGGGAATTTATGGGATGCCTCAGGTTTGACAGGCAGTCACATGGGTAAAAGAAAAGGGCAAAGGTATTTAAAATCATGGGTCCTCCCGTAAAACCTGGAAATTGTTTTTGAATAACCACAGCAAAGAACAGAACTACTCAGCACTTTTTTGTCTCTCAATTTCAGAGACATTCCAGTTCAATACTGGATTATTTCTCAGGGATTTTCTTAACACAGAAAGTAAATGGCTTGTTCTAATTTTTGAACTTTAGCCCTTTTTTATTTTTGACCAAGACACCCACTCAATTTCTCATTCTGATTCCAGCCACAAGAGATTTGACCAGGACTTAATTTTTAACATCCTTGCCTGGGCCAACACGGTGGTTCAAATCTAATATTTGGACACATATTCTTGAAATTATTTACTTATCCTGTCATTGCAGCAACATTGGAATATTTTCCAGGGGAGCTGAGGGTGACAGAAGCTCTTCTTTCTGCCATCCTAAAAGAATATAGTCTTTTTAGGTAAAGAAAAAATTCAGTCTTTAGAGTAAGGATGTTGGCCATCCTTCTATTGGTTTCCTAGAACTCACTGTTCTTTTTTTCTTCTTTTAAAATTTTTTATTGATACATAATATTTGTACATATTTGTGGGGTACATGTGATATTCTGACACATGCATACAATGTGTGGTAATTAAATCAGAGAATTTAGGGTATCCATCACCTTGAACATTTATCATTTTTTTGTGTGTGTTGGGAACATTTCAAATATTCTTTTCTAACTATTTTGTTATGCTGATTTTGTTTTTGGCTTTTTTTTCTACCTTTTTGTGGAGAGTGGGGTCTCGCTATATTGCGCAGGCAGGTCTCAAACTCCTGGGCCTAAGCTATCCTCCCACCTCTGCCTCCCTGAGAGCTGGGATCACAGGCGTGAGCCACCATGCCCCGCTTAACTATTTTGTAATATACAATATACTGCTGTTAACTATAGTCACCCAATTGTGCTATTCAACACCAGGCCTTATTTCTTCTATGTTCTTATTCTAGAAATGTTACAGTTAAAATAATCTATAGCTTGAATCTGTATTTTTAAGCATTATTTTATAATAATTATATGAAGTGTTTTCTTTCAGTTGCTATCAAAAATTCTTAAACATCATTTAAAAACCTAAAATTTTAAGCCAGGCACAGTGGCATGCACGTGTAGTCTTAGCTACATGGGAGGCTGAGGCAGGAGAATTGCTTGAGCCCGGGGTGTTGAGGCTGCAGTGAGCCGTGATTGTGCCACTGCACTCCAGCCTGGGAGACAGAGCAAGACCCTGTCTCCTAACAAGAAAAAAAGGACAACTAAAATTTAATAATTTTAATATAGTTATGATTTACCATTTCCATAATTTGATTTCACACAGAGAAAGACAAAACTGGATACTACATTAAAAAGAAAAAACAAGAGATTTCTTTCTCTGCTTTTTCAGGCAGCTCACTATGAGGCTATCACAAATCAATGGAAGCACATTTGGTGAAGAGTACAGGCCCATCAGAGGATACCACTGTATGTATTTGTTTGACAATCTTGGGACATATTTTCGGAATTGTAACTACAGTGTCCATTCCATTCCAGGGGCCTGAGAATGTCACTGGCCAGAAGAAGTTGAGTCCCTAGTGTGTTGACCCACCAGTGCTCTCACTGACCAACTAAGTGACTGGGTACAAATTAAAGAGGAGAATTTGAATGTCTGGCTGTCTGGGAAATAAAAGGTCAGAGAGTTGATTAGCACCATCAAGCCCCAATATCCAGAATCATGGAGAGAAACAGTGGCTCGGACCTCTAAGTGGCACCTCCAATGACTTTCCTGCACCTTGGGGGATTCCCTCGCCCCATTTTTTATCCCATTGCCCCTTCTGTGCCAGTCTCTTCCTCTGCGAGGAAGTGGTTTGAGAACCCTAAAAACAAATCCAAGGAATCCTTTTTGTTTGGGGCAGTTTTCTGCAGGCAACATCTGTGTGCATCTTAGTTGTCACAGGTCTGGTCAAATGTAGAGATGAATAAATTTTAAAAATAAACAACTACAAAAATACACAAATTAGCTGAGTATGGTGGCATACACATGTAGTCCCCGCTACTAGGGAGACTGAGGTGGGAAGATTGATTAAGCCCCAGAGGTCGGGGCTGCAGCGATCTGTGATCACACCACTGCGCTCCAACCTGGGCAACAGAGCAAGACCCTGTTTTGAACAAAGTCAGACCTAATATCTGCAGATGTGGTGAGGGTTGGGGGCCAGGAGGAGGGATAAAAGGGATGGGGCATGGCCATACACTAATTCTCCAATCCTTCAGCATTGTAGCTCCATCAACGGGGCATCCCTGCCACACTCTCCACTAGGAAAAGGAAGTGGTGAGGACACCTTTCACCATTATGTCATTGCTTCCCATAAGAAGTTTAGTCATTTCTCACCACTAGGACTCAAGCACCCAGGGCCACCTCATCTCATGATAGAAAATGGAATCATAGCAAATAGGCAGTTATCATACAAAAAATAATTAATAATATTAATAGATAGATGGATGAAAGATAGATGGATAGATAGATGTAAGTAGATAGATGATAGAGAGATGATATAGATAGATAGATAGACAGACAGACAGACAGACAGACAGATAGATAGATAGATATAGATAGATAGATAGATAGATAGATAGATAGATAGATAGATAATGGTGGGAAGAAAGCAAGGGAAATAGGAATAAAAGGAGTTGAAGATTATGGTTTCTTCACAACGTCCACTGGGGTTGCAGAGCATAAACCTTCTCCTATCCTGAAACTCTTCTTCTTTCTTGGCAAGTTATGGAAGAACATAGCCTTCAGCTACTACTTGTAGAGTGAAATACCGTGTCCCATAGGGCACAGCTCCCCATGTCTGGCTTAATCACCAGGAGGGCCCATCAAAAATATACCTTCCCAGAACCCAACTCAGAGATCTTGACTTTACAAATCAAGAGTGAGATGGGACATTATGCACTTGTGTGTTCTCTCTTCTCTCTCTGTCTCTCTCTGAGTTCCCTGCTGGTTTTGGTAGTTTGAGAACAATAAGGCATGTAAAAGAAAGCCAAGCATGGGGACTTCTGTCCCAGAGATGTGTAAATATGATTGGATTCTCATTCTAATGCAAGTACTTCTGAGAAAATTCTGGACATGAACCATGCTGAAAACTAGAGCTGAACCCAAGCTCAGCTACTTACTCACGTGGACACCTTGGCCACCAAGTGTCTTGAGTCTGAAGTGGGGATACTAATAGCCTCTATTCCATGGAGTAGCTGAATGGATAGAACGATATCTTTTCACACGTGAATCACTTAGCACAGGGCCTGGGACAAATAATGAGGGTTTCATAAAAAGGGGTATATCATGTTATTCTTATCACAGCCAAGTTAGAAAGTCAAGCCTTATTCAAATGCTGTGAAAGACAACAGAAAGAAGAAATTTTCATTGATATTAGTCGAGGAAAATATAATAGTAGTAATAGCAGTTGGGGGCTACTTATTACGTGCTTGAAGAGTTTTTAGAGAAATGGAATTATTAGTCTCATACAGTAAGATCATTTTTCCAATCCCCCATGGTTATCACAAGTGAGGGCCTTAGTTATCACAACTGAGGGCCAAACTGAGCTCTGTCCATGTGAAAGGGAGGGACCAGAAGAAAAGTCTGGACATTATTAAGAATGTGAAGTTGGGCTTAGCTCATCTCTGCTCTTGGTTTGGTTGCCTTGGTCCAATACCAGATACTTTCACTTCTTAACCTTCCCTGAGCCTTGCCCTTCCTCCCAAGAAAGGACTAATAAGTTCAGTCCCAGTGTACTATAAATGCATAAGACCCCTGAAAAGCTCATTCCCCACTGCTGCCTGAAGATTTCCACATTTTCTGAAAACTAAAAGCTGTAGGCCAGGTGTATTGGCTCACCCTACAATCCAAGCACTTTGGCAGAAGAACAACTTGAGGCCAGGAGTTCAAGAGCAACCTGGGCAACATAGCCAGATGCCATCTCTACAAAATTAAAAAAAATTAGGTGAGTTCAGTGACATGAAACTTTAATCCCAGCTACTCAGGAAGCTGATGTGGGAGGATCGCTTGAGCCTGGGAGTTCAAGGCTGCAGTGAGCGATGATCACAGCACTGCACTCTAGCTTGGGCTATAGAGTGAGACCCTGTCAGGTAAATAAATAATAAGTGCCTTAAACCAAGAAGATGATCTATGATTGAAGAACACAGCATACCCTTGGATCAGGGGGAAGGTGTTCTGAGGGAGGCAGGAGCCCTCCCTCTGCTGTTAAACACCAGCCCACCCACAGGAAGTGAGCACCTTTTGTCCCAGATGGGCAGCACTTCACAGTGTAGCAAGCTCTCTCACCTGATTTTCTCACTGACTTCTCAGCAGCTTTGTGATGTGGATGAAGAGTGAGCCAGTGGTTAGAGCCAAAATAGCCCTGAAAGATGATCAGCAGATCCAGAATTCCCAAAGCATGGATTACACACAATACATGTATGCCCTTGGGCGGAATCACCACCTGCCCCCACAGAGACCCTTGCAGCCCCTATCCTATCCCTTTGATTCGCTATAGAAAAAAAAGTGTCCCTGGGTCCCAGGGTCTTTAATCCCTCTCTAACCCTTGTCAGCTCCTTTTTAGGAAACCACAGATGAACCTAGGTCTCAGAATCTTTGGCAAGCCACAGCGTCTAGCTATGACTTAATAACAGCTTTTATGGTTTTCAGTATACTTATTTTTTCTATTAGTTTCTATTTATGCTAACTGATTTTCCATCTATGGGAGTGAAAAAATATTCCTTTTTTAAAAAAAATTTACGTAAATGTAGTGAGCCAATGAAAAGGGTAATATTAAATAACCAAGAGTATGAGCGATTCACAGACATGGCAAAAGTTGTAAAAATGATGTACACACATGATTTAAGTCTAGAAAACCCTCACCAACCCAACCCACCATCCTAGCAGTAGAGAACTCAGGCCAAGTTTAAGGTCACTTGCTTTTCGGTAGCAGAATTCGTCCAGGGCTCATTCTATACATGCAGCCAAGCCTAAGAGATGAGCAGTGGAAAAAAACACAGAGTCAGGTCCCGTGTAAGCAGGATAGATCATCAGTGATGGGCAAGGAGGTAAAAGGAAAAGGCCCTGAAGAGTCTGAAATCTGATCAACAATGATCCTGTGTTACACATCTGTCTGCAGGGTTAATTCTTCATTAGGAGGCATAGCTCAGGGTAGGAGAGCATCTAAACCCTAGAGTTCAAGGCCATTTCCTTTTGCACATATCTCTCTGCGGCTAAAGTAGAAACATCTTGGGTCCAGCCTCCTTGGCTCAGTGGTTGGATCTGAGATAAAACATATGAACATATGAATGTAAAAGAGCCAATATGGGGCATCATTGTGGACCAGCAGAGATCTTGTCAGAATGAACAGTTACCACACTGCACTGCAGTCATCTTCAACAGTGACTCCATGTGGTGGGGATAAGAAATAGCAGCATGATACTGAGAACTCATGTCTGTCCTTGCTTGGTGTTTGGACTAGAGCTGACCCTCTTGGGTAAAAGCAGGGTTTCTCAACTTTGACACTGAGTGCATCTGGGGCTGTGAGAGGCTGCCATGTGCATTGTAAAATGTGTGGAAGCATCTACCTGTAGATGTCAGGAGTACCTTCCAAACCCACAGCCACCAAAAATGGCTCTAGACATTGTCAGATATCCCAGGAGGTTGGCGGGGATTGTCCCTGATTAAAAACAACTGGGTCAAAGTCGTCCCAAAGAGGTTCTTGAACAATTTAAAGAATGAATTCTCAAGAGGGAAATATTAGATATCTTGGCTCTAGGGGATGCAGGAGCTCAAGAAATTTACTAGAAAAACAAGAATTTCTACAATAAGACTTTCGGGATATAAATATAAAGGGCCTGACTTACAGTAAATGCTCAGTAACATTGCAATTTCCTTGCTGTGCTCTTGCTCTTTTGCATGTCTTTTTCTTCCATGAGCTTTTAAAGATCACTGTGAGTATGCATATGCTAATTTCAAAATCAGGAAGAAATACTGGAGGAGAGAAAAGGGGGCATCTGTGTCCAATTAAAAGACGCCCCTTACACAAAATGGTACAAGAAACAAGATTGCGGCAGGCACCTTTCCTTTGGGACTTAAGACTTCTCACTCAGTCTTGGTCACAGGGATGGTGAGAACAGAATCTAACCAAGGCCAAGCAGTGTTTCCTAGGAGTTTGATTCTTAAGTAGATATGCACAGGGAAGGTGTTTGGAGTGTGGCCATGTGCTGGCTGCTTTTGAGAAAGACAGACCAAGACTTCCTGGCTTACCATGTTCACCAGAGATGCTCTGAGTGCTGCAAGTACCACTCCCACAATTTTTGTGTTTTGCTTACATTAGTGAAGCCCAGTCTCTATTATTTGCAAACAAACAATCTAGTAACAGTCTTTAAAACTCAGAGTGACACAGATTGGACCAGCTTCCTGTAACAGGAGCGTTGAAAAATTTAAATTCTGGCTGGGTGTGGTGGCTCATGCCTGTAATTCCAGCACTTTGGGAGGCCGAGGCAGGTAGATCACCTGAGGTCAGGAGTTAGAGACCAGCCTGACCAACATGGAGAAACCCTGTCTCTACCAAAAATACAAAATTAGACAGGTATGGTGGCGCATGCCTGTAATCCCAGCTTTTCGGGGGGCTGAGGCAGGAGAATCGCTTGAACCAGGGAGGCGGAGGTTGCAGTAAGCCAAGATCATGCCATTGCACTCCAGCCTGGGCAACAAGAGCGAAACTTTTTCTCAAAAAACAAAATTAAATTCTACTCAACCAATTAGAAATTTGTTAAGGTCAATGACAGAGACAGTGGAAATTTATTTATTTGTTTGTTATCATTTTTTTAAAAGACAGAATCTCACTCTATTGCTCAGGCTGGAGTGCAGTGGTGAAATCACAGCTCACTGCAGCCTAGAACTCCCAGACTCAAGCAATCTTCCTACCACAGCCTTTCGAGTAGCTGGGACTACAGGCACACACCACCACACCAACCTGATTTTTTTTTTATTTTTTGTGGAGTCAGGGGTCTCACTATGTTGTCCAGGCTGGTCTCAAACTCCTGGGCTCAAGAAATCCTCTTACCTTGGCCTCCCAAAGTGCTGATGTTACTAGTGCAAGCCACTGTGGCCAGCCTCAGTGGAAATAAATTTAAAAAATTGCAAGAGAGCTTGTAGAGGCAGCATGTAGTTTAAATGTAAGAGAGGAAAAAATTAAATCAATACAGTCTGCATTGAATAACTGTAGTATGCATTCTACACAATAATCATTGGTATTCTATGCTCATTCAGGTGGGGCAGATGGGGTGCAGTGTGATTCTTGTATTAGGGAGTAGAGTTTGTAAATACATACAGAAGAGTTGCATCATATGAGTTTACTTCGTTCAAATCTAGCTAATCAAACTCAGTAGAGATAGAGACAGAGAGAGAAAAGGGAGAAAAAGGGAAATATTAGAACATGTGCCCCAGAAGTAGTGTGAGATGAGATTCATTAATCTTCTGTCCCCTCTATTGGCCTCAGTGTCTCTGTGCCTCCCACAGTGTGTCTTGCTCCAGTGAGTGTGACTTCATATTTTACACACACACAAGTGAGCATGCACACACACAGGACCCCTCAACTACTTCACCTAGTGCTCAACTGAAAGAGTATGCTCCCTCTTCCCACACTAAAGGAAATTCTCTCAGGGTTGGACTCACTGAGAAGATGGATAAGAGTAACTGAAAAAACTATTTGTAGTCTGGGCACAATGGCTCACACCTGCAATTTCAGCACTTTGGAAGGCCAAGGTGGTAGGATTGCTTGTGGCCAGGAGTTCCAGACTACCCAGGGGCAACATGCTGAGATCCCATCACTACCAAAAAAAAAATTAAATTAGCCAAGCATGGTAGTGCACACTACTCGGGAGGCTGAGGTGGGAGGATCTCTTGAACCAGGAATTCAAGGCTGCAGTGAGCCATGATTGAGCCACTGCACTCCAGCCTGGACGACAGACTGTATCTCTAAAAAACGACAAAAAAAAAGCTATTTGGAATTTTATTTTCTTTACTCTTTATAGGCAGAATCCATGTCAGTTATTTTACCTGTCCAGGTGTGGCAGCCCCAGTGGGTGTGTGCCCATATCCCTTCACCATTCAACTCTACAAGCTGCATGCTGCTTGGAAGGAAGACCTGACTCTGTCTGGGGGCTCTTTCTGGCCTTGGAAGTAGGGAGCGGTGGCCGTTTACTACCTTGGAAGCAGTCCTGAACCAACAGCAGACAAGGAGTTGGTGAATAAATACCACCTTCCTCACTCTCCATGACTCGAACTCTGAAACAGGTTCTATTCCCACTGCGCAAGTTGTCAGTGCAACTGAACCCCTTTTCCCCCCATGACAACTCCCTGTTTATGTGACTGCCTTTCCTTCCCTATCTCACTTACAAACCATTTGCTCTCAAATTCTTATCTTAGGATCTGCTTCTGGAGGAACCCAAACCAAGACTCCTGCATTTTTAACACATCAAATCTTCACCTCACTGCTATGTTCCAAAAAGGAACTCGGTGGGTTTTGAGGGTCAAAATCCAGCATTATCAACCAAGACATCTTCTCCATTAAAAACTGTAGTCACACCACACACAGCCTGTGAGCTTTTCAAGGGCCCAAGAAATGGTTTGAGACCCCAAACAAAAGACACAGGCAGAATAAATAAATAAATAAATAAATAAATAAATAAATAAATAAATAAAAAACCCCAGGGAACCTGCAAAACCATGTGTACCATATGTTGGATTAAATGTCTACAAAATGTAGTATGAGGCCAACTTGTCAACCACAGATGAAATGATTCGTGAGCAGCTATATATGAATTATAATTAATGCGAGGGGTGGGTATTTTAGGATGCTATCATTGATAGCAGGCCGGGCAGAGCATGAAAAAGGCAGGCTGATGGGCTATGAGTGTTATAAAACAGTCCTGTGGTTCAGACTGGAATCCCTGTGTCCAAGACTACACACTGGACTCTTGAAAACACATGAGAAAATGTCTTTCTGGCTGAAACTGCCTCCCTCAGAGTTATAGATCACCATCTGTGGACAGAAATCTTTTCTGGGGAGAAGATGTCACTGGCGTTCAGAATCCAATATTTGCCCTGGCTTTGTTCTTCCTTCACAGGAATCCATGCTCCACAGCAGTTCCCAGCAAGCTGCACTCTTCGAAGGCGGGATGCTGAAACCTCTGCCCCCACCCCCTACATTAGCTTTATATCCAAATGTGACTCGGAGGCTGGTGAGCTCAAGGTGATCAATGACAGCTCCAATCAAAGCCACCCAGTAGACAGTGCACTCACCACTCCTTGATATAAAAGGTGTTTTATTTCTCATCCTTTTATTTTTGTCACTGAAAGAATGCTTCCCATGTGTGGATTAATTAAAGTGTAAACATTAAATATTGATTGATGCATTATCAGCATGGAGCAGTGGCCTCCTGTCTGATTGATTCCTGCAGTGATTTATTGTCATATTTGGGGAGTCATTTCATTTGATAACCAAGAGGGATCGCCTGCCTCCCCCCACCACGCCGGCTCCACTCCCCTCTTTTTTTCCCGGTACCTCCTCTTATTCTAGGTGACATCGAGTTCCAATAACTAAAACATCTTCATCTTACTGTCGAGAGAAAAGTGTGTGGCCTGACATTTGTTTTGTGTATGTGTATGTCTGTATGTGTCTCCCAGGCAATTATCAAATCAATTAACAATTTAACACAGAAATAACAAATCTACCCTCTTCTTTGGGATATTTCTGATTAACAGAGCTTGCCCCTACAAATCTCTGTGAGATATTATTATGGGAACTTGGGGGTGGAATGTTGGGGAGAGCATAAAATGAAACAAAGAGAGAAAAAAAAAGCTATAGTTCCAGTTGTGTCATTTTTCTGAAGTTTGCTTTCACTGTGGAACTAGAAGCGATGGGGAAATAAAATAGCAATTTATATTTATAATTGGATATAAGTCTCTATAGATATGAATCACCATACCACATTTTATCAGGTTGACCCACATGAAATTGCTGTTTTATAGGTCAAAATGATCAAATATTGACAATTTCATATAGCTGAAGCTTATATATTTAACCTCCCTTCTGAAGTAGGATTTGATGGTTAGTGTTTGTTCTGTTTTCCAATGAGAAAAGGGCACAAAAGGGTGATACATACAGTTACCATTTAGTTTGTTTTAGCATAAACCAGGCATTAATCTAAACACTTTACATAATTTTCTACCACAGCCTATGAGATATAGGCACTATCGGTTGTATCCATTTCACAGACTTTTTAAGAAACATAAACAAATAAAACAAGGCTTCAGATGACTAAATAAGTTGGTGGGGACTTCATGGAGCACAGAAGTCTGAAGATTTCAACCTCCCTGCAATGTGTCCAGTTCGAGGCATTCACCAGTCAAGGGGAGACACTGAGATATCTCAGGGGCTCTTGACCCCAATCAAGGGCACGCATGGTCCAGCGGCCCCACAAATGGCTTGAAGACTTTGGCTTTGAAATCTTCCTGGTTCCTGGCTTCTTCTCGGCAGAAGGAGGGAGCAGACACTGTCCAGACCTCCAGACCAGCATGGAGCAAACAGAAGGAGAGTGTTTGACCCTATTCTCTAGGCTGCTGTTCTGAGCAGGAGCCCAGAGTCAGCACCTCCATAAAGAAGGGGGCATTTGAGGCCTTCCTTGCTCCAGTGAGGGAGCCCAGAGAGGACTTCCCAGGGGTCTTCCATCACCAACATCCAGCCTGGAGGATGTGCTCAGGGAGGCCAGACTCTGGTCTCCTGATTTGTCATCAGACTAATTATTAAATGGAACCAGAAAAGAAAGCCAGCACACTGTTCCCCTGGACCTCCCTCAGCCCCGGAAATGCTGGCTGGTGGCTTAGGGTCCCCATCCCCATAGGACTCTGCCTATTTCACTCAGGGCTCCAGGTCCTCGTCAATGCCACTGCCATATTCTACAAATCACATCATGCAGCAAGATGCTTCTCCACATGGTCAAGGGCTGAATGAGCCCTCTGCTCCCTCCAGGACCTGCCTGTCAGTTCCCCCACAATCCTTCCTCTCCATCTGCTTTGATTGACACTTTTCTGAGGATGACCCCAATAAAACAAAACGTGATTGGCTGTAGCCTATAGAAAACTTCATACTCTGTATAAGGGCAGTATATAATTACAATGATCGATTAGTGGAAAATTTATCAATTGGTGACTCCTTTAAAAAAAATGCCCTGGTACAAATGCATCCCACTATCATAAGATTCTTCTATGATAAAATCTTTTTCTTCCTTAATGTGTGTGTGCATGTGTGTGTGTTGGTGGTGGTGGTGGTATTCTTTGTTTTCCAATTTCTCAAGTTGAATGGTTTGGTTTGTGTGTTCTCAGTCTTATCTTTTAATAAGCACCTTGGTGGTGCTCAAGTTAGTGGTAGAAGTGCCATTCACTGCTTCCCTCCAGAGACACCTTCCCAACACATGGCCTTCTTCTAACCCACCAGGCATCTGCTGGGCATCTACCACCCGAGCACTTTTACCCAGGATCTCTTTTCATGTAATCCTAGTATTTCTGCCCATTTTACAGATGAGTACACCAAGGTTCAGGCAAATACACTCACCTAAAGTTAGCATCTCAGCAGGATATGGTGTTCTGATGCCAAGAACAGTGCTCATTCCAAGAACCTAACATTGTGGGGGGTGGGGTGGGTTTCATCAGAAGGAGCCTTAGCATTTAAGGCTATAAATTGCTCTCTGAATACTACTTTAGCCACATCCCATAATTTCTGGCATGTGGTGCCATTCATTTCTAAATGGTTTCTTATTTCAGTTTTGACTGCTTAACCCAAAAGTTAATTTGGAAAGATGTTTTTAAATTTCTAAGAGAGAATATTTGTAGCATATTTTCTAGAAATATTACCTACTATAAATTCTAGGACCAGTTAAACTTCCTGGAATTGTCCTTTTCAAATCAGTTTCATTGCCCTTAAACTTCAAAGATCCAGTAAGATTCAACTGACATGATCCCATTACCTGCAAGGTAGATCTAATATTATTGACATACCAGATGGATGAATTTTATAGATTTGTCCAGAGCGGCAGAGCAGGGAAAGGACACACTCTACGGCCTCTGGACTCCTAGTAGAGTGCTTGTTCCTGCCACATTTGGTCCTGGCTCTGAATAAGATTCATTTTTCTCAAAAATATTTATCTAGTGTATTATCTAGTGTATGCTAGCTACTATTCTAGGTGCTGGGAGTGCAGCAATAAATTTTACAGATTAAAATCCCTATTCTCAACAGCATTTTCTTGGGGAGCTTACTTTCAGGTGAATGAGACCAAAGTGTGAAAACAGGACCCAGAAAGAGAAGAAAACCCATGGGTGCAGAGGAGCAGCTACTGCAGAGTCAGGGAAGCAGAAAGTCCTCCTCAAAAAGCCAACACCTCTGTGCCTAAAGGGTCCAATAATTCTTGCAAGCCTGTCTCACCTACTCCTTGGAGGTGCTCAAGTTAGTGGTAGAAGTGCCATGCGTTGCTTCCCTCCAGAAACACCCTCCCAAGACATGGCCTTCTTCTAACCTACCAGACATCTGCTGGGCATCTACACCCCGGCACTTTTACTCAGGATCTCTTTTCGTGTAATCCTAGCATTTCTGCCCATTTTACTGATGAGAACACCAAGGCTCAGGCAAATAAACTTACCTAAAGTTAGCATCTCAGCAGGATATGGTGTTCTGATGCCAAGAACAGTGCTCATTCCAAAACCCTAATGTTGTGGGGGGGTGGGGTGGGTTTCATCAGAAGGAGCCTTAGGGGAAGAATCTGTGGAATTTTGGTTGGTCTATTACCCTCTGTTATCTATATGTGTAACCTACTGCCATCATCATCACCATCAACTTCATAATCTCATCAAAAGATAATCATCTTCATTGCTGTTATGTTATGAGCAGCCAGTGACTGTGCTACCCAAATAATTTAGATCCATTGGCCCTTTGCTCAGGATAGTGGTGAAGAGTGGGGAATCTAAAATAGATGTCTTGGGTTTAAACACCAGTTCTTCTTCTTAACAGAGTGAGGGTGGCATCGGGCTTAGTCTCTTGCCCAATATTGCACAGGAAGTAAATGATGGTAGTCTGGATTAAACCCAGGCTTTTTGGTCCACAAAATGCATGTTATCCTGCCTCCCAGAGGCTGGGCATGGCTTTTAAACAGAGTTCTTGAGAAAATAATTCCAACATCTTCAAGGAGCATTCTACAGACTCATAGATGCCATCGAACAAACCTGAAAAGTCGAAGTAGTATTGGGATCACATCTTGCATCCATAGGTAAAAAGGAAGAAATTGGACATATGGACATTTTTTGAATCTCAGGTGGGCCTGGGGAAAACCAGAGCCCAAGCTTTCTTGCCACTTAGAGCATTACTGCCTGGAAGTCAAATGACTTCTTCATGTGGTCACAGGCCGGAATGAGCCCTCTGCTCCCTCCAGGACCTGCCTATCAACTCTCCCCACAAGTTTTCCTCCATCTTCTTCTTCTTTTTACAAGGATCACTCAGATAAAACATGATTTGCTGTTATAGAATGGCTATAGCCTACAGAAAGCTTCATACTCTACATAAGGGGAGTATATAATTACAATTATTGATTACTGAATAGTGTGTCAACTGTTGACCACTTTCAGAAAATTTCCCGGCACTAATGCATCCCACTATCATAAGATTCTTCTATGATACAATTCAGGCAAAAAATCCTTTCTTTCTCTGTGTGTGTGCAGGGTTGTGTGTGTGTGTGTGTGTGTGTGTGTGTGGTGTAGTTGCAATTGGTGGTATTATTTTTTTCCTAACTTCTTGAGTTGAATGTTTGGTTCATGTATTTTCAGTCTTAGGTTTTGATAAACCTATTTAAGGCTATAAATTGTTCTCTGAATACTACTTTAGCCATGTTAAAGAAGGTTCTGTAGAAGCACGGCTTGACATAGAACTCTGAATGCACAGAAATTGTTGAGGTGTGATCCAGGGAGGGAAAGAAGCAGGGGAGAGATGGGGAAGAAGCTGAGCATGGCTGTGGTCTTGAGTGATGTTAAGCTTAGCCTGAGGGAGGTGGGGCCTCTGAGAGGTAAGTTGCTCCTTAGGGACAGGATCAGCCATTCACTGGCTGTGGGCTGCTCGGGTAAGGATGAGTCTAACTCTGCCAAGAAGATGATAGCTCTGAGCCATTGGCAGCCAACACTCAGCAGCCAAAGAGTAGGTGTTCTAACTCCTGACCCAGCAAAGGGGATCTGGACCAGGTCCCAGTGTTAGCCCCCATACACAGCTCAAGTGTGCATGACTGAAGCATCCTCTGTACCAGCAAACGAGTACCTGAGTGCTGACATTGGAACTGCTAGCTTATGGTGAAAATAAAACAGAAGACACTTTTAGATGGTATTCTGACCTTAAATATTCCACAATCAATGCACCCTCTTATTGCATGCATGCCACTGCTGGTACACTGAAGGACACAGGGCTTCTGAGAGGAGGAGAAGCCAAGGAGCCATCTGCAGAATAACCAGGAGGTGTCCCATGGGCTTCATGTTCTCAGGACTCGGCTTTGTCCGTCACTCAACGGGAGCACACTAGGACCCACTCACGAGGGAGGTTTGAGGTCTTGTTCTCAAAGGTTCTCCCCATCTTCACCCCCCAACTTCTCATTCAATAAGAGAACAGAGCTTCTCTCTGAAGGAAGCACAGTTCAAGCCCCACCCAATCTGAGTATCCTTCCGTCTTTCTTAACAAAACTGTAACACCTAATACCCCCATTTCCGATCCTGGAAGAAATGGGAATGGAGAGAGTGACAATCTGATCTCTATATTCAGTGAGTTCTAAAATAATGCTAAAATGGCTCCAGGATGACCTTGATCTGAAGACACAGAAATTTCAACAGTGCATTCTCACAGATGTCTCCCTAAGACATTTTAGATGAAGACATCCCTAAGATGATCCCTTCAACTCAAGAAGGAAGATTCTGACGTTCTGGTGGTGCTGCTTCCCCTGCGGATATATTGCAGATCACTGCAGGTCAAACAGTGGCTGCATTTATTAAAAAGAGGATTCGTAGGAGGCAAGACGACCAAGGCTGCTTCTCACACAGCACCAAAGTGCTCCTCTTTAGCAGACATTAATTCAGAGACACAAGGATGCAAGAAAGTCATTCTTGTGTGGCTGAAGGGACCCAGGGCTGTGACAGAGCAAGAATCATAAAAGAGAGTGCAGGAACCATGTTTGAAAGCAGTGGAGCTTTATATAAAAAAAACCAGGATCTCCTTTTATACAAAAGCTGTATCTGTGACTAACGACTTTTTCACTGAAAGGGGCTTCTTTTTCACTGTCGAAGAGAAATTATTATCTAAAAGGAAAAGAATCTAATATTTTATTTTATTGTTTTCCCCCATGAAAAGACACAAAAGAACTTCATCACCAACTTCATCACAAAAGCTTCATAATTCTATTACTTGAACTTGGACCCTCTTACAATAAAAGTTTACCTACTGTTCCAAAAATGAGGGTCTGGAAGAGAAAATTACATCATTTCTTCTTACAGAAATGGCTTTCTCATTTTTTAATCAACAAGCATAAGTCATCTCCTCTTGTTGGTGTGTTATTTCCTGAAATTGTATATGATGGGTTTAGAAAAATTTGAAAGGAGAGTTTTGAAGTTTGCTAAATGCCCACCATCTCCATAACCACTCAAATCAGGCTATTTTTTATAATTCCTTTAAATTAAATATCTTTGATAATAAATGCAAATTAAGGAGCAATAAATTATAACTTCTAGCCTGACCAGTGACTAATTATATATATTATAATTAACTATAGTTTCCAACACAAGGTATTTATCTTAATAATCATCCCATATCCATTAGCATATCTCAAAGGGTTTTTCTAAAACAGCATTCACCATTTGAAGAGCCATCTAAGGTTCCCCCTTTGGGCTATGAAAAGGTCCAGATTCAAAAGAGATGGAATTACTTTAAAAAGAAGTCTGGGCTAAATATAAGTTGAGAAACTCAGATTATAGGCATAAAACCCTGATTTAAAAATATTTATCCTAAATATACCCTCTGACCATCACTAAAGAGCCTTTAGGTTCTAAAAATCTACAATTTCCATGAATCTCCTCAAAATATCTTTAGCCCTCCTAGGCTCTTGTGAGGGCATCAATCAAAATTTGGGGTTATGATTTGAGCTTTACCAAGGGAATCTATCAGATTTTTCAGGAAGTCTCTGATCTTCTTCTATGAAAATCAATAAGGGGAACCAACTGTTGGTGGTAGAAGGAATGAAATGGCTCCCACTGACTCCATTCTTATCCTTGCTCTACTATTTGTTTTAGAAACTTAAGTATCTCCCTGACCCACAGTTAGTTGGTGGTGGTAGAAATAAAACATCTCCCACTGACTTCATTCTCATCCTTGCTCTATTATTTGTTTTAGAAGCTTAAATACTTCCCTGACCCACAGTTAGTTGAGCTCTTGGAATGATAAATAAGGCAGGGAAAGCCCACACAGGCTTTTTGAGACCCAGTTATCTGCCAGCTTGTTGTAAAACTGAAAGTTTTGCTTCTTAGATTTGCTATAGAGTTCGGGGTACATCTAAACACACATGAAAATGGCCCCTAGGTTCTCCCCTTTCTCTGCCCGCAGCACCAGCGCTTCTTAGAAGCCATCAGAGCCTCCTCTGGGGGTTGTTCCTCTGGTTCTCAGGAGTCTCTGGCATGAACGGTTAAGCCTTCTGATACAGCTGGTAATCCAGCTCTGGCCAGTATCACTGCATTTTCCAACTATCCCTGGGTAATTGTCCCAGGGACTTAAACAAGTTGGACCAGCCAAAGGCACCACGAAGGTCAAACTGCAATAGAGCGTGCCCTGATTTTATCCGGGAGATTGATGCGCAAATCACCTTGATTTCGATTTGGCACCAGTGTTATAAAATGCACTTGCAATCACTGATAACATGTAAGATTAGGCCCTTTCGTGGGACACTGTATTTTATACCCTCCGTGGAGTTTTCCCTAATGCAACCATAAATCAGCCCACAAAGCAGGGCGTTTTGTCCATGTTAATAAAGAGGACAGTGAGAAACCCAGGGTGCCTTGAGATGGAGACATTTTTGGAACTTGGAACGAGCCTGAAATCTTTAGCTTGTGTCAGGGCCACCCGGATGCAACCTTGAGGGGACAAACCACAGTGGGGTCTTTCAGGGAAGTCACAAAAGAACAGTGACTACAGGATCGCCCAGCAAGAAGTGCATGAGCATGGCCACATGGGTGCAAAAATGTCCATTTCTGAGCATTTAAGCAGAGATTCAAACTCTTGAGGTAGGAGAAAAAGTACCAAATAGAAAGCAAAGTTGTTCTAATATGCATATTTCAATATGGAAAAGAGAGTAACGTAGTAAAAAGAGGTGGGAAAAAAATAAGCAATTCAATCAGAAAACCACAGTTTGCAAAATAACTTTTGGCAGTAGCTACAGTATGTCTTCTTCTATGTCTTTCCTGCCTGGCCCCACTAAAGGCTTACATCAAATAATAATAATAATAATAATTATTATTATTATTATTATTATAATTATTATTATTATTATTTTGGCCAGGCATGGTGACTCAAGCCTGTAATTCCAGCACTTTGGGAGGCTGAGGTGGATGAATCACCTGAGGTCAGGAGTTTGAGACCAGCCTGGTCGACATGGTGAAATCCCGTCTCTATTAAAAATACAAAAAAATTAGCCAAGCATGGTGATGGGCACCTGTAATCCCAGCTACTTGGGAGGCTGAGGCACAAGAATCGCTTAAACCCGGGAGGCGGAGGTTGCAGTGAACTGAGATTGCATCACTGCGCTCCAGCCTGGGTGATAGAAAGAGACTCTGTCTCAAAAAAATTACTATTATTTTTTAAGAAAACAAGTACTTTAATTTTTTTTTTTAATTCACAGAACCCATCGCCATAGTTTTACACAACAATTTAATAAGGTGTCCAGAGTGTTAGATTTCACTGATATAGAAAGTTTTAACTCAGTATTCGGGAAAAAAACATGTCTGGAACCACCAGGCTCATCTTCCCCTTGCTGCGGTGGCTTAAGCTCAGCCCCAAATTCTGCTTATGGAAACTGCTCTGCTCTTCTCCCTAATTCCTTTCCGCCTCAACACCACCACCCCATCCACCTATGGGAGTCCAAACCAGTGGGCGTCTGACCTTGCTCTGTGGGGCTGAGGTGTAGATGGGCAAGGTCCAATATGCCTGGTGTGGGCCTACAAAAGAAGAGGGGAAAATCTAGGTTGGAAAAAAACATTGAGGTAATTACTTGCATCGTTTCTCCCTGCTCCCCCACCCACCCCACCTACATTTTTATTCCTCTAGAGCTTCGAGACTTCTCCCCTTTAATCTAAAGCAAGTAAGAAAATGTCTAATGAAAATGATTCCCCTGTTGGGGGCTATGCAGATAGCCCTTTCTCCCAAGTAAAATAGACACCAACAGGCTGAATGTGCAAGAAAAATTTATTCCACTTAACGCGACTAAATTTCCCTTCAATTTCAAGAAAAACTGATTAAAATGAAACACACCTTCGAGTCTTTTATAAAGTTTCACATTTGTATTTTTGAATGCCATATAAGAATGAGCATGAAGTAGGTCTGAAATGGAAGAAAGTAGAGAAACCCAGCTCTGACACTTGCAAATAAAAATAACCGGCAGCATTGGCCAAGCAGGAAGCATGCTTCTTAGCAGACACCATTCCATACTTTTTCTTTTAATCAAAGTGGAAAAAGCACATGCCACTTCTTCTTTTTTCTTTTTTAAGAGACGATATCTCATTCTGTCATCCAGGCTGGTGTGCAGTGGCGCTATCATAGCTCACTGCAGCCTCCAATTCCTGGGCTCAAGCGATCCTCCCATCTCAGACCACTTCTTTTTTGAACCATCCTTTCTCTAATGATATCTTATCAAACTAGGAAAAAAAGTTACTAAACATAAATTTGCAATGAGTTTAGAAAGGGGGAGAAAACTGACCTTCTTACGCATTTTAAGAGCTCAGAGTCTTGAGGGTAAACTTGTGTTGTGGTATCTGGCTTCATTGTTTCCAAATTAAACTCTCCAACAGTTTTAGACAGTTTACAACAAAAACACAAAACAAAAAGATAAGAATAAAAGGAAGCTCCCTGCTATACTCTGCCCAAGGTCAGGATGTCAATTTGAAGTAACAAAAAAAGAGAAACAAAGTAGAAATCACATCCTCCTTAAAAAAAAAAAAAAAAAAAATGGAGGCTGGGCTCAGTGATGAGAAAGAAACCCAAACCCCGCCCTGTGCAGTGGAGCCTGCCCGCTGTCCAGCACAAGGTGAAGGGCTTAGGAGCATCTGCCCACCTGTGGGCAGAGCAAACTGTGCCCAAACCCAGGAAGAACTTTCTCACCGAGGGGACGTCACTGACCCAGCTGAGTGGGCACACCGAAGAATCTTCTTTCTGCTTCCCGGCAAGAGGGAGATTTTTCCAGGCAAGAGGGAGCTTTGTGGTTGTCGCTGGCAGGAGAAAGGAGGCAGATAGATAGGATGTGGGGTAGCAGGCACAGACAGAGAAGTCCTGGCTGGTCCAGTACTAGGACCTGGCCTCTGTCTCCCACCCTGGGCCTCCCAGGAACATGGGAAGCTATGTGATTCCCCAGCCAAGGGCCAGGAGGCTAGGCTCCTTGTAAAGTGTGCCACCCAGGGCTAGACAAGGAGAGTGTGCATACTTCAAGGCAGAGGGCAGGAGGCAAAGGGCATGTGTGAGAAAGCTGCCCCAGGAGAACCCCTCCCAGGCAGGATACATTGTCTCATCTTGTCCTCACCAACTTCTCCCCATGGGCTATCAGAGAGGCTGAGAGTCAGGGGACCTGATCTAACCTAGGCTGGTCATTGCTATAGTGAGCCTGGGATGCCTTGAGAGTTATACTGCCAGGGCCTCAGTTTCCTCACAGGGGAAAGGCAGTGCTGATGGACTACCTGGGCACCTGGGAGGCTCAGCCACCTGCAAGTTCTGTGACTGTGACAGGGAGGGACACCTCCTGGCCAGCAGCTCTATACTACGAAGGAGGTAGAAATCCTTCCTGTGAATACTACTGAGATTAGACTGCCTAACTGAGATAATGCTGATTAAACACACACACACACACACACACACACACACACACACACACACACACACACAGTCTAGTGGCTAGTGACCCGGCACACAATAAAGCCCAAAGGTAACACAAGTTTGTTTGCATATATGCTCATTTTCCAAAACACTACCCTTCAAAAACAGGGACTCACCATATCTGAGTGTCACAAAAGCCTTCCTCCTCTGATGGTCTCTTTGATACCTTCAGGAGAAAAGTCAACCCCACCCATGTTCAACGACCTCCATCAATGCCTGTTCCTGTGCTTGTGAAGTCTCCCAGATCAAATCAGGGGGAAGGAAAGCCAATAAAACAAGCACCAGATGTAATAATCCCTTCTAGGGGTGAGACCTCAAAATGGCAAGTGTTGGAGGATCAGAGAAAAGAAAATTTTAAAAGATGGCTTTTGAAAGCAATAAGGTTATATGGGAGGCCAGGTTATGTCTGGAAAATCTCTGTACCTTCCTCTCAATTTTGCTGTGAACCTAAAACTGCTCTCAAAAGTCAAGTCTTTTTTAGAAAAAAACAGTAAGTGGTAACTTGATAGAGCTCATGAATAGCCAGTGGGTTTGTGGGGCTTGGCCTTTACGTCCAGGTGACAGCCTCATAACGGGTTCCAAGAGTACTCTATCCAAAACCACAGGAGCATGGGGCACCGTGGCTCACCCCTGTAATCGCTGTGCTTTGGGAGGGAGGCCAAGGTGGGAAGATCTCTTGAGCCCAGGAGTTTGAAACCAGACTGGGCAACATATTGGGATCCTATCTCTAAAATTTTTTTTAAAATAAAGAAAGAAAATAGCCAGACCTGGTGGTGTGTGCCTGTAATCCCAGCTACTCACTCATCAAAGCAGGGGGATCCCTTATTCCCTGGGGGTTCCAGGTTGCAGTGAGCCGTGATCGTGCCATTGCACTCCAGCCTGGGTGACAGAGTGAGACCCTATCTCTAAAAAACATATTTTAAAAATAAAAAAAAAAGAAACCCTGAAGGAGCAGTGGGCCTGAAAAGTAGCTTTCAATCCAGGGATGATGAAGGCACTGGTAATGTTGAAATACTATTTCTAGCCCAACAGACTACACTCAATATAAAAAGTAGATATCGTTCTAATTTCTGAACATAACTAAGTTAATATATTAGACATTGTAAGCAGACATGAGAACATTTATTCCTTGCATCCAAGAGTTAAAGGACTGATGTGGGCAAGGACTTGGGGAATGTAAAGAGCTAATAGAGGTCTGGCTCTTACTCCCTCTGTCTTGTCCAGAAAGGCAGACCTACCCTGAGGGGACAGGACAGGAGGGCTGAGCACAGCACACACTTCTGTTCTCTTTTCATGCTTGCACACTTTTTCTGCATCTGTTCAGTGTGTGTGTGTGTGTGTGTGTGTGTGTGTTGTTCTCACTGTTTCTTCTCTCTGGCATTGTCCCACCCCCTCCTCTGTTTCCCTCTGTCCCCATGACTCCCCACCCCACACAGACACAATTCTTGATAATTATAGTTTATTGATTCTCCTGGTGTTAGCTGCCCCCGGCATCGTCTTCCTCATGTTAGCTGGGGCACCTTCCCAGCTCCATCACAGCCTGCGTTTCTCAGGAGGCAAAGCACTCCCAGCGCTAATCCGGAGAGAGCTGCTGCCTGGACCAAGGCCCCTGGAGTCCCTCTGGGAGGTAAGCCTGAGCCCCTGCCCCCAACCAGAACCCCAGCTCTCCACCCCGTGGAAGCTGAGGCTGAGCCCAGTGGGCAACTGAAATAATAGTCATAGCAGTAAACATGTATTGTCACTTACCACATGCCAGGCAAGTTCACAGGCACAGTCTGCACATCCTCCCAAATCCCTGGGGGAAGGGGCTACTACTCATCACTCTAAATGAGACTAAGGGAGGTACAGGGCTCCCCGGAAGTCACACAGCTGCTTCGTGCTGCAGCTGGGATCTGGCCCCCAAGCTTGCACACACACATTTCCAACTGTCTCCTGAAAGAAGCAAGGCCACTGAGGTGTGGGTCAAGCAGATGGCACGGGGTGAAGGAAAAATGCCCAAGATGCTGACTTTTTAAAAATGCATTCTGAGATGAGCATGACTGGCAGATTCTCCGCCCATTGCCACCCAGAAAGAGAGGGTCCCCGGCCAGCTTGAACCAGTGCCCCAGCTGTGGAAGGAGACAACCTGGCTCCCGAGCTGTTTACTTCTCAGCCATAAACAGGAAGGCCATAAAAGGGGCCCCTTTTGGTCAACCACTCAGGGGCTTCTCTCTCCTCCTCCTCTTCCTTTTCCTCCTCCCAAGTACGTGTCCCTAGGCAGAGAGAGTGTTTCCTTGAGGCTGCTACCTCCCAAGTGTCATTGTCTCTTTGCCTTAAAGAACCTCCTTTGAGCTGGAAATTCCAACTGTTGAAGTCACTACTGAGTTGAAGAAAAGGTAGATGCTTGTGCCCAGCCTAGAGAGCTCAAGGACTTGTGGGGTACAGTGCCAGGCATGCAATAACCTCTCTGATCTCCACTGGCCACTTTGAAAACTAATGAATAAATAGAAATGGCTCCTTTTCTGAAAAGAGAAAACTGCAATTCTAAAAGAAACCTGGAGAGGAAGTGACCAAGATATTCAGAGGTGAGAACCCCCAAAGGAAAGTAGACAGCACGTCTCAAATAATGTTCTCTATCACATTCTTTCCCAAAAGCTTCTACAAAAAAAAACAAAAGGTAGAGAGAGGGATTCCACAACAAAGCAGGGTTGCCCTCTTAGAGACACATGCAGCGCGTGTGGCTTTTTAAAGGTTCTGAGAAGTTCTGCAGCAAAGGACCTTGTTTCATTGCATAATGTGTTTTCCAAATGTTTTTGCCCACAAGATTCTATTTCCACAAATGGTTCATTTATTCTTATGACATTTCAAGTCCCCTTTGATGGCTTTGAGAACCTCTGGGTTAATGCATGAGGTCAGGTGTGCTGAACGTTCACTGGTCTCATCTCACCTTGACTTTCCTTTTCAGTCTTCATGTTAGGGACTCTTAGACGTAACCTTTACTGTTTACTGTCTCCACTCCCCAAGAATGAGCTGAGCCCCACAAGACAGCTGAAGAGATGAGGCAGATGGAAATACCTGGGCCTCTTCAGGGAGTTATCAGGGAATTGCTTTCTTTGGATCCAGGGAGATCTCCTGTTTTCAGGAAGTCTTGTTCAGTTACAGCCTCTTCTCTCTTTGGCTCAATGACATTCAGCTAGATCCTGCTCAATCCCACAGGGCATGGTGATATGAAAGCTTCTAGAAATGCATCATGTGAAACTATTAGTGTTTCCTTGAGGAGTATTTGTGTGTGAGTATGACAGCCTCATGCAAAAATTTGGATAACCCTAGTAAAACATTTTTTGTTGAGACAGGGTCTTGTTCTGTTGACCAGGCTGGAGTTCAGTGGCTCATTCACAGTTTACTGCAGCCTCAACCTCCCAGCTCAAGCAATCCTCTCACCTCAGCCTCCCAAGTAGCTGGACTACAGGTTCCCACCACTATGCCTGGCTAATTTTTAAAAATTTTTTTATAGAGAAGGGGTTTCACCATGTTGTCTAGGCTGGTCTCGAACCCCTGGGCTCAAGTGATCTGCTCACCTCAGCCTCCCAATGTGCCACAGGTATGAGCCACTGTGCCTGGCCACAAAACATTTTTGATGTGACTGAGTCCTTGAAAATCTGTGTGACTATTCTCTTTCCATCCCCAGCCCGGGAACACCCCCGACCCCTATCATCTTACTTCAGGGAAACTCTCTGGGCACTGGACATCTTACCACAGTCCTACCTCCCCACCAAAGCCTTCTCAGACTACCATGGCTATGTCACTAGCACATATCTGTTACTGGCTTGAATTTTTTGTGCTTTGTTTTGTTTTTAATGAAAACTTGAATGTTGTAAGGTCTCAAACTGATGAACCAAGCCTAGCTTACTGATGTCTTAGCTTCATGGTGTTTAAAAAAAGAAAAAGAAAATATTTCTATCGGTTGGTTTTACATTAAAATGCTGGATTTATGGCCTCTGCTTAAAAAAAAAAATCAGAGGATCTGGCAAAGAAGGCCTACATTCCTCTTTTACAACCATCAGCAGGAAGTCAGAAGCAGTCTTCAGATGAAACAAATACCTTCAGTTTGCTGGTCCCCACCATTCCCTAATGTCACTTAGAAACAAAGACACTGAGCCATTTATTCCAGTTTTACCATTAACTAGCTGGGTGATCTCAGGCAAGTAACTAAATCTCTCTATGTCTCAATTTTCTCATCTGGAAAATGGAAACAATAATAAGACCCTGCCTATATCAGTTAGGTTAAGCGAGGTTCACTGTGGTTAAAAAAAAAAAAATCTCCAAAATCTTAGTGAATTACCATGACGAAAGTTTATTTCTTACACTCCATATCTCATGCCAGTTGACACAGGGCAGGGTTAAGAGAGAGGTTGCTCTAGATATCATAGACTCAGAGTTCCAGGGCAAAGGAGGTTCCATCTTGGCACACTTTTCCGTGGTCAATCCAGGGACCATGGGAGTCAGGGTTAGGAAACAAAGTGGAGAATCACTCACTAAGTCTTAAGACTTCCACCCAGAAGTGGCACACATCAATTTCATTCACATCCCATTGGCCAAAGTAAGTTACATGCTCTTGCCTAACTTCACAAGGGGCAGGGAGCATTAACTTGCAACTAACAGACTTACTGTAATGCTTCCAAGCTCTTCTCTTTCATGGGACCCTGTGCCTAATTTATATTTGTAAGTTGGTATTCCTTTCTTTCAAGAGGTCCCCACAAATTGGATAAGCTTTAAGCTCGGCAAAACCTGGATCCACTTCTGGACAGAAACATTTGTTAAGAACCCTAATGATTTCCCGACTACCTCATGAGCTTGCTGTGAGAATGGAGTTAAAACGTAGCACTTTCAAGACAGCATCAAGCACTGGGTATCTATTCTATGGGTATTGACTTCTATTATTATTAGGACAATAGTAACACTTCACAGTTCTGACTTTCATACTGGACACAAAACACACACACACACACATACACACACACACACACAATTTGCTCAGTAATGAACACTGGCTCATCAGGAAGCCATCACTAACCACCACAGAGAATTGTCATATGTTAGGGGATCCTTGACTGTGACCTTGAGGAAGTCCTGTTCCTTTTCTGGGCTTCAGTCTCCACTTCTGTCCGTGGGGGTTAGTGGGGAGTGGTCCCAGATGACTTGTGCTGCTCCATGACACTGAGTGAGGGGCCCCTTAAGGGCTATGGGTACAGGTAGGAATGCTAGTTGTGGCGAAGAAAGCTAGAGCTGATTAATTATGCAGGCAGCCCCACCTCTGCAAACCACCCATCTGGGAGGTCAGCCTGCAAACACTGTTTCTCTTGATATTACAGGCCTGCGTGTCTTCGCCCTTAGTTGTCCATATAAAGCATCCCAGCAGCCCACTTCCGGTGGCCTCATAAGACCCTGCCCCCACACATTGTCACTGGCTCACAGCTGTAGGTCCTTTTTCTAACAGCTTTTCTGCTCAGACACAAGAGATGAAAGAAAGGACCTCTCTGATGAAGCAGTTGAACTTGCTGCTTGATGTGTTCTTCCCTGAATTTTTTTTTTTCATCCTCCTTTGCAAGCTCCCAATTGCAGTCTCTCCAAATGCCTTTTCCTATTTGAATGCAAAAGACAGTAAAGGAAACACGCCCCCACCCCATCCTAACTCACACACAAAAAAGCCCATTCAAGTCCTCTTCCCCCATTTCCTGGATGAGTGTCCTGGGCAAGTAACTTAATCTCTCTGAGTCTATATCATCACCTGTAAAAAGAGAGACAACTGCCCTCACCATATATGAGTGTTACATTGGAAACACCTTGTGAATGTAAAAGGGTAGAGAAGAGTGTACCACTTCTGTTTTGATTTCTCTGAATCAGTATGTAGTAGTTTTCTGTTGTTGCGAAATGAATTACCACAAATTTAGCAGCTTAAAACAACATCCATTTAATATCCCACGATTCTATAGGTCAGAAGTCCAGGCAGTCTCACCTGGACTCTGCTCAGAGTCTCACAAGGCCAACATCAAAGTGTCAGCCAACTGGGTTCTTATCTGGGGGATTTGGGAAATATTCTGCTTCCAATTTTTTACAGTTGTTGACAGAATCCTGTTCCTTGTGGCTTCAGGTCTGACATCCACATTTTGTCACTGTCAGCTGGGGGTTGGGGTTGGTCTCGGCCTCTCCAGGCTGCTCATATTCCTTCTCATGGGGTTCCCTCCACCTTCAAAGCCACAGAAGGAACATCAAATCCTCACCTTTTCAATTAAGAGGTCACCTGATTGGGTCAGGTTCACCCAGATACTCTCCACATTTTAAAGTCGATTTACTTAGGGCTTTATTTGCATCTGCAAAATTCCCTCTCAGCAGCATTTGTGTTAATGTTCAATTGAGTCAACAGAAGAGGAGAATCTTGGGGGAAACAAGGGCATTTTTAGAATTCTGCCTACCGTAACACAGCAATTCTCAAACTGCCTTCCACAAAGGTAAGATGATGATAGCTGTTCTGTGAAGAAAGCAGTTCATAGCCAAACTATTTGAAGAAACACTGGGGGAAACAGAGTGAAACCAGTTTCGTTTGCTAGTTTTTCAGTTCAGGACATAGGAGAGTCATTAATATGCCATTGTATCTGGTGATTCAAGGCATGCAGTATTTCCCAAATTTATTAAGCCGTAGTATTCTTTTCTGCCAGAATATCTGCTATTCTTTATAACCCGGTTTGGGATACAATCATGCAGATTTAAAAAGGAATTTGTATAGGCAAAGACAGGATGATAAACAGGAAATTCCTTATATCTTTACACATCTGTGTTTAGAAAATTGTGACCTGATGGTAGGCTCATTATCTGTAGGCGCCCTCCGAGGCATAGTCCTGGATACCAGTTTCTGGAAGGAGTTAATTATCCATGGCCCTCCAAGGGGCCCCTCCACTCCACTTCCTCCAAGGGCTAGGTCCATGGTGTTGTGCCACTAGCAAGAGGCCTTCAGGTGCCATAACTGAATGATGCTCACTGTCTTGAAGGCATTTCCCTGCCCCATGACTCAGTTTGCCTGGGATGAGTCTGAAAGGCCAGAGTGAGGTCCATAGAAGAGAAGGAGGGAGGAGGGTTTGGGCACAGCATTCTGCTGAAACCAGACACCTATCTGTTCATTGTCCTTCCAGGCTGAGCTTCTCTGACCAAACCCTAAAGCAGAGAGAAATGCCTCTTCTTGGAAGGTATGCTTCTAGCAAGCAGCCCTTTCCTCTGCTGCCTCTTCTCCCCTCCCCAAGACAGGCCAGGCACCACTTTTACCAACTGTCCCAGGGATATCTCACAGGCCAGACCTGTGGCCACTGTATGATTTAACCCTGTGCCTTTGGGATAGAAAATCAGTGCAGGTTTTATCATCTCTCCCCTGAAATCAACTCCAAAATAATTTTAGCCTTCAATCCATTCATCTGCCACTCTATGCTTGATTTCAAATTGTGGTTTGTTTTCTCTGTAAGAATCCCCTGGCCATCTTTTGGGTAAACAGCAAGTATGTTCTGGGCACTCTAATAAATTGCAACTTCAGACAGAAGCTTGCTCTTGCTGGAGGCAAGTGATTAAACATTTTAATAGCGCAGCAAATTTATCAACGGGCATATCAAGAAAGAGAAAAGGAGGTGATTTTATTCTCCCAGCTTGTATTTCAGAGTATTTTACTACTGGGGTCAAATGTCTCTCAAAGATTTTTGAGGCCCAAATTTGACTTTGAAGAACCTCAAATGGTTTCTAGAATGCACACTCCATCATGCTCTATAAACAGCCCAGGATTTTCCCTGCACACGCCTAACTATCCAATTCAATATCACCATGGCACCTAAAAGGTTTTTAATATAGATATTAAATATATCTACATCATCGCTTCAGTGAGAGCCTGAGCTGTGCTTTTTCCTCTGGGGTCTTCCAAGCTATTTGCTGCTGACATACACTATTAAAAATAAACCTACCCTGAGGAACTAGTCATTTTACATGGCATTAGGACTAATGTTATCATTTAAGTAGCTGCAGAGATTTGCCAACTACAGAGGCCTCAGATAACAAAGGAAACATGATCATGTGAGATAATCTTCTGTGCAGAAATGACTTTCATCATCTGTAATATGTAGTTTAGATGTTTATTTAAGATTTATACTATTAAACAAATATTGATGCCTTCAACAGAATAAAAAACATCAATGCTAGAGTTAGGTAAAAGATCGGATCCACTTCCAGTGCTTCAGACTTGGCTGGGTATAAAACAATATCCTTGAAATCTGTGTAGTGCAGAGGGGAAGTAAGAAGGAGATTCATTTCCATTCTACCACCTTCTATTTGGTAACATGCCAGGCCCTGGCATGTACAAATTTATAGCATCTACACAATAATTTTATAAAGGAGGCAATATTTTTATCCTCATTTTACAGATGAGGAAGCTGAAGGTTAGCACATTTTCTTAAACTGACGTTTGAATAAGCTCACTGCTAAGATACGGCAATATTGAGAATTGAACATGGCTCTGACTGCAAAGTCTGTACACACTCTACAAATATTGTCCTTTTCCACCATTTGCAAAAGGACCAAGATTCTGACTGCTTTTTCCACTCCACCCACAGGGTAGAAAATTGACAATGTAATTGACCATCTATTCATCCACGGATGCAGATGATTTCATTTATTCATCCATCAATCAATACATATTTCTTGAGCACGTAATGCACCAGGCACTGTGTCAAGCACACAGCATACAGAATGGGAACAGGCATAGGCCCCAATCCCAACAGCAGAGATGGATGTGCACATGCAGGCTTTCCTAGTTTGGTGAAGTTGGATGCCCTTGTTCAATGGCTGCACAGCTCGATAAAGGCAGTGCCCAGGTCGTTTGCCTGCATAGTTTTGCAGCCCTTTTGATAGACCAGATGGGAGTGATGACTTCCTTAACCCCTATCAGACACAGAGCATCGCCTCAGCCTCCCCAAGTGCTGGGATTACAGGCATGAGCTACCGTGCCCAGCTGAGATGCTCTTCAATCTTATCAGACTTGGCAGTCCCCAAAAATGCAGACATCATTACTCCACATGCATAACTAGCTTCTGTTTAATGGCATGTTGTTGTTTACTGTTACACAGCACTATGACATCCATCCATTATTAGCCCACTTAACAAATGAAGAAAGTGAGGCTCAGAACGGTGAAGTGATTTATCCGTGGGCAGGTAGATGGAGTAATGCAGTGGAGTGAGAACCCTGGGCCTGATGTTTGACTCTCTTCACCTGCCCATGCACCTATCACAAAGGAAAACATCATCTGAGAGCTTACATATTGCAGGCCGTTTGAGGTGAGTGCTGTTATTGTGCCCATTTAGGGTGAAGAACACAACACACAGAGAGGTAAGTCACTTGCCTAAGTGCACACCACAAGGAAGAGGCAGAAACAGAATTTCAGCCTGAGCCTTCTGACTCCAGACAAGAAGGTTTGGGGTGGTTCTCATCCTTATGGGGTGGTTCTCTTTGCAAAGGCAACTTGGGCTTGGTAATGATGCACTGGGTCCTCTCCAATCCTGATGCTGTCATTGAGGGGATCAAACCCTCATTAAAGGAAAAACACTGAAGAGGCCCTCTCTATTGTCCATCTTTCCCCCACTGGCTTCTCAGATGCTAGGATCCCTGCAGCCTCATAAGACCTGAAGCTCTTGAAAGAGCCTCTTCAGAAAACTATGGGGATCTATTGTTATATTAAAAAATAAAAATAGGCAATCCCAACACATTGAGAGGCTGAGGTGCGAGGATTGCTTGAGGCCAGGGGTTCAAGACCAGCCTGGGCAACATGGCAAGACCTTGTCTCTACAGAAAATTTAAAGATTAGCTGGGCATGGTGGTGCAGGCCTGTAGTCCCAGCTACTCAGGAGCCTGAGGCGGGAGGATCACTTGAACCCAGGAGTTTGAGGCTGCAGTGAACCATGATTGTGCCACTGCACTCCAGTCTGGGCAACAGAGTGAGACCCTATCTATAAAAAAATAGAAATAAAAATAACTTGCATGAGGGTTCCAGCACGGTGGAGAAAAGAAGATGAAGCAAGGGCACCAGGGCTGGTACTGGGGAAGGCCTGGTGGTGATGGTGTTAGCGTCTGGTTAAGCTACATAGTTGGTCTGATGGGATTTGGCAAACTCCAGCCATTTCTAGTCATTTTTACCTGCTGCATTTGCATATACATATGATATCTGTTATCCTAATTATATCTATTTTCCCAGGTACAGACAGACATACCCCAGAGTTGGGGTGCCCATTAGCAGATCACACAGGCCTCTGCAGCTGTGTTTTGATTAGCGGAAGAGGTTCTTTGGCATCGGAGAACTGAAATCACCTTTTAGGGTATGACAAGCTCAGCCGAGCGTCTCGCAAATGAAAATCAGAGGTTTCTCTAAGGAAGGAGTGAGAGCAACCATACAGAATTAAAAGGCGAATAACCTTTAATGGTTTCAGGTGTGAACGCTCAGTGACGCTGAAGGCCTGCCATCCATGAGACAGCACGATGTTCCAGGATCTCTCCAGGCCCACATTTACCCCCATATATGCCTCTGGAAGGAGGGGACAGCCATGGGAGCCCCCCAGGGGGAGCTCAACTCACCATTTTTCCAGGCTGGGTTCCAGCAGGGAAGATGTGAAGGTAAAGGGGCCAAAGATGGCTGGAAGAGGGAGCACAAGAGTATTATGGATCATGATGCATGCCCACCTGCCCTAAATGACTTGCAAACAGTGTGAAAATCCTTATGCAAGTCACTAAAAGCCCCCTGTTATTCCCTATGGCTCAGGGGCTCATTTTAGAATTCACGCAGGTTTTTTCGTGATTGCATGCTCTATTGTGGACTTGCATGCCCAAGCTCTCTCAACTTCCTTAGGAGGTGTCTCAGTCCATCTGCATTGCTAGAAAGGAATTTCTGAAGCTGGGTAATTTATAAAGAAAAGGTTTATTTGGCTTATGGTTCTGCAGGCTGTACAAGAAACATGGCACTAGCATCTGCTCCTGGTAAGGCCTCAGGAAGCTTCCACTCATGGCAGAAGGGGAAGGGGAGCTGGCATCACATGTGAGAGAGGAAGGGTGCCAGGCTCTTTTAAACAATCAGCTCTCACATGAACTAACAGAGTGAGAACTCACGCATTATGGTACCAAACCATGATGGATCTGCCCACAAGACCCAAACACCTCCCACGAGGACCCACTTCCAACATTGGGGATCACATTTCAGCATGAGATTTGGAGGGACAAACACCCAACCCATATCAGGAAGGTTGTGCCTCTGCGCTGTGAATGTGGTCTATGGGTCAATACTTTAGGTGTTAAGTTGGTGAATTCTTCGTAATACTTGGCATTTTCATAAGCTCTATCCTATGTGATCCTTGATAACTCGACAAGGGAGCCTGAGCAGGTTTTATGACCCCTGCTGTACTGGGCCTAAAGGCACTTAGTAAGTTACCCAAGGCCAAAAACAGTCAGGCTGCAGTTGAACCCTCCCTTGCACCCAGGTGGTACATTTCTCTGATTTAAACATTGCACACAGGGAATGGTGGAGGACTAGAGAGGCGCATCCAGGAGAGGGAATTCTCAATATTTCTTTCCTTCTTCTGGAGGGAAGAAAAACCCTCCAGTGGCAGGGTTTCTCACTGGAGGGAGGAAAGGCCATGTCACTAGGAGGGGTCACCAAGGATTTGTGGATTCAAAACACTCATCAGGGGAGTATTCTGGGTTGAGAATTACTCATTCATTCATTTTTTTCCTTTGACAAATATAGTCATGTTATGCATCACTTAATGACGGAGATACGTTCTGAGAAATGCATCATAGAGTATACTTACCCAAACTTAGATGGTACAGCCTACTACACAGCCAGGATTTGTAGTGTACCTAATGTTCTTAGGCTACAAACCTATACAGCAAGTTACTGTGCTGAATACTGTAGGCAATTATAACACAATGGTAAATACTTATGTATCTAAACAAATCTAAATGGGAAAAAGTACAGTAAAAATATGGAACTATAATCATATGGGACCAGTGTCATATATGTGGTTCGTCATTAGGTGGTGTGTGACTGTATTTACTGAGGACCTACTACATGCCACGCATTGTTCTATGCAAATGAGATTCAACTGGAGGCAGACAATGATCAATTGTGCTAAGGGCTATGATGAAAATAAAATATACCAGCTGAGGCCAATTTAGCCAGGGCAGTCTCTCTGAAGAAAAGCATCTGAGCTAAGACTCTTCACTGAGCAAGAGCCATCCACCCAAGAGCCGGGAGAAGAGGTCTCCAGGCAGGGCTGCACTGCAGGCAGAGGTTCAGGAGCAGAAAGGGCTGGAGGCTTAAGAACCAGAAAAGCAGTGGGTCTGGCTGAAGCTGGCTAGAGCAAGGTTATGAAGGGCAGATGGTCTGAGATGAGTTTGGAGAGGGAGGCTGGAAAACAACTGGGCAGGACTTCAGAGGTTTTTTAGGTAGCCTTTAAGCTAACCCCAAATGTAGTGGCTTATAATCAATAGCTCGGTTTTTTAATTAAATAGATTAGAATAATAGTCTATACTGTGATATGTAGTAGTTCTCCTTACTACATAGCATGTATGTATCATACATGTATCAGAATCACTTAGCATGTATCAGAATCACTTGGAAGGCCTGGTAAATCTCACAGAATGACTGATGCAGCTTACCTGAGGTTGAGCCCAAGAATCTGAATTTCCTTTTTTTTTTTTTTTTTTTTAAGACAGAGTCTCCCTCTATCGCCCATGACCTCAGTTCGCTGCAACCTCTGCCACCCAGGTTCAAGTGATTCTCCTGCTTCAGCCTCCCAAGTAGCTGGGATTACAGGCCCCTGCCACCACACCCAGCCAATTTTTTTGTATTTTTAGTAGAGACGGGGTTTCGTCATGTTGACCAGGATGCTCTCGAACTCCTGACCTCAGGTGATCCACCCACCTCAGCCTCGCAAAGTGCTGGGATTACAGGCATGAGCCACGGCGCCCAGCCAAGAATCTGCATTTCTAATAAGTTCTCAGGTGATATTGAGGCTGCTGGTCCCAGACCATTTTGAGAACCACTATATTAAGAATGCATCACATATATTACAGTCAAGTTTTGTTTCTTTGAAACTCTTGTTCCAGTAATATATCTGTTCATGTGTACTGGATCCTGATGGAAAAGGTTGTTTTTGTTTGTTTGTTTTTGTTTTGTTTGTTTGTTTGTTTTGAGATGGAGTCTTGCTCTGTCACCCGGGCTGGAGTGCAGTGGCATGATCTCAGCTCATTGCAAGCTCCACCTCCCAGGTTCACAACATTCTCCTGCCTCAGCCTCCCAAGTAGCTGGTGGACTACAGGCGCCAGCTACCACACCTGGCTAATGTTTTGTATTTTTAGTAGAGACGGGTTTCACCATGTTAGCCGGGATGGTCTCGATCTCCTGACTCCTGATCCACCTGCCTTGGCCTCCCAAAGTGCTGGGATTACAAGCGTGAGCCACCTCACCCGGCCGGAAAAGGTATTTTTTAAGGATGGGTTCAAAAAAGTTTGAAAGACCTGGATTTAATAACATAGGATCCTTCTTTAGAAGAGAAACTATCCTTTCTTTTTTTGTTTACCTCTTGTTGCCCAGGCTGGAGTGCAATGGCATGATCTCGGCTCACCACAACCTCCACCTCCCAGGTTCAAGCGATTCTCCTGCCTCAGCCTCCCAAGTAGCTGTTTCTACAGGCATGCACCACCATGCCTGGCTAATTTTGTATTTTTAGTAGAGATGGGGTTTCTCCTGGTTGGTCAGGCTGGTCTCAATCTCCTGACCTCAAGTGATCCACCCGCCTCGGCCTCCCAAAAGTGTTGGGATTACAGGCGTGAGCCACTGCGCCCGGCCGAGAGATCATTCTTGAATGCTGTAATTGACTGCTGAGAATCTTGTGACTTCCATAAACATAAATAAAACAGTAAATATATGAATGGCCCAGGTATGGTGGTTCATGCCTAAATCAGCACCTAGGGAGGCTGAGGCAGGAAGATCACTCGAGGCCCAGAGTTCAAGACCAGCCTGGGAAACACAGCAAGACCCCATCTTTACAGAAAAAATAATTTAAAATTATCTGGTAGTGGTGTCCGGCACCTGTAGTCCCAACTACTTGGGAAACTGAGGCAGCGAGATCGCTTGAGCCCAGGAACTCAAGGCTACAGTGAGCTATGATCATGGCACTGCACTCCAGCCTGGGTAGCGGGCTGTCTCTAAATGCATATATGTGATAATAGATTAAAGAATAACTAGCTGGAATACAAAACAAGATTCTCCTGTTGACGGCCTCACCTCAGCCTTAATTTATTGTCCTACTGAATCTCCAAAAACATTGGATTGCATTTTGGCATAGAGCCCAGGATTCCACTCTAAGCTGCCTGCCTCCCTATTCAGTGCTGGGGAGCACTCCAGCCACTCTGACAATGCTTTCAGGTCCTGGTTGCATCTCCACGGTGCTGGCATCCTCCAGAGGACTCAGCCGCATTCAGTCCTTAAGATGCAAGCCCACGCACCCCGTTTGCCACACATACCTGTTGACAGTTTATGTGACAGTTTCCTCTGCAGGTTAGCCCTGCTTCTCCTGTGAGCTGCACTGGTGCCAGATCCCCATGGGAAATTAGGGATAAATCCCAGCTTCTCCTTTCCTGGCCAGTTCTGACCTCAATTATAAAAAAAAGTGTTAGATCCCCATTTGGTAACAAACCATCCTGGTGGGGAAGTTGAGGGCTTATTTCTGGAATCCTAATAGAAAGGCAGTAGCTTCTGGAATCTACAGTAACTCAGGAGTCTAGAAATGTGCATGCATTCATTCAGTAAATCTATCAAGTACCTACTGTGCGCAAGGCACTAGCAAGGTGCTATGACTATCCTGGGAGTGAACAGAACACGCCCTCCTGCTGCTCATAGTGGGTGCACTTTCTGCCTCCTTCCCCAACTTGCTAGGTGACTTAGGCCAACCACTGCCCTTCTTAGACACTTGGCATGACCAGTAGGGCACAGAAAGGAGCATGAAACGTTAGCACTGCAAAGTACCACAAGAGTGACTGAATCCTATCTCCTTGTTTTATGAATGGAAACTGGTGAAGGAAAGGGACTTGCTCAGGATCACATGGTGTGTTGCTGGCAGCACTGTGCGGAAGGCTGGCTGAAACCTCAGAGGCTGCCTCCCATGGAGCCTCCTTATGCTCCTCCCCATGGCCCCTTCCAATCCCCTCCTTCTCGCCTATTATGAAGATGGAAAATTCTGTCTAGTTGGAAATACATGGAACTCCAGAAAGATATAGTGGACATCAGGTAGTTGCTGTTTTTTTTTTTTTTTTTTTTTGGAACAATTCAGGTTTAATTGCTGTGACCTAGATGGTGTTCTAGAGAGAATATGGGTTGTCAGAGCCCAGGTCAGGGACAGAAGCAGCAAGAGGCTCTGAACCCATCCGGGCAGAACCGACCCCCACCACTGAGGTAGGAGGTGGGACTCAATACCAGAGATGGGGCTCAGACACTGGACCAAATTGAGGACTAGCTAAAATAGGAACTAGGCAGAAGCAGCTTTCCATAAGACATGCCCACCAGTGTGCCACATCAGTTTACCTTTGCGTGGCAACACCCAGGAGTTATCACTCCTCTCCATAGAAATGACCTGATGGTGCAGAAGTTACTACCCTTTTCCTAGAAATGTCCGCAAAAAAACACCTCTTAATCTGCATGCAATTAAAAGTAGATATAACTATGACTGCACACCTGCCCTGAGCTGCAGCTCTCAGCACACTGCCTATGGGGTAGCCCTGCTCTGCAGGAGCAGTCACAGAGCTGCATCACTGTCAGAACTGCAACACTGACACTTCAGTAAAGCTGTTTTCTTCTACCTTACCACCATCTCACCCTTGAATTCTTTCCTGGGCAAAGCCAAGAACCCTCTCAGGCTAAGCCCCAATTTGGGGCTTGCCTTTCATGCATCACCCCTCCTCTTCCCATCTACTGCATTTCTGCAGACCACTCATGCACAGCTCAGTGGGTGTTACATATGTGATACTTGCCCCAGTCCACCAGTTGGAAAGAACCAACCTCTCCTCCTCAAAACCACCAGCTTGTGTCTCTCTTTGGCCTTGCATGGGAAAGAATTTATTCAATCACTCACCTGATATACCTGTGCAGTGTCAGGAAAATAACTAAGTTCTGGAGCATCAAGGAGACCCAGACACAGCTCCCCACCCTCAAGAAGTCCACCCACTGGACAGGCCCAGTGGCTCATGCCTATAATCCCAGCACTTTGTGAGGCCAAGGTGGGTAGATCACTTGAGGTCAGGAGTTCGAGACCAGCCTGGCCAACATGGTGAAACACTATCTCTACTAAAAATACAAAAATTAGCTGGGTGTGGTGGCATGTGCCTATACTCCCAGCTACTCGGGAGGCTGAGGCACGAGAATCACTTGAACCCAGGAGGCGGAAGTTGCAGTGAGCTAAGAGCATGCCACTGCACTCCAGCCTGGGTGACAAAGTGAGATTCCATCTAAAAAAAAAAAATCCACCCATAGACAGCTGTCACCATATACAGTGAGTGTGGCAGCAGAGGACCTCTGGAAGCCCAGTGAAGGCCCTGAGTTGAGCACACATCTCTCTCCCCAGCCAGCCTTTGGTCTTCATAAGGGCATGGACTATGCCATGCCCATTCGCCCAGCTCTGTTCATCAGCACCTTCTGAAAGATCCAGCAGCTTCCTCAGGGAATCCTCCAGAAGAAGTGGTGAGAAGACAGAGCTCTCTAGTTGCCTTGGAAAACTGCAGGCACAGCCAAGTCTACAGAATCACAAGGGGAATTCCCTTCTTTTTCTCCTGCCACCTGCTCCCCTCAATGGCACTAGATGATTATGATGCAGCCTATGGGACTGTCCTCCCAGGACTTCTTTTCCAGGAATTGTCCCATCACTCCCCATCTCCCATCTTCTACATGGTCATCAGGGGAATCACCCTGCAAGTCCAACCTGACTCTTGACCACAGCCTCAGGGGTTGGCACCTGTCACTTTGAGCCAAAAAGAGATCTTTCAGGAATCCTTGAAATTAAAATAAAAGAAAGCCTCCAGTACCTTCAAGCAAGGCGTGAAGTGTTCTTGGTAGCCACATTTCCTTCCATGAGGGTGTCAGAAATGGAAGAAGCCAGTGTGCAAGTGGATAGGATGAGCAGATGCCCAGCGGGAAGCAGAAAAAAAGATCACTTGTCCTGATCCCATTTGAACCCCTCATTCCATTAGGTCCTGTTGCATCTTTTCTGGGATATTCCAGAAAAGTCTTCCTCTTTAGTCTCCCTCTTCCATAAACTGGCTCAACTTGAGTTTCTGTTACTTGCAACCCATGGCCTCTGAATTCTGCAATACTGCTCTGGGAAGTCGCTATGCTTACAAAGTATCACACCTTTGGGGGAGTTTCTTCTCTATCCAACCCTTGCCCCTACCTCAAACCGAGAGTCACCCATAGATGGTGCCATCATTATATTAGAAGGAAGTCAAGTCACAAACTATGTTTAAAAACATCAGAAAATAACATGAGCCTTAATGATAATGGAAGGTGGTTAGCCAAGCTCCAGAGCAAGGTGTCTGTAATAGATGTCTTTTGGCCATAGATCAGTGAGATGTTAAAGTCCAGGCTGGGAAGAACAATGAAGAAATAATTTATGTTCATTCTGTTTATACTACTGCTATGAGGTAAAGCATTTACTAGCTAGAGAAAGAGTTAAACTTGACCACAGGTATCAGTATGGTAAATATATTGACTGGCCTGGGTCCTTGTTCTATATAAAAGAGGAGTTAAACATATACATTGTTATTCTTCGTAGTGGACCATGGTCAACTCCCCAACAGCTAAACCACCCTGTCACCTTGCAAAGGCCATGTAGTTTGGGGTTTGAATCCAGCTCCTGTGGTAGGTCTGAGGTTAATCACTCTCAGCAAGTGGTTTAGTAGTGGACGTGTGATCCAATTCCAGCCAATAAGACTTAAAGAGAGGTTTGCCAGAGGCTTCTGAGAAAGGTATTTCATGCACTTAAGAGAGAGACAGAGAGTATGAAAGTCCACTCTCACTTCCCCCAACATGATGTGAACAGGGAAGCAAAGAGCTCTGATGCCTGTGGCTGCCACCCTGAAGCCGTGAGGGGACCCAGCCTTCAGAAGAAGCAGCTACAAGTCCCTGATGTCATGATGAAGGCCCTGGATTAATTCTGAGTGTGGGAGCAAATAAATGTCCATGCTGTTAGGTCCGTTTGAGTAGTGCATCCTATTACTGCCAGCTGAACTCATCCTAACCAATGCATTCTCTAATTAAAGGAAGAGCAGTGGCCAGGTGCAGGAGCTCATGCCTATAATCTCAGCACTTTGGGGGACCAAGGCGGGAGTGGATCGCCTGAGCCCAGGAGTTCAAGTCTGCAGTGAGCTATGCTCATGCCACTGCACTCCAGCCTGGGCAATAGAGCAAGACTCTGTGGAAAAAAAAAAAAAAAAAAAAAGAGCAACAATTTTGAGTGAAAATCTCAGCTCTGCCACTTGCTGCTGGTATGAAATTGAGCAATTTACCCAACTCTTCTGAGCATCAGTGTATTAATCTGTAAATAGGGACATTAATGTTACTGTGGTGGTGATTGGTCAATTTGGACTATCTGGAATCCAGTCCCCCACCTTCAAAACTTTTTGGGGAGCTCCCCCAATGATATATAGTCTTGGAGAAAGATAGAGCCTGCTAAGTTCTCTTGTTGTTTAACAGACAAGATCTCTTTTTCCTGCCTTGGCCCAGCCAAATGGCAGGTCTTGAAGTAAGCTCAGCAAATCCCAACTGAGGGACTCCAGGCCGTGGAGATGACTGGAAATTTTGTTGATTGTAGTAACAGAGGTTTCACATGGAACAGCCTTCCTGATTCTCTGGGGTTCCATGAATCCCCCTTCCTTTTCACAACCTTGTGCTCCAGCTTCTGACAACCTCCTTCCAATAAACTCTCTCATTTTGAGAAAGCAAGTCAGCTTCTGTTGCTTGCAGCCAAGAATGCTGGCAGATGAAAGGGTCTTCTTTATAAGGCTGTGGCGAAGCTTCACTGAAATCACTCTTGTAAAGCCGGGCTCCATACACGTTAGCTATTGAGATGAGTACAGATTCAGATGGCCCCCATGAAGGGATGATCTTAGTTCAACACAAGGTTTTGATTGACCAAAAAGGGTACACAGTATCCCAGTTGCTGAATTGGCAAACTTCCCCTCTACACTTAACTTTGGCTGCTTGGAGTCTCACGCTTGCCACATTCACCACAAATTGGCAACATGTGATGAACACAACAGCATGGAGGCACAGACCCTCCAAAAGCCAAATCCAAACAAACAAAAATGTTGAGTGGCAATGCTGGCAGCAAGTTCTCCTTCTTAACCATGGTGTGCTAGTCCTGATGTTAAAATCACTTTACAGTCTCTGGACACACAGCCAATGGGCAGCACGAGGGAGTCAGGGCACTGAGGGAACAGGGGCTTGAGGGCAGAGATCCGAGACCAGCTCCAGTGGACAAGTGACTGTCCCAGGGACATGTCCTACAACTGCTCTACCTGGCTGTCTGCACCATCAAGCATGTTTCGAAGTGGTTGAACCTGTTCCTTAACTGACAGAGGAACGAGTCAGATGACTGAGGCACGTGGCTGTACTTTGTAAGTTGATACATTCCAGACACCAGGGATCATTGCCATCAACCTCACTACCACCATCATCATCAACAGCATGTCTTTCTCCTCTCTAACGTTTATGGAGCTATTATTATGCTCCAGGGACAGGTTTAATATTTTGTAAACACGAGTTCATGGAATCCTTGCAAGAACATTAGGAGGTCAGGTACTATTCTGTTCATTAATAAACTGATGCATAGAGTACTTGAATGACCTGCCCAAGGTCACATGGCTAGCAGGTAATAGAGCCATGACTCACCCCCAGGTTTGGCAGGGTCCTTAGCCATGCAGCCATAACTTAGCAATATTGCTCCAGAGATGCCCTTCCTTCCAAACACACACTTACACATTCGGACACTAATTTCAGCCTGCCCTATGCTCAACAGACTTTTCTCTGCCATTTTAACAGCCACGCAACAGAACTTTTGCTAAAGTGCCTTTGTGTTTTTATTTGGAAGATGGGTTTTATGCCCTGGTGGGGGCTAGTGGTGGATCTTGTCTCTTCTACATTATAAACTCTTATGAACATGCCATAAAAATGTCCCCTGGGTGCTTATGGCAATATATGAATCATGGCCATTTAATCTCATATGTACAGTCAGAGGATTGGGTCCACACTTTTTTTCTACGAGTTTGGCCTATAGGCTTTAGGCTTGTAAATCTTCCCTCACACACCAATGCTGGGGCACCAAGAAAAACAATTATTTACGAATGGGATATTCAGGTGTTCTGCTCCAGATTAATTGCTTTCAATCCTATTTAACAGATATCTAATGCACCAATGGTAGAAAAATGAATCACCACCACCACTTCAATGAGAAAGAAACATCAGAAAAGGCATGCATCTTTCTGAGAGGTCACTGTGAGCTGGGCTTATGTCTGTGGGGACCAGTATGGTGAGGATCTGCGGTTCTGGAGGGAGGGCAGCTGTGAGGATGACCAAGCACAAGCTCACCCCAGGGAGCCCACACCACCACCCTCCCCAGCCAGCAGTGCCTGACTTTTTTACTACTCTTCCTTTGTTCCAGGGAAGAGGAAGCACAGATCAATAGGATACTTGACAGAGGTGCCTGCGAGCACGACCATTCCTCAGGCCAGACACTGATGGCACCTATCACTAGCAATAAAAGGCTGCTGGAGACAGAATTGAGGCTCCTCCCTTTGTGGGCCATCTACCCCTCTCTGACAAACATCTCCTGCATGAGCTCGCAGCAAAAGAACCATTTCCAGGAGGCAACGTGCTCCCTGCCTGCCATCTGCACTCCACTTCCCAATAGACATTTCCTTATGTTGTTCAAAAGATTTTCCCAGCCAGGCAAGGTGGCTCATGTCTGTAATCGGAACACTTTGGGAGGCCAAGGTGGGTGGATCACTTGAGATCAGGAGTTCGAGACTAGCCTGGCCAACATGGTGAAACCCCATCTCTACTAAAAATACAAAAATTAGCCGGGTGTGGTGGCGGTCCCTCTGATTCCAGCTACTCAGGAGGCAGAGACAGGAGAATTCTTGAACCTGGGAAGCAGAGGTTGCAGTGAGCTGAGATTGCGCCACTGCACTCCAGCCTGGGCAACAGAGCGAGACTCCGTCTCAAAAAACAAACAAACAAACAAACAAACCACCTTTTTCCCAGGCTCACCGGTACTAGCCAGGCCACCTGTAAGGATCATTGCATTTTATTCCTGTGCATTGTGTGGAATGGGGAATGCTGCTGGAGGTTTTGTAGCAGCTCCTGGCTCTCAGGAAGGTGGTGCAAAAACCCATGTGCTGTCAAGATCCATTCCATATTAAATTCCTAGAGGGAGGCCATACCTCATCAGTCCTTCTTTATTTTTTGGAGAGGAAAATGCATTATTTTGCCAAACTAGTTCCTTACAATGCTAATTTTTTTTTAGTCCCTTTTGCTGTGTTTGGAAAAAACAAAAACTATTGTGGATGTTACAGCCAAGGTGGGCCTAAGAGTTCTGCCTCCTTGTTTGGGCTGGCATCCCTTGCTGGTCTTGGTTAGGGAGGGTAGATAGCGAACAAAGAACTGTGGTCTAGTTCTGAAATTGATGACACAAGCATATACCCACTGAGGCTCCTTTCTCCAACCCTCCATTCACATCTTAAATGGGAATATGAAATTGTCCCTCTCATGTCCCTACTGTAAAAGTTGGGGGTGGGGGGTATAGGGTGAGGGGACAGTGAGGAAGCCTCTGCAGGCCTCTAGTTTAAACTTGTACCACTAAGAGACTCTAGGCTTTAAAAATTAAGACAACATCATAACACGTGTTCACTCCAAAGTCAGTTTAGCAAGCTTATAGAATATTCCACGGTAGAATTGGGGAAGTAATCTCTATAGGAAGAACCATCTAAGCCAGGGTTTCTCACTCTCGGCACTGTTAACATTTGTGGCCTAATTCTTTGCTTTGGAGGGGGGGCTGTCCTGTGCAGTGTAGGGTGTTCAGCAGCCTCCCTGGTCTCCACCCACTAGGTGCCAGTAGCACCCCTCAGTCATGACAACCCAAAATGTCTTCAGATATTGCGAAATGTCCCTGGGGATGGAAGTTGCTCCCATCTGAAAACCATTGCTCCCAGCAAAGGTGTGGAGGTGGGAACAAGCCTGGTATATCCAGGATCCAGAGATAAACAAACACTGCACAATTATTACCCATGTCATTGTGTTCCTGAGAACACTAAATGAGATGTGAAAGGACTTCATAAAATAATCATCATCACCATCATCATCCTCATCACAGCAGCTATTGTTTCTTGAGTGCCTATCACATACCAACCATATGCCTGGTACTGGACACCCACCATCTCTAACAAGTATTCATGGCAATTAATGCTGGTGCCACGGGCTGGTGACTCACAGTAACAGACAGCCACAGCCATCATGTTCACCAAATATGGCAAACAAGAAGTAGCATGGCCAGGCTGCCCTCACTGCTGCAGGGGAAACAGAGAGTGTGCTCTTTCTTCGCTGACAGTCCTGTGTTGTCAGACTGGGGATGTTTCTTGACACAGGATGGGCTGGAGAACTGAGTCATGCTCCTACTGGAAAATCACTAGTCAAGGTGACCCCTGCCCTATCCCACTCAACCACACATGTACTTGTGGACTCACTGGCCACTCATTTATACTCTCACTACACAAAGAGTGGTCCGTGATCCACAGCCACAGCAGCACCCCAGAGCTCATTAAGGAATTCAGAATCTCGGGCCCCACCCTTGACCTTGCAATTCAGAATCTTCATTCTAACAAGTTCTCCAGGTTATCTGTGAATGCACTAAAGTCTGAGATACTGCTCTGTGGTAAGAATCCAAGGCTGCTAGCATCTGTCAGCATGTTAAAGTGTGCACAGATGGACCGTAGCATCCCTTCACTCTCTGGATTCACCCATTTGATAAATATTTCTCGAATGCCTACCACATGTCCTGCCCATGTGGGGCTGACAGTCTGGTGGCCTCTGGCCACCACCCCCGCCCAGCTGGTGACTACCCAGATAAAGCCACTCAGTTTACAACATAGGAGGAAAGTGAAGCTCTACCAGATTAAGAAATTTGGGCAAAATCCCGCTGCTAATAAACAGAATAAGAGTTTTAACTCAGGCATTCTTTTCCCAAATCCTGCCCCTTTCTCCTATATTCATACTACTTTTCAACCATACTCATTGGGGTAAAAAGAAGACACAGAGGTTTCTGCATATCCTAACTACTGAATCATACTAAAAGCAGGATTGCAGGATAGGGGTCACACAGACTGGCGGCTGGCATCAGTCATGAACTCATCCAGAATCAGAGGTTCAGAGACAGTTTCATTCACTGGGGTGGAGTTAGCTTTGCTCTAAGCTCTCCATCAGTTTCATCAGTTCTAAATCAAAGGCATTTAAAGACCACCCATTTAAAAAAATACAAAGCAACTGCAGCTCCTGAGATTTTAATGAGTCTGCACCCTCATACTGTATCTTCCTAACATCTTAAACCAAAACAGGGACCCAGATCAGGTCACTGCTGGGAACTCCAAAGTCCTGCCCCAAATCCTTCTGCACCTGGGCTTCCTAAAACTTGAAGCCTTTTTTTGTTATCATGTAGTTTTTATTTTCTTGTAAAAATGTCATGAGACCTGGTTTTAGGCATCAAGCAACTCCAAGGCTTCATGACTTCAAGGAAATTGCTCATGAGTCTCAGTTTTCTCCTCTGTAAAATGGGGAAAACAGAAACACTAGACAGAGTTCTTGGAGGAATGTGTTGAGATAATGGGTGTACTGTGCTCAGCTGGAGTCCTGGAAAGTGTGCAGTAAAAGGCCAATACCTTCTCCCTCCCTTTTCTTCTGAAAACATCCCAGGGTTCTGCTGAGGGCAGATGGCACCTGATGAGTCTCCCTAGCAACTCTCTGACACATGCAACTGAGCTGAGCTGGGAGTGTGAAGGAGGCAGAGCCCCGTTCAAATGCACCACCACACAAGGCTACTTTTTTATTTTTATTTTTTTGTACAGACTCAGTCTCACTATGTTGCCCAGGCTGGTCTTGAACACTTGGCCTCAAGCAATCCTCCCACCTTGCCCTCCCAAAGTGCTGGGATTGCCAGCGAGAGCCAATTCATCCAGCCTCTCAGTGTTTAAATTAACCAGTTTCTGTTGCTGAAGCTAAGAACCCTGACAGAAGCAAACCTCAGTTTAATTCCTGGTCTTAAATGTAACTTGTAGAAATAAATAAATGTGTACACTTAGAAAATCCCCACCACTGACCTAACTCCACTATGTCTACAGAAGTAGTTCTGAAAATGAAGCCCTTGGAACACACCCATTGGAGTCAACTATGGTGTTACTAGGGTATTGATGGTGTTACTAGGGTATTGATGAAAATGCAGATTCCTGGCTTAGACTCTTGGAGGTTGCAGTTCAGAAACACGCTTTTTTTTTTTTCCCCAAGTTCTCCCTACCCATCTTTCTAATTGTTGTGCTCACTAAAATGTAAAACCCACTGGTCTCTGGTGCTTCCTAACCTTTTCTACATAGACAAGTATTAACATCTGTGTGGCTCACTGTGATGAAAGCTAGAAGCTCCTGTGACCCAAGGCAACTGGCTCTGGGGTACTCTGGCTGTTCCAGGTCATACCCAGCCACCCTGAGCACTAAGGGGAAACATTATCTAACTAACCACCTGGTGGGTACAATGGCTGTGAGATTCTGGACTATTTCAGAGCCACCCAAACTCTGGTCCATGGACCAGTGTGATCCATGAGTTTGTAATCCATCTGCAACACCATAACTACAGAAACTGAAAGTAAGCATTGAGAACTTACTTTGGCATTTTGCCAGAATAATTTCTTGGTTGCTAAATCCATCATACAATTTTGGACTAATGTTTTCTGTGACCCTGTTTTCTATTTCACTTTTTTTCAAGTAATATTTTTCTAATGTATTCCCCAAAACATTGGTCCACAATACATTTGGAAAAAAAAGAAAACCAATTAGTCCTTCACCACAACCAATCCATAGCATACCAAAAGAATCATCCAATGGTGAGTTATGTCAGTTTGGGGGTTCTGAGTCATGTTTCAGCTTCAGACCTTGAATTCCCCCTGGATATGTCTGCCACTGGGGGCTGTGGCCTTCACTCTCACCACAGACAGGTCATCTAATTGTGAGACTAGATTAGTACCTGACAGCCAAAGGTCTTTTTGCCTCCAGGCAGAATAACAGAATAAGTTACTACTACTCAGAAACACAAGGAAAACTTTATGCTGTCTCCAGAGTCAATGTAGGTGGCTCAGTGCCAGCCCCATCCTGTCCCCACCCTAGCTTTGTTCCCACATCAAATGCAACCAGGCCCCAGAGAACTTTTAGCGTTCAAACGCTGAAATATGACAGTGGCAATTTTCCTTTTCCCTTTAAATTCTTTATGTACAATGACCATTTCCAAACAGATTCGGAAATGAGAAACTTAACTTTTCAATTTTATCAAGATATTGTGGAAATACACATATGTCAAATGTACAATTTGATCAGTTCCTCTGCCCCCTGGACTCAAGCAATCCTCCCACCTCAGCCTCCCAAGTAGCTGGGACTAAAGGGGCACACTACCCTTCTTAGCTAATTTTTAAATTTTTTGCAGAGATAGGGTCTCACTATGTTGCCCAGGCTGGTCTCGAACTCCTGGGCTCAAGCGATCTGCCTGCCTCGGCTTCCCAAAGTGCTGGGATTATAGGCATGAGCCACCATGCCAGGCTTGATCAGTTTTGAAATAGGTATATAACTGTAAAAACATGAATACAATCAAGATAACAAACATTTCTATCTCCCTGCAGAATTTCCCTGTGACCCTTGACAATCTCCCTCCCTCCCCTTCCACTCCAGGCAACCGTGAAACCACTAATTTGATTTCTGCCCCTATGGATTCATTTGTGTTTTCTAGGAATTTTACATAAATGGAATTACACTGTGTGTACTCTTTTGCTACTGGCTTCTGTTACTAAGCATAATACTTTTGAGATTTATCTACATCATTGCAAGTATCGGTACTTCATTCCTTTTATATTGCTGAGTAGTACTCCACTGAATGAAACTGTTTACTATGCAATTGCAAAAACCAGTTTTGAAAAAGGAAATTTAACTTTTTTAATCCTCCTGAAAGTATAATAACAAGGAAAAAGGAAAATAAAAAAGGATCCCACTTCTCTGCCCTCATTCCCACCTCAGGATCTTTGCACTTGCCCTGTTCTTGGCCTGGAATGTTTCCCAAATCTTGACATAGTTCATACCTTCTCATCATTCACACCTCAATGCTCCAGTCACTTCCTCAGAGGTCTTCCAAGATCACCATTATACCCTAGATGCCTATAATATTGACTGCTATATAGTAGGTGCTCAATAAATATTAGTTAAGTGAAAGTATAAGAGAATAAATGAATGAATGTATGAAAAGATGAAAGACCACTATGGATTGAACTATAGTTTTAAAAGTTATAAAACAGGTTTTTTTTGCAAAATCTCAGAACTCCCTAATAGAGTAAAGAAATCTGGAAGGCCACCCACTAACACGGGCTTGCTCATGGATTGGCACAAGGGCCTGGACCAAACCCAGCAGCTGTGACACGAAAATCTATTTAACATGATGGTGAGCAAGTCAGCCTTGGTGATCCCCACCACACTGGCTGGCTCCGGTGCTCCTACAAATCATTTGAAATGCTAAATCATGTTTAAATCCCTCTGATTGTGACCACTAGGGACCCTGAAGGACACTCACATGTAATTTACATACTGCCAAGCTCCTAAGAGCCTCTAAATAAAGCCCCCGAGGGCTCCCAAGCACTATTTTTGAGGAGAAGGACATGCAGCGACAGATTACATCAAGTCTGCTACCCCAACACCAGGAAGAAAAGAAACCTCACCCTCCAGTTGCTGGGACATCTGCGAATGTCTTAAACTACATTCGCTGTCAGATGCTTCCCAGGGAAGCCGTGATTACATTGAAAACCATACACAGATGCTATTGTCTCTCATTTTATACAACTCCGCTGGTAACAGGTTTTTTTGCTCTGATTTTCATTCCTTTTCCAGATTCTAACCATAAAAAGTGTTTTAATCTGAAAGCACAAGGGAGGGGGTTTCACAAGGGCACTGTGCCTTCTGCCTGCAAATGTTAAATTACATTTGGTCACAACATGGTTATCATGCCAATAATGAGTTGGTCCATGCAGCAGCTATTGCAGGGTCTGAATGCAGATCCAGGAGACACACACCTTTAAGGGCAGGACAGGCTGATGGGAGGAGTTTCCATTCCAACTCTTAGATTTGGCTGCAGATTGCTCTGTTGTAATAAACATGACTAATTTTTACAATCTGACAAAATGGGAAGTAAAATTGCCAGAAAAGTGAGGCCTATGAGACCGTAAGTGGTTTAAACCTTACAGGTCCCCACTCCCCCAAAAAAACGGCACCTGTTTTGTTTTGTTTTGTTTTTTCTTTTTCTGCACAATTCGGAAAACTACACAATTTTTTGTTTTAAGTGAACCAAATAAAACAACCAAGTGAATACATGCTGGCACCTGAGCAAAAGGCCACTTACATGTCCACCGGTGCTTCTAAACCTTCTAGAAGCATGAAGATGGTCTGTCCCCAGCCCAGGAGACCCACAGGCAAAAGGATGCTTTGGCTCATGCACAACTTGCTGTAGTCTCAAATTTCTTTACTAGCTTGAACCACCCATTCAAATCTTAGAAATTACCTGAGATCAAGCAATGCTTTTATTTTTTCCACTACACTGTTCCCTTCACCCCCAACACTGAGCCAGGCAATAACATGCTCTCAGGAAATAAGGTTTGATTAATTGCTTGTAAGCAAGGAAAAGATATCCCATGCCTAGCACGCACCTCTGTGACGTGAATGAATAAATGGATGGATGGATGGGTGAATACAGAATGATATTTTAACCATAGGATATAATTTTATTCTCACAACCACCTTGAGAAGTAATAACAATAAAAGTTCACACCTATAATGTGCTGATTATATGCCGGCCACTATTCTAAATTTTTCATACATATTAACTCTTTTAACCCTCCAGAACTCTATGAAATACGAATGATTATTACCTTCATTTAGCAGACCAAGAAACTGTTGGAGACATATACAGGTCACACTGCTGGTAGGAGGCAAAGCCGAATCCTTGTTAGATGCTCTTAAGCACTATGCTTCTTTTCCCTTGGCTACATTTTATGAAGCAGAAAATGGAGGGTAGCAATCTTAATTTTTATTATTATTATTATTATTATTATTATTATTATTATTATTTTGAGACAGAGTGCCGTGGCGCAATCTCAGCTCACTGCAACCTCTGCCTCCTGGGTCCAAGTGATTCTTCTACCTCAGCTTCCCAAGTAGCTGGGACTATAGGCACGTGCCACCATGCCCAGGCTTTTTGTATTTTTAGTAGACATGGGGTTTCACTGTGTTAGCCAGGATGGTCTTGATCCCCTGACCTCGTGATCCGCCCGCCTTGGCCTCCCAAAGTGGCGATCTTAATTTGAACAAGGCTCCCCGATCCGCAGAGGCAAGCTTAGGGCTGCGTTCCCTGGCCAGTGTTAAATGGCAGAGCCAGAATGTGCACCCAAATAACCTGACTGTGAGTCTGCACGCTCAACTCCCAAGTAGCACATGTGGAATCAAGCGAGTCCACAGCAAATATGTGAGATCTGCAGAGGAGAGATTGTCCATGGGGTGGAGATAATAGGAACTGGGTTATTCAGCACTGTTCTCCCAAACTGAACGTGTTGTGGGGTCCAGGAAAGAAAGAGGAAACAAAAACAAACCTGGAAAATGTGGGCTGCACCCCAGTTCTCTTGAAATCATTTTGCTTTGGTTGGAGAAGGAGGAATGTGCTGGCATCTTCCCTTGTTTAGTTCCCAGGCATCCATTACAGCATGAGCAAAGTCCACAGCAAGACCTGGGCCCAGTTCTCAGCAAAAGTTACAGATATTACACCCTGAGCAAACTTCTGGGTGAATCTTCTCGAGGATTGGAATTTACTACAAAACATGTCAAAGAGTCTTGGGGAAGTGAGGAAAGCCAGGATGAAAGAGGGGAGGCCAGGACAGAAGGAGAATTTATAAACATGAAGAGGAAGAAAAGACTGGAACTAGTTGCTAACATTAGTGTGTGGGTTTGGGATTATGGCTTCAGGGATAATTGCTTCTGTTTTAAGAAGGCATAAGAAAACAGGGAGACACGGGTTTGGGGTTGGGAAATGTTGGTGTCTTAAATGTAAAACTCTATGTCAAACTGGATGTTGAGTTGAAGAGAACAATATTGTTAATGTGGCTGAAGAGACAAAGATAAAAATTGAAAGAAAGAAATTATAGTGCAATAATTAAGAAAGTTTAGTCAATCTGGGAAAAGGGGAAGAGGGAGAAGAGTGGGCTATCCCTGCCACACCCTTTTTTTTACCCCTTCCTTACTGACCACACATATGGAGCTGAAAAGGAAAGAATGTGGGTTTGAACTGAAAAGGTTGCACAGGATTGACGAATTGAAGTTCATTGTGGGGGCAGGGTAAAGCTACAAATGTGATTCAAACTGCAGCCCCAAGAAGCACCTCTCTCCATCAGGGAAAAAACAAAAAATGATCTTTGCTTAAAAGTCAGTAGCAAGAAACCCTGAGAAATATTCCCTATGAAAGTCATAGCTCAGCTGAGACTTGAGGGGTTTGTAAATTATCTATAATGTGAGTGACAGGCAGACCTTGCTCACAGCCAAGTGTCAGTACGCCAGCACAGTTCTGAAATCAGACCTTGCCATTTCATTTCCACCAAACAGAAACCAAAAGGTGCTTTTTCCTGCATGAAAACTGAGGAAGAGAAGCCATTCACCAGCAAGGGTTCACTGCACACAACTTTTTTTTGTAAAAACCAAGATGCACATCTCTGAGAATTTTTTATCTGTTCTTTAACAATGGAAGTTCTGCTGAAAAAGTGGCAGCGTAAATTTTTTTTAAATAAAACTTTGTTGCAAGAGATGTGCTAAGTTAGTTCATCCAGGAATGCCATAAGGAGGTCGTTTGAGGGGATCTCATTTATGAATGAAAGTGAGTTTCCTGGCAGACTACCAGTCTCTTCCAAATGCACACGCTCCGAGAACAGGACTCCACAGATCTCACACCTATTTCCAACAGAAGACACAGGAACTAACCACTATTCGCTGGATCCTAACTAAGGTCCTACTGGAGCGGCAGATGGGAATCTGTGCGTCCTGCTGGGCTTCCTGAACATCCTACTACTAGGTTCTAAGAATTAGCTACACTCTATTACATGGTGATAATTTTTTTTTCGCGCTCAGAAAACCGCAAAGGGATTTAACCAAAAGGAGGAAAGATTTTCTTTTTATAAATTCGATTAGCCTTTTCCACTTTCTCTACGTCGGGACATTTCCTCTGGGAGGAATTTCATACCCAGAGGCCCCTTGGCGAGGCACTGTTGCATGCGGGGCGCAGTGAATTTAAGTGCAAGACGCTCAACTGTGGACGGAAAGTCAAAATCGCAAGCACTTGCAGTCGCTAGCGAAGTCGGTTTCTTAATACCGGTGTAGGAACAGCCCTCCAAGCGGAGAAAGACGAACTTTGCCGCGGGCAGACAGTACGCGACTCTTGGCTCGGGCGCGCGCGGGTGGTTACCAAGCCCACCCTCCGCTTGCCACCGCTGAATTTCGCGCCCGAGCCGGCGCCAGGGCGCCCGGTCACGGCGCTGCACCCGGCGCCCGTCTGGAGATAGCCCTTGGTGGCGGGCGGCGGGAGTTCCCCCAAAAACCTGCGTTTTGCTGCTGGTATTGAACTGCTGGAGAGCGAGTGCGCCGAGGGCGCACAGTGTAGACTTGGCCAGGGGCGAGGTACCCACCCAAGCCTGCTCCATACTTCGGGTTCGAAGCCGCTCCAGTGTTCTAAGAGAGGTTAGGATTGAGTGACAGCAGTTCAGTAGGAAAGGAGTTTCTGAAACTCCCGGGGAAGCAAGGTCCCGGGGTTTGGAAAAATAACCGAATCTACGGAGAGCTTTCCAAACTTGATCTTTTTTTCTGTCATTTTTTTCCTGTTCTCCCCGCACCCCTCCCCCAACCCTAACTCCAACCCCAACCCCAACCCTAGTTAAGAGCCCTAAGGGCTAGAGGGTACAAGCCACCTCAACCCTTCCTTTTCCCTCTGCCCCCGCAAACTTTCAGACAAGGAAAATACAAATAAACCCCAGGTGGTTAATGCGGGTGCATTCAGGAACACCCCCCCACCAACACACACACATGCACACACACACACAGCTGGCCACCCGCTCTGTCCCACCCACCTCCGGGCAGGGGAGGGACTGGGAACCTGATCTCCGGGCTCCTGCCCCGAACTTTTCCCCATCAATAATGTTGATACCATCGATGTGCCTCGTCCCCCGCCCCCGGGGCGCCGCTGCCGCCTTTTCGCCGCTTTTTGCCTTGCTTAAGAAAACGAAACCTCCACTACTGCCCTTCTAGCCTCGGCCGGGGGCCAGCGGGGCCTTGAGCTGGGGACTGAGGAAACAGGGGTGCAGGGAGAGCACTTGGAGACGTCCTCCATTTCTGGGGTAGGGTGGCCAAGCACCGTCAACGGAACGGAAAAGAGGGTCTGGGGCCCAGGCAAGGCCTCATCCCAGGCCCCATCCCAGACCCGAGGTCAGATCGGGCCAGAATAAGATACTTTTGAGGGTAGAAGAACCAGGCCTCAGAATGCGCGAGCCTTGACGCCCCCCACGTTGCCCTTCGTAGGACCAGAGGTTGAGCAAAGAAGCCTGGAAACCTCATGGCTGGGACCCCAGTTGTGGCCTGCGGCCTTGGGGCACAGACCTTCGGCCCCGCCAACCCACCAAGGATACTCTAGGACTTGGGAAAACTAAGGGGACGTATTAGTAGGAACGAGCATCAATCCCCCAAGATGGGAGTTTGCAAAACTCGCCAAGCGCCTCCCCCGGGTGCGGTTCCTCTCCGCCAGTGAGGTCGCGACCCCGGCGCAGCTGCCGCCTCACTTCGGGCTATCCCCATTCGCTATTGCGGATCAGCCCCTAAGTACCAGGCCCTCTGGCGGAACCTGCAAGTCCAAACTTCGCTACCCGGATTCCCCAGTAGTCCCCCCCCCACCCCACCTCCACCCAGAGTTAGGAGGGTGCTACCGCACGTAGAGCGCGCAGGTCTCTGGGGTGAGCAGGGCGCGTGGAGGGACTCCAGGAGTGGCACCTCACTCCCGCTCGCCGCCTACTTTCGACCCGCACAAAAATAAAGAATAACCCCCACTCTGCTTCTGTTTTTATTGATGTATTTCTTTGCATCGCGGCACGCGGAGCCTCGCCAGCGCCCTGACACTGCAGCGCCCGCACCAGCGAACCACGGAACTTGGGACCGAGACAATGGCCCGTAATTGATGTATTGCCATCAACAATAAAGACCAATTCTCCTCTCCCCGCCATTCCGACCATCCCCCTCCTCCCATCCCCCCCTCCTCCACCTCCCATCTCCTTTCCCGGGGCCACCGAGGGAAAGAAAACAAACAAGAAATTAGCGGGGGACGCCAAGCGCAGATCGAAACGCCCGCCTCTACGCCGTCGAGGACGCAAAAAAACGAAAAAAGTTATTAAAGTTTGGATCCCCCAATTTATTCGTCTCTGCTCGCCCATTTTTAATTAAGCATCGCGTAGCTGCTTTTCGCATGTTCATTTCGTTTGGTTGTTTGTTGTGGTGTTTTTTTGGGGGGGGGGAATTTTTTTTTTTCCTACACTTAATCTTAAATCACACGTAGACCAAGTAACAAACACGTGTGAAGTTATTCCCGGGAGCTTCCTGCTGCGCACGCGGCGCGCACCAGGAGAAAAGCTTTGCGGGACCGCCAGCTCCGCTAGGTTCCTGGCTGCATGCGGTGCCCGGGAGGCCCGGACTTTCAAGAAGCCAAGATTGTTAGAGAAGGATGCGGGCGGCTCCAAACACGGGCACATTCCGGGAAAGGAGTGTGCAAGTGCACACAAACGCGTTCGTGTACCTGGGACAGTGTGGATTGGTGGGTGTGCGAGGACCCCTGTTTGTGAGATGGAGGCGGGTGCGGGATTTACACGTGCTCCCGTACACGTTCCCCGGGGTCTGGGAGATGCGAGCCGCTCACACCCCAGGAGTGCGCAGATCCATCTTTGCCGAGGGATCTCTTTAAATATTCAGTGAGAAATAATGGCATTTGAAGCACCACCTATGGAAACATTATTATCTTCATTCTTCAACATCAGCCCCACTGATAGCTTCGTTTGTCTTTTTATCAAAATCTACTGTACCCATCAGGACCTGGCGAGAACGGGAGAGCGAGGCGGAGAGGGTGTGAATGTGTGTGTTAGGGAGTGAGCGAGGGCAGAAGATAAGTAAGAGAAAAGGTGGAAAACGGACGAGCAGGGAGAGAGAAGGGAGAAGTTATACCAATAAAAAAAAATAAAGTCAGCAGATGAAAAACAGAAACATTCATCGGCACACACACACATTTACACCTTAAAAGAAAAGATTTAAGAAGCTAAGAGAAAGGGAAGGGTCCTCTACCGGAGCGCAGTACAGGTCCGGAGTACACGAAGTCGGCTCGGGAGACCGGTGCCCACTTCGCGCGAACCGACCGTGGCACCGGCCAGACTCAAGGGCGCTCGCGAATTGGGGCGTCCTTATGAGCCCTCTCCTTTCCTGATCGTGAGATAGGGCAGGGATTGTGTATCTGCACCCCCCTCCTCCCCCATTACTCAGCCGAAGTTTAGTTTAGTTTAGTCCTTCGGGCGCAAGACTTCGAGAACCTTGGAGCGAGGAGACCCCGAGGCGCGAGGGGAAAGAGCTAGGCTGAGCCGCGTACCGAGTCTCAGGTTCGCGGGCGCCTGAGCCCGGCAGAGGGATCGGGCTCCTGGCTCTGGGCTCTGGGGCGAGGGTAGGGAGGTTGCATCTCAGCTTGAGGGAGATGGTGATAGAGCGAAAAGTTCGGGCGCCGCGCTCGGCAAGTGCCCAAAAAGTGGAGGCGAGCTTCGGCGCCGCCAGGCAGCCTCGGACAGAACACCTCCCCACCGCCCTCCCCCCACCCCGCTTTCCGGCTCTGCGCCGCCACCTCGTCCCGGAAGGCTGGGGCGCGGCCCCCTCCCCAGGGCGGGGTGCCCAGGGGTCCCAGGGACTGGCCCAGTCCAGTGCCGGGTCCGCCCGGGCTGTGTCTCCCTAGGCCGGTGCTCGCTGCTGCGCTCAGTGTGAGCCGCAGCCCCTCCCCTCCCCCCGGCCGGAGCTGAACTCGGAGCCCAGGCCGGTCCCCGCTCTCCGCCCGCCCGGGGCTCTGCGGCGCCACCGCTGCCGCCGCCTCCCCGCGGAGTGACGCGCCCTGCAGCCAACCGGGGCAGCCGGGGGGGAGGTCCGGGAGGGGTCCTGGGCGGAGCCGGGCCGCCCCCTTATCCCACGGGCTCGGGGCTGCTTCTCCCGAAAACTTCAGCCCTAATTGTCCTGGGAATGTCCGAGGTAGAGAAAGGGAGCGAGGGAGCAAGCAAGAAGCTGGAGGATCAGTGCCCCTGGCGGGGAGGGGATGGGGTGGCGGGAGAACTGCCCCTCCCCCCAGCCACAAACCCATCAGGTTCCCAAACCTTTCCTGGATCCTCTTCTCCGCGCCCCCGCGAGCCCGGGATCCAGGGGATGGAGAACTCGGGGCGGAGGAGCGCCGAGCCAGGCGGGAGGGAGGCCGAGCCGTGGGCGGGAGGCGGACCGGCGTGGGGCTGGCTCTTCCCCACTCGCTTATTTTTTTTTTTAATGGGGGTGGGGGTGGGCTGCTTTCTGGTAGCTCTTAAAGAAACGAAGAAACACTCACGAAACGGGACGCCCTCCCCCCTGATCCCGCCGCGGGACTCCCTCCCCCCGCGGGCCGGCGCGCCTCGCCCCCGAGTTGGGAAGTTCGCAGCGCGCCGGCAGCCCGGGTCCCCAGCCCTCGCCGCCCGGCCCCACCCCCCACCCGGGGCGGCTCAATTCCGGGGAGGGCATGCTAATTTGGGTCGGCCCAGCCCGGGATTGTGGGGGGGGGCGAAGGAGGGAGGGAAGAGGGAGGGGAGAGGGAGAGAGCGGGGGGCGCCTGCCGGGGCGCCGGGCCCGCAGTGGAGAGGAGGCCGGCCCCCGGCGGCCGGGCCGCGGAGTCCCGGGCGGTCGCAAAGAGGGTTAACCCAGTGTCGGGCGGCGCGGCGCGCAGAGCCAGCCCCGCGGCCGGCTTATTGGGCCAGCGCGCGGAGAGACAGGGGTCTGCAGCAAATCACGAACTAATTGATTAAGGCGAGCGGGTTTGAATAGCGCTGGCCCGGTGCCAATCGCCTTTCAAAGAGCCCCTCTATGATTAATCGCAATGCATTATTGATAATCATAATTATAGCAGGACACATGCGCGCTGCGCCCGGGGCCGGGGAGCCGGGGAGGGGGCGGGCGGGCCGGCGGGCGGGGGGAGCCGCCGCCGCCGCCGCCGCTCGATTTCCGTAATTTTGAGAAGATTTTTTTTTAGTAATTTTTTATTCTGCCCCAGCTGATGTTTGAGCCAGCATGTCGCGGAGGAAGCAAGCGAAGCCTCAACATTTCCAATCCGACCCCGAAGTGGCCTCGCTCCCCCGGCGAGATGGTGAGTGCTCCGGCCCGCGCCGTGGACACACACACACGCACTCACACTCACGCACACTCGGACCCACTCACACGCGGCTGGCCCCCGCGCCCCCTACCTCACCGCCGCCGCGGCCCCGATTGCTTCTTCCACTCGGCGTAATTTTTTTTTTCTTTTTAATTTTCAATGTGCCTTTGCTGGGCTTTCCCCCGCTGCCCCGGGGAAAGCGAGCACATCTCCCGGCAGGATCTTTCCGGAGTTGTTGGGTCCTCCCGGGGGAAGGAGGGCGGGCATGCCGGCCTGGCTTCTCCGTCCCTGCTTTTCCGGGGATCCCAGCCGCGGCCAAGACCCGGGAGCCCCATGAGGCGTGGGTGCGGGTGGAGGTCGCCCCGGCCTGACCGCACGGGGCCCCTAGCGCTCCCGGCGCCGGCCCCAGGGCACCCGGCCCGGCCTCCGCCGCCCGGCCTTGCTGCCAGCGGTAAGGAAGTTTACTTCGGGCGCTGGGCTGAACTCCGAGCGTGGGGGAGTTCGCTGCGCCCCCCTGCCCCCACGCACACTCCCCCTCGGCCTGCGAGGCAGAACCGGGTGTCTTTGGAGGTTCAGAGCTGCAAGAAGATGGGGACTGGTGTCGGGGCGCCAGCGCCTGACCCGCTGGGGTTGCGGCCGGGGTGGAGAGTGCTGCTGGCCGCCAGTTGTTCCGGAGACGGTGCAAACGGACGGGGAAAGTGTCGGGGTCTGGCTCGCAAAATTTATCTCCGCATCTCTTCCCACAACACTTGCACCCTCTGCCCCCCAAAATCTTTCTGGTCGGTATGCGCCCTCTGCGGATCGTGGTGCTCCCTACTTCCAGGGGGGTCAGGGAAGAAGTCATAGAATAGTTTTCCAGGTTTGCGGGTGGCCAGCCAGAGTGGAATCCCCCCTGAAACAGGGGCACTTGTTTTCTCCGATGGAGGCGACAACTGTGGGTCCCGAAGGGGCTGAACAAGTCCAGAACAAAGTTTGTGTGTGGGGGCTATGGCAGAGAGTGGAAGAGATCCGGGCAGGGAGTTGGGGTACAAAGGGAGGACACCTGGAATCCCTCCTTGCTCCTAAAGGTGTTTCACGGTACCGGCCTCAAAGCTCCCAGGCCTAGCGCCCGAGGCGGTGTAGCGGCGCCCGGACTCGGGTCCCCGGGTCGTCCCGGCACGATGCTGGCCTCTCGGCTGTGGGAGGACGCACAAGGAGCAATCTCGGCGGGGTCTCAGCGGCTCCGGATGCCACTCGGGATGCCCACGCCCTAGGCGGCATTTTGGGGTGTGAAGGAGGGAGCTGGGCCCCGACAGAGCTCCGAAGCGTGACCCTGATCGGCACCTCAGCCCACTAAGCTGCGGCCGCCCGGGCCCCCAGGTCCCCGGCTCGTTTCCCAGAGGCCTGCCTCTCGGTAGAGCTGGGGCACAGTGAAGCGAAGGGACCCCCGCTCCCTTTACCCCTGATGTCGGGAAAGGGGAATCCTGACTTGGGGTCCCTGTAAAAAAATGGAGGACTTGAAATTAATTAAGAAATGCTTTACAATAGCCCTCCTCCCGGCCCCCAGTGTTTCCTCAAGCTTGAATCCTTACCCACGGCCTCTGCGATTTCTCAGTCCGCTGAAAAGAGCCCCTGAACCCCGCTTTCCACCCCAAGCGAAAGCGAGCACGCGGGGTAGATGGAGGTGAGATGACCCAAGGCCGCAGCAGCTGCGCCGAGTATTTTTCCGGGTTTTCTCAGCTTAGTTTCTTCTGCTTCCCGCAGTCACACTCATCTTTCCTAAAGTTTCTGGTGAGACCTTTTGCACCGGAAAACTGTTCAGGTTAACAGTTTGTACACAAAAAAGCAAACTAGAGATAAGAGAGCATTATATAGTGTGTTTTGTAAATTTGTACTGGTTTTCTACATTTAAAAAAAAAAAGTCTCGGCCTTCGAGGAGAAATGATGCGTGGAAGATCTTTGCCTTTTGCCTTCAGTATCAGGAATTTTTAATAGTTAAGTCTTCTCATAAAGCAATAATATAAAAGGAGTTCACTACCTCTTACCATTATTCTTTATTAGTACTATTTTTTTCAATTTAGTTTATTTGAGCTTTGAGGTAAGTTAAGTAACTCAATCAAGTTTCCTTTCTTTCTCTTTTCTCTCCTTCTTTTGATTTCTTTCTCTTCCTTCCTTTCTTTTTTCTTCGCAAAAGCTGGTACATTGTCCTAAAGAAGCAGTAAACTGTTAGGGGCTCCCTAGGAAACACCCCCTCCCAGCCTTCTTTCCTCACCTCTCCCCACCCCCTCCTCTTTTTCTTCAGTAGTAATGGTTTTAGGTTATGACTGTTTTTACATGGTTGAACAATAAGTTTGGGAGAAGTTGCCTAGAGGGTAGATTTTGTAATAGGGTTTCAGGATTTAGTGTGTTGTAATAATATTAGTACACAAGTAATCCTCCCCCAACGCTGGACATACAGGAGGGCCTAACATACTCCAGTTCTTTTATTTGGGAGTAGTTCTGAAATAAATGGCATTGAAAGTTCATGACATAACTCAAGGTTACCTTTTAAAAGTCACCTTTTCTGCAGTGAGTTCAGCAATCTCATTCTTCTCCCCACATATAACCCATACTTCTAGGAGTAGCTGGATTTTCTGTTTTGTTTTGTTTTTTACGTAAAGAAACATTGTTATATTTTTAGAAGGCAAGCCCCTTTTCAAACATTCTGATTACTTTTTCTTATGTCTTGAGATGGTCTTTGAAATATGACAAATGAAATATGAAACATACCAAATTAAATCTAGTTCATGCACTTCTCATTTATCAGCACCTCAGATTGTATGACTTCTACCCAGAGTGAGACCTAGAAAAGTTTGTAGACCTAAGTTACAGGAGCCCTAAAGAAGCAGCTCCCAAAGCTGAAAGCAGCTAGGGCTGCTTGGTGTTGTGTGTCCTGCCTGTGTGTGTTTGAGTGTGTGTGTGCTTACAAAGAAAATCCAGACCATGCTAAGGAGCCACACAGACAGCTTCATCTGAAGCAAATGCAAACAAAATACAAAAACAAAAACAAAAATGAGTATTTGGTCGATTTCAGGATGCTGGTATTTTATTTTACTTTAGTGTACAGCTGCTATGCCAGAAACACTCTAAACTTGGTAATTTTTCTGCTTCTTATGAAACCAAGATTATGGCAAATATGACTTGTCTCCTAAATGATATTCAACAAGTCTTGAATTACTTGCAGAAAGATGACTGCTACTGGAAAGACTGTTTATCAAGTTAAATAATTCTGAGGAAAGGGAATATTACAATCTAATGATTTTATATGTGGGCTCTTTACTACAAATTGGGATTTCAGTTATGTGTTTTGTGTGCGTAAGTGCATGTGTGCATGTGTGTGTGTGTGTGTGTGTGTGTGTGTTGGAGTTCTTCCTTTGGTGGCGTTTTTAAGATTCCTGTAACTTCTACATGGATGGCCCATTTAGACTCCATTCATTTATTTAAAAAGTATTTTGGTGCTCAGTTTTTTCAAGGAAAAGATAATATTGGAAGAATGAAACACCATGAATTGCAGATAAAACACTAACAATCATATGAAGTATCATAAAAATTCCTCTTATTTATATTAATAATGAAATTCTATTATTTAACCGAAGTAATTTGCTCATTTTGAGCAGCTTCATAGCAACACATTGATCTCTGGGCCCAAAAGGTTAGCGAGAACTGTAATTAATTGCTTTTTTTAAAAAAAACCAACACCTGCAAGATAAGGCAGTTGGAAAGAATTCATGTTTAATCAGAGCTGTTTTAAGTTTGTCATAATGGAAGATTCTGAATGAGAAAATGCAAACTGTTTTTTTTGTGATTTGCTTCAGGCCACACATACTTTGTAAAATATTAAAAAACAAACACATAAATGAGCAAAGTCTAGTTAGGCATGAGGGTAGTATGTGTGAAAGTGAATATGTGATACTGAATGTTTTGTGGTTTATTTTACATCACATTTCCCCTAGAGTTCATTGGCACAAGTGCCAACGTATAGGTTCTTCTTTGGGGGCTCTATTTGTTTTCTTTATACTTTTGGAGGTAGCAAGTTGTCTTTACCAACAGAACCTTTTAGAAGGTAGAACTCCACATTTTTATGGTGGAGATCTTACTGGGGCAGAAATAGGCAGACTGGTTAAGTTTTTGAAATTGTCAAAAGCCAAGCTCTGTGTAGGAACTAGAATAAACTCCTTCTACAACCTCAACTAGGTTTTTCTGAGACACTTCTTGGTGCAGATAGCACCAGAATATTCCAAAAATATTCTTAGATTATTAAAACTGAAGTAGTTTGGCAAAAGAGGTGGAAAGTTAACCAAAGAACTAACACCCCTCCCCCCAAAAAAGAAAAAAGTTTATGTGCCAGGCTTTAGAAAACCTAGATGTGTCAAGCTGTTTTAACCTTTGCTAGCCTCCTCCCATGCAAAGGTGACAAGGTCCAGATCATAATATGTCCTTCAGTATCTTCCCAGTGACCCCCAAATTGAATCCTGCTAGTCACTTAGCAGGAAGTTAGTAGTTTATTTTAGTTTCACCTTATCAGCTTGGCGTCTTTTCCTAACCTTATTCCCCTGTCACCCTCAGATGCCAGACCCCCAAAGGGGAAGATTGACAGGTAGTTCCCATAGCTCAGTTTTACCCTCAAACAACAGGGATTTAGTTTCTTGTGCCTTTGCCAATGTTTATGTAGTCAAAGTTTAGATCTCGCCTTAAGGAGTCTCTTTTTTACGCGTCACTGCAATAGGAAAGCCACAAAGAAGTTTTTGAACAAACCCTTGCAACTGGAACCCCATCTAGTGTTCAGTTTGATTCATCCATGGGAAAGACATTTTCCCCTTTCATTTATTGTGTACATTAGGTGGGCTTGGATCACTATTTTAAAAGCAACGCCTCGTCCATGTTGTTATTTTTTCAGAGATTTCACTTGTATTCTTCCACAAGAGAATACTCTAATCCCCGTCAGAACAGTGAGTGAACTTGAAGGGTACCAGGAAATTTGTCATTTGGTGGCATATCACATAGAGGAAACTTTAGACATCACAGAAAATATGCACAGCATATGTCGTAGTGTTTAAAATTTCTTTGGAATCCTAAGTTGGATTCAGACTTTTCCATTTGGATTCAGACTTTTCCCAGGTCGATGCAGAAAAAAAAAAAAAGAAAAAGAAAAAAAAAAAAAAGACCAATCAATCAAATATGTTTGTGATAAAAAAAGGAACAGGCTGTTAAAATTAAGGACTCCTAAACCACTATCATGAGAAATTCTATTAGGGAGTGTAAATGCAATCTTAAGATAATGGGAAGTACAGTGAAGTGTCTTTCTGAAGAGCTCCAAAAAAGAAAACTAAACCTAGTAGAGTAAGGTGGTTGCATTTGTTTTTTGTTTTGTTTTTTCCCTTCCTGGCTGGCTAAACCTTTCTGTGTGGGACATAGTTTTATTTTTATTTTCTCAGTAGACAGATATGGTAGAACACTTCAATTTTCTGCTTCCGACTCTGCAGTTTGGTTCAGATGATGAAAAACTGACAAATTTGAATTAGGCATCAGGTACCTAAATAGTACAACAGGAACTAAAGCATCTGGGATTTTAGTATAAATTTGGTGGAGGTATAAGATCACTCTTCCCGCCCCCCCAACAAAAGGCCCAGAAAATTCCAAATATCTGTTTGTGTGCACATACTTAGAAAACCACTGCTTCTTAAATTTTGCTATCTGACTAGGGTTGCTTACAAAATAATCTGTATGCAAAATCCATAGAAAAGGAACAGGAATGTTATTTTCACCATAGTACAAGGAACAAGGCAACTGTATTTACTATAATGGGGTCACCAGTTGCAATCTTGTGTAACAGATTACTGAGAGAGATACAAGATAGCAGACAATCAGAAAAATTAATTATAACATGTTCGTGTGTACGTGTGTGTGTGTGTGTGTGTGTGTGTATGTGTGTGTGAGAGAGAGAATGTGTGTGTATGTGTGTGTGTGTATCTTACTACAAATTAAAATATTCCCTTTGGTAAAGAGTCCAACTAGTCCTCATGTTTTGTCTTTTTTTTTTTTTAAGTAAAAGACTGTTTCCTTGGAATTTTGTTCCGAATGCAGATAGATTTCAAGTTAAGAATTATTGCAGTGTAGCGACACCTGCTTTTGAAATAAATCAAAATAGATACCAGTATTTTGGGGATGTGGGGGTGTTCATAAACATCAGGAAATTAAATTAGTTCACTCTACAGTGAGATCAAATGTCAGCTTATTAAAAATGTTGTGAAAACCTAAGCTAAAATATGGACAACTTTTTAACACAGTCTCTTAAAAGCAAGCAGGCATTTGCATTTATTTTTAAACATCTATATTTTCCATCCAGTTAGCACAATCCTAAATATAAAAATGTTTAGATTGAAAAACTTGAAAATTCTCAAGTGAGTCTCGAGGCAGCACAAATGCAGAATTTGAGTGCAGGAAAGTAATAATCAGCTAAATCCTGTAAAGTAACCTTCCTTTTATTTTCTCTGTATATTATGAGAATATCAGATGTTTGCAAGTTATAAAGAATTAAAATCTCTTTTAATCGTGAGCACAGATGTGCTAAATATTTGAAGCAACTACATTGTAATGTGTACAATTGATGAAGTCAGTTTTCTGATTTCCCTTGCTAGTTATTTAGTTCTGAATCTGTCATTATTTGTCTAAGCCCAGCTGACCAAGCAAAACTGTGTTTTAAAGTGGCTTTATGTTTTGATAAATGTGAGCTGGTTGAAAAGTATTTTCCACTGAATGCAGAGCTTAATAGAACATGCTGACATAATAGTTTTAATGCATTTTGTTGAAAATGTGTGAACAAACAGAATAGCTTTTGTTCCTTCATAATTGGCTGTAAAAGTAGATGGAAACATAACCATTACATATGGAAATGTGCAAAGAGAAAGAAATAACATTTCTGTTGAATATATTAGGAATTGCATTTCCTAGTTTAAAATAAGCATCTGAAATGGATGCATCATTTAAAATTGATTGTCAAAATAAGAAGCTTTAAAGAGAATTTTTGTCACATTATTTTTGTCCCAAGTTAAGCAATATAACTTCAGCAAATTTCATCTAATATTTTGTTTATATGATTTTAAGGCAGGGGAGAAGCAGAAAGGGCTTAAAACAGCACCTTCCATGTGCATAGGAATCCAGTGCCAATTAGAATGCTTAAACATTAAATTAAAACCAAATCATTATTGGTATTTTCTGCTGCAACTAAGATTTGTTTGGTGGTGTTAATGCATCTTGCACTATGCCCTTGTGGAGATTAAAAGATGGGTATTAGGAAAGCTAGCTTGTTAAGTATAACTTAGCTACTCAAATAACACTCCCAGTGAATAAAGTGTGCGTACGTTTGGCATACTTCACCAGGGATTCTAATCAACTTCGGCATCACTCAAGGCAAATAGAGTTAAGGAATTTCCAGAAGTTAGTATTTAGGTATTAATTTTATTTTCTGGAATGCAAAACTAGTCAAGTTTTTAAAAATGTTTACTACAAAAAAGCAAACAGCTGACCCTTTCCAACGGACTTTTAAGTTTACTGAAAAAAGCAGCATTTTGATTTTACATTTATTCATATCTGCAATTACTTTGTTTTCTGCAAGTTTTCTGGGAGATTCAATTTGGAAGTCATGGAAACTACCTATTATCTGATTCAGTTCTGCAGAAAAGCATGCAGGGAGGTAATCCTTGAATTAAACAGTTTTTTTTTTTTCTTCACAGCCTTCGTAGATGACCACACACCATTTGTACAACAGAAGTTGGTGTTCCCCATGCTGGGCAAACAATGGGAAGCCATCCTGTCTTTGAATAGGATGTTAGCTTGGAGTTAGAGATTTTTCTGTTTAATTTACAAATGGATCTTAGTGAGAAGACATCTGAGCAACCAATGGAAACAAACATGAAATAAAGGGATTTTTATAATAAAATGTTCAGGACAATCTGTTAAACGATTGATAACAGTTAAGAGCAAACTGTTTTTAAAGGCATTCAGACAAGGAGAGCTGCAAAGCATTTTCAAACTCTAAACCAAGAATTATTTCTTAGGAGATGGGAGCACTTCTCAACTGCACATCCTTCTTGAAGTTGATGTTTAATCAGAAATGTAAATCTTGTGCCAGTTTTTATAGACATAGAGAGCACTTTTGATGAAATATTTAGAGGCATAATGTTGCCATTCGGAGCATGGTGGCATATATTCTTTGATTAGTGGAATGGTAGCCGGAGTTACATCTTTAATTTTAAAAATAAACATGCCATGGGGTGATATATAGGTGCCAGGCAAGCCTTGTAATGGATTAGGATCATTGTGTTTCTCTTCATTGTGTGTGTTGCCATCCCTTTGTGTTCAAGTGAGTTTTGAGGAACGGTCTGGAGGATTTGTTACTGATGTGACTAAAGTGCGTTTGTCAGGGATCAGACTTAGCGCAGGTTCGAGGTAGGGGCTTGAGGTGATTTTCAAGTTGTCAGTCTACAGCTTGGTGATATGCATTTTTTTCCCCCTTGTCAACAACTGATTGGAACCTGAATGACTACAAATTAGTTTAGTGACAGAACAAACTGTCACAGATATCTTTGAGTCGGTTGAAAATGAATAAGGTTGACAGAAACTCAAGAGCCTAATAAGTCCTCAGAATGGTTTGTGGACCCTCTCCGGACAAGTAGACAATAAGGTGTATAAAAGATTGGAAATCAATATTTTGCTATGGAATTTCATCATGCACCAATGTCTCCCATTTGTAGTATTTTATATTTTGATGAATTATATGAAGGCCATGACTCTCTGAAATACCGGATGGATAGGAATTCCTCCATACCCTTACAAATTAATTATGGATGTTCTTAGGTAATATTGATTGGTTTTCAAGGGCTACAGTTTTGAGTTTTGCAGGTGGAAAACCATTGATTAGCCTTTTTTTTTTTAAGTCATAGGTGACTGTGTGTCCTGGCCCCTTTTCTAATCCTGCACCTTTTTGACATTTGTAGGAGACACAGAAAAGGGTCAACCGAGTCGCCCTACTAAGAGCAAGGATGCCCACGTCTGTGGCCGGTGCTGTGCCGAGTTCTTTGAATTATCAGATCTTCTGCTCCACAAGAAGAACTGTACTAAAAATCAATTAGTTTTAATCGTAAATGAAAATCCAGCCTCCCCACCCGAAACCTTCTCCCCCAGCCCCCCTCCTGATAATCCTGATGAACAAATGAATGACACAGTTAACAAAACAGATCAAGTGGACTGCAGCGACCTTTCAGAACACAACGGACTTGACAGGGAAGAGTCCATGGAGGTGGAGGCCCCGGTTGCTAACAAAAGCGGCAGCGGCACTTCCAGCGGCAGCCACAGCAGTACCGCCCCAAGCAGCAGCAGCAGCAGCAGCAGCAGCAGCGGCGGCGGCGGCAGCTCCTCCACAGGTACCTCAGCGATCACAACCTCTCTACCTCAACTCGGGGACCTGACAACACTGGGCAACTTCTCCGTAATCAACAGCAACGTCATCATCGAGAACCTCCAGAGCACCAAGGTGGCGGTGGCCCAGTTCTCCCAGGAAGCGAGGTGCGGCGGGGCCTCTGGGGGCAAGCTGGCCGTCCCAGCCCTCATGGAACAACTCCTAGCTCTGCAGCAGCAGCAGATCCACCAGCTGCAATTGATCGAACAGATTCGTCACCAAATATTGCTGTTGGCTTCTCAGAATGCAGACTTGCCAACATCTTCTAGTCCTTCTCAAGGTACTTTACGAACATCTGCCAACCCCTTGTCCACGCTAAGTTCCCATTTATCTCAGCAGCTGGCAGCAGCAGCTGGATTGGCACAGAGCCTCGCCAGCCAATCTGCCAGCATTAGTGGTGTGAAACAGCTACCCCCAATCCAGCTACCTCAGAGCAGTTCTGGCAACACCATCATTCCATCCAACAGCGGCTCTTCTCCCAATATGAACATATTGGCAGCGGCAGTTACCACCCCGTCCTCTGAAAAAGTGGCTTCAAGTGCTGGGGCCTCCCATGTCAGCAACCCAGCGGTCTCATCATCGTCCTCACCAGCTTTTGCAATAAGCAGTTTATTAAGTCCTGCGTCTAATCCACTTCTACCTCAGCAAGCCTCCGCTAACTCGGTTTTCCCCAGCCCTTTGCCCAACATCGGAACAACTGCAGAGGATTTAAACTCCTTGTCTGCCTTGGCCCAGCAAAGAAAAAGCAAGCCACCAAATGTCACTGCCTTTGAAGCGAAAAGTACTTCCGATGAGGCATTCTTCAAACACAAGTGCAGGTTCTGCGCGAAGGTCTTTGGGAGTGACAGTGCCTTGCAGATCCACTTGCGTTCCCATACCGGAGAGAGGCCATTCAAGTGCAACATCTGCGGGAACAGGTTCTCCACCAAGGGGAATCTGAAAGTCCACTTTCAGCGCCACAAAGAGAAATACCCTCATATCCAGATGAACCCCTATCCTGTGCCTGAGCATTTGGACAATATCCCCACGAGTACTGGCATCCCATATGGCATGTCCATCCCTCCAGAGAAGCCAGTCACCAGCTGGCTAGACACCAAACCAGTCCTGCCTACTCTGACCACTTCAGTCGGCCTGCCGTTGCCCCCAACCCTCCCAAGCCTCATACCCTTCATCAAGACGGAAGAGCCAGCCCCCATCCCCATCAGCCATTCTGCCACCAGCCCCCCAGGCTCAGTCAAAAGTGACTCCGGGGGCCCTGAGTCAGCCACAAGAAACCTAGGTGGGCTCCCAGAGGAAGCCGAAGGGTCCACTCTGCCACCCTCTGGTGGCAAAAGCGAAGAGAGTGGCATGGTCACCAACTCAGTCCCGACGGCGAGCAGTAGCGTCCTGAGCTCCCCAGCGGCAGACTGCGGCCCCGCGGGCAGTGCCACCACCTTCACCAACCCTTTGTTGCCGCTCATGTCCGAGCAGTTCAAGGCCAAGTTTCCTTTTGGGGGACTCCTGGACTCAGCTCAGGCATCAGAGACGTCCAAGCTTCAGCAACTGGTAGAAAACATTGACAAGAAGGCCACTGACCCCAATGAGTGCATCATCTGCCACCGGGTTCTCAGCTGCCAGAGCGCCTTGAAAATGCACTACAGGACACACACTGGGGAGAGGCCCTTTAAGTGTAAGATCTGTGGCCGGGCTTTCACCACGAAAGGGAATCTTAAAACCCACTACAGTGTCCATCGTGCTATGCCCCCGCTCAGAGTCCAGCATTCCTGCCCCATCTGCCAGAAGAAGTTCACGAACGCTGTGGTCCTGCAGCAGCACATCCGAATGCATATGGGAGGCCAGATCCCCAACACCCCAGTCCCCGACAGCTACTCTGAGTCCATGGAGTCTGACACAGGTTCCTTTGATGAGAAAAATTTTGATGACCTAGACAACTTCTCTGATGAAAACATGGAAGACTGTCCTGAGGGCAGCATCCCTGATACACCTAAGTCTGCAGACGCCTCCCAAGACAGCTTATCCTCTTCGCCTTTGCCCCTCGAGATGTCGAGCATCGCTGCTTTGGAAAATCAGATGAAGATGATCAATGCTGGCCTGGCAGAGCAGCTACAGGCCAGCCTGAAGTCAGTGGAGAATGGGTCCATCGAGGGGGATGTCCTGACCAATGATTCATCCTCAGTGGGTGGTGACATGGAAAGCCAAAGTGCTGGCAGCCCAGCCATCTCAGAGTCTACCTCTTCCATGCAGGCTCTGTCCCCGTCCAACAGCACGCAGGAGTTCCACAAGTCACCCAGCATTGAGGAGAAACCACAGAGAGCGGTCCCAAGCGAGTTTGCCAATGGTTTGTCTCCCACCCCAGTGAATGGTGGGGCTTTGGATTTGACATCTAGTCACGCAGAGAAAATCATCAAAGAAGATTCTTTGGGGATCCTCTTCCCTTTTAGAGACCGGGGTAAATTTAAAAACACTGCTTGTGACATTTGTGGCAAAACATTTGCTTGTCAGAGTGCCTTGGACATTCACTATAGAAGTCATACCAAAGAGAGACCATTTATTTGCACAGTTTGCAATCGTGGCTTTTCCACAAAGGGTAATTTGAAGCAGCACATGTTGACACATCAGATGCGAGATCTGCCATCCCAGCTCTTTGAGCCCAGTTCCAACCTTGGCCCCAATCAGAACTCAGCGGTGATTCCCGCCAACTCGTTGTCATCTCTCATCAAGACAGAGGTCAACGGCTTCGTGCATGTTTCTCCTCAGGACAGTAAGGACACCCCCACCAGTCACGTCCCGTCTGGGCCTCTGTCTTCCTCTGCCACATCCCCAGTTCTGCTCCCTGCTCTGCCCAGGAGAACTCCCAAGCAGCACTACTGCAACACATGTGGCAAAACCTTCTCCTCATCGAGTGCCCTGCAGATTCACGAGAGAACTCACACTGGAGAGAAACCCTTTGCTTGCACTATTTGTGGAAGAGCTTTCACGACTAAAGGCAATCTTAAGGTACCTTGCTCTCTCTGCACCATACCTGCTCCATCAACCCTGTCCCACTGCCATTGATTATCTATAATGCATGCCCCCAGAGTCATCAGCCCAGATATTCAGGGAGAGAGCTCTTGCAAGGGAACCTGCTGCACATGGTTGACGGGGGAGAAATGGGGGAGAGGGTGCCTGGGAGGGTCAGGATCATGGCAGGGACAAGGGCAAGCTGCAGCTCACTGAATGTCAGTGCACATTGAATAATTTGGTACCTAAGCGAAGCAGCGGCCTCTCTCTGTTGTCTCGCTAAGTGCACCAAATGAATTGCTTTACCTACCAAGAAAGCCTAGCGTTGCCATGGGGTATTGATTAAAGACCTCCACGTGGCCTGTGTGCTGCCCGTATCACTTAATAATTAGGGTTCTCGGCGTATGTATCTATTTTTCATAACTATGCAGTCCAGCATGGTTTGTTTGTCTAAAAACAATAACGTCACTGCTCTGCTAATGGGTATTATGATAATTGATTATACAGCATTTCCTACTGATATGTGTTGGAAATAAAGCAAATATGCTTAAGTTCTAGAGCAACAGTTGAGTGCTCTTAGTGTGTACATTTTTCTGTTGACAGAGTATTTCTCTGGAGATTGCTCCCAGTAATGTGAGATGAATAATTACTTTCTGGCTTTTCTCTCCATACGCAGGCCCTCCAATGGGCAATCAGGGAGGGATACCTTCTCCCCATCTGAAAAGGACATTTATAGGGTAAAGGGTGTCAGATACAATACTTACCATTGCAATGAGAGTGGACCTAACAATTCTAACCCTGAAAGGAGCTATCCGCCACTGCCTGGCTTGCTTGAGGCCATTATAAGCTAAATATGGTTAATAAAAAAAGAGTAAGTAAGGCATCCTTGCCTTGGAAGAGGGGAGACAGCCCAGGGCTGCAGAGAGTGAACACGTTATTACTAGACAGGAGGAATGGATGGTTCCTGTTGCCTTCACTGTCTGTCACATGATGAGAATAGACATTTAGGCCACTTGCTTTGTGGACATTTGGGATATGAGTTGAGACAGATTCAGCTATTAAGCTTCTCTCCCCCTCCTCTTTTTTTTCTCTCTCTCTCTCTGTCTCTCTGCCTGCCCTCCCCATATCTCAGGTACACATGGGCACTCACATGTGGAATAGCACCCCTGCACGACGGGGTCGGCGGCTCTCTGTGGATGGCCCCATGACATTTCTAGGAGGCAATCCCGTCAAGTTCCCAGAAATGTTCCAGAAGGATTTGGCGGCAAGATCAGGAAGTGGGGATCCTTCCAGCTTCTGGAATCAGTATGCAGCAGCGCTCTCCAACGGGCTGGCGATGAAGGCCAACGAGATCTCCGTCATTCAGAACGGTGGCATCCCTCCAATTCCTGGAAGCCTCGGCAGTGGGAACAGCTCACCTGTTAGTGGGCTGACGGGAAACCTGGAGAGGCTCCAGAACTCAGAGCCCAATGCTCCCCTGGCCGGCCTGGAGAAAATGGCAAGCAGTGAGAACGGAACCAACTTCCGCTTCACCCGCTTCGTGGAGGACAGCAAGGAGATCGTCACGAGTTAAAGCAGCTCGGGCTGGAGACATAGCATTCATTCCTGTTCAGAATGCGACCTATGGTGGCCTCCTACTCCTTGCCCCCCACCCCGCCCCGCCCCTTCCTTCTGTTCCCCAGATCTATGAACTACAACATTATGAAGACATTCTTTTGTACCTTGTTCAACTTTAGAGTTCTAAGAAAGCTTATTTATTAGCGATATAACCTTGCTTTGCAAACAGAATGCAAGCGTTAACTTTGGTCTTCTGTATTTTGGACTAAATACTAATTGACTAGAGTGCTGTAAACTTGCTGTAACATTTATGGCAATTGCAAGTTGCCCTGCTAGGCAGTTGTAATCTGGCATTAACTTATTTTCTATATCCAGTTTAATATGAATCTGGTGTTGATGCAATGCCTCAGTGATGCATTAGATCTCTAATAAAGTCTGTATATACATGTACACTTTGATCCTGCTGGAAAATTTTATCAGCAAACACATTGTCTAATCTTTCAAAACAGATTTAAGGAAAGGACTGAAAGTACAGACTGAACAGTGTGGTTCTTTGAAAGGTTTGGTTTTTTAATTTTTATTCTAAAATTCAACCTTTTTTTTTGTCGATTTAACCATTTCCATTTTGAACTGCTATTTGTATTGTGCTTTTTACTTGAGTCGTCTTCAATGTTAATAAGTTTCTGTACAGTAATAAGCACGCAGAATTCTTTAGAGAAAAAGAAAACAAGCGTTGTTTTGGTAGTTGAAACTGAGACGTAACATTTTGCCTTGTAGGTATATTCACGATAGAAAATGTGTGCTGGAATTTCACAATGCTGCTAAGTATAGCATCTTGAACAACCTTCAGTGGAGAAAATGTAGATGCTCTTGTATATACAATAAGAAATATCACTTTCATTCAAATGTACATATGTTCCTTACAAGAGCAAATGCTTCTTCTTGATCAAGAGAGCAGGTATAGTGTTTGTTTATTTTGTCTTAGGTATGGAAGAAAAAAATTGGACTGTTACATGCACTTTCTTGGAAAGTTGAAAGGAAAGGGGGGGTCCAATTTCTTTAACATTTAATACTTACTAACAACAGAGATACTGTAATTTTACTCAAGTAATCAAATACATTTTTTTTGCAACAGATAAAACAAAATACTGTGTCTGTGTTTTTAGAGTGCATTTCCATTTAGCCAGGCCCCAAATGCGTTTTAACATTTCCCCAGGCAGCAGTCAATTGTGTATGTGAGTGTGTATCCCTCTTTAAATGAGGAATTGTAAAAGGCATAACAAACGGCTTTGCATGGGCCTGCGTTTTCTTTTATTTTGAAATTTGGAGGCCCTAGATATTTTCCCAGTATCTATGATTTATTTAGGAATGGATTTTATAGACTCCACTCGCTACCCACCCCACCCCCAAGAAAAGCAAAACAACGAAATGACATAAAAAGATGTTGTTGGAGGTTTTAACCCAACAGGTAAGTTTCTTTTAAGCAAGATATTTATGCCGATTTAGATTTCACTTTTACTATTCTGGTTTTATTTCACTTAATGCAGTCACGTTTTTTCAGGCAGCTGAGAGCCACATTGCTGGGGAGTTCCTGATGCTGCGGGGTTATATAATCTGACTTAAACTGGGCCTCAACCCAGAGAGGTCAACATGTTCTTTATTTAATTGGTCTTTTAGGCATTTAAACGCACATGCATATTTGAAAGAAAAAGTCTATTAGAAAGGTTATGTAGAGTCAGCTTGAATATTTCATCAAGCAAATTCAAATGGATTCTTCCCCTCTCCCTGTTGTTCTGGGGCGGAGGGGGGAACAGGCTTTCTTCCTCCTGAGCACTGTTTTGAGGTGAGCAAACGGACTGAAGGGAAGCTGTGTCCAGAGGGGTCGCCGATTTTTTTTTTTTTTTTAATGTTTCAGGGAGCTGGTGAACCGCGCATCCGGCGGTTGTGCCCAGGTAAGGTAGAAAGCGTCGGGCCGCTTCCTGCAGAAGTTTCCACCAGGGCGCGGGCCACTCGGGTCCGCACTCCCCCGACCCTGTCGTTAGACTCTGTGCCGAGGGGGCGCCCTCAACCCCTGCTCGGCCTCCGGGTCCGGGTCCGGGTCCGGGTCCGGCGTTCCAGAAGGTGGGCGCTGACCTGGGCCGGGAGAGTTCAGGGGAGGGGGTGGGAGCCCCCAAAGCCAGAGAGGGCGGCGGGGGGGGCAGGGGAGAGGGTTGCGCGACGTCGTGATTGATGCTGAGAATCACCCCGAAGGCTTGGCACCCGAACATTTAGAGGGACAGATTTCTCGCTCTCCTCTCTCCTGTCCCGTCCCCTCCGCTCCAGGAGTGACATTTTTTCCCCAAGAGTGGGGACACGGATTGAAGGCCGGAGTTCCAGCCAGAACTCTGGTTCTGCGCGGGCCAGATGGAGCTGTTTCCGTTGCACAGACGACGTCCACAACTTCCCATCGCTGGGCGTGGCGAGGAGGGGCTGCCCCGGGCTGCGCGCCCTTTACGCCCAGGGACAGGGCCTGGGGACATCTGAGGGAAGTGATCCGGGGGGCTGCCGCCCACCGAGAGGGGCAGGCTTCGACAGCGCCACCCTGCCGCACATGCCCGGCGCCTCGCCGGCCCTCTCCAAAGGTGTCCAGGGGCTGCGCCGCGACACTTTCCACCGAGCGTCTGCCAGCAGCTGGACCCCGCTCTCCAATGGCCGCCGCCGCCAAGTCCCCGGGGCTCCCGCACTCCGGGCCGGGCGCGAAGGTCACCGCCCTGCACCACCTTGGGCTGCGCGTCCATTTCCAAGAGGCAGGCAGTGGGGAGAGGGGAGCGGGGGCGCTGTGTTCCCTTTCCCTCTCATCACTAACCTCCCACCTTCCAGCGGTTTCTGAAAGTGAGTTAAGGGGAGCAAAAGTCACTTCTCTTTCCGGAGCCATCAGAAGAGTTTAGGAAAAGGTCAGAGGGTCTCTCTGTCTCTCCGTCTCTTTCTCTCCAACCCCCTCCTCTCTCTCTCTCTCTCTCTTTTTCTCTCTCTGTGTCTCCTTTTGTCCCTGCCTATCCATTTATTGATTGACTATCTTTCTAATCTATTGATTATTACCTGCCCATTCATTCCCCTTTCCATCCATTTCCAAAATAAGAAATCGCCCTCTGCCCTGCTTCTCCTCCCAGTGTGAAAAATACACTCAGCCTTTGGGCTCGGCCCGCAGAACAGAACTGGATTTACATTTACAAAGCAACAGGGTTGAGGTGAAGGCAGCTGACGGGCGCGCACCCCCTCCTCACCTACTCCCCGACCCTTGCCCCGCTACGCCTCACTAGAGGTGCCTCGTGGTGGTATTGAAATCACCGAGAACCGAATTCACTGAATTAAGGAAGGATTGTTGCTGCAACTAAGTTCACAGAATTGTTTAGCTAAAAATATTCACTTTGGTGACAGTTTCCCCAGCTTTTTTTTTTAAAAAGGGGGGAATTGTAAAAATACAGAACAGCCCAGAGAAGAATTTAAGAAACGCTTTGTGTCTATCACTCAAAATTTACAAACGTTAGGAATTTGTAGTTTATTCGAGGTTTTTTGTTGTTTTTGTTCCCCCCACCCCTCCCCAGGAACTGCGTTTCCTGTTCTTCCTCTCTGCCTGGGTAGCTGTCATTCTCTCATTCTCTCTATCTTTCCTTCCTTATATTCCGTCGTGCTTTTTCTTTCTTCCTTCTCCCGTCATCTCCACTACCCTCCCTTTTCCACCCACCCCCCCGCCACGGGCTTCCTTCTTCCTGGAAAATATACTTGGAAGAGCAGTTTGGTGATTGACAGGGACCTGGGGAGGGGAAAAAAAGAGAGAGAGAACCAATGACAAACCCAAGCTGCTCGAGATGACCCCTCCCTCCCTCCCTCCCCCCCCACCCCCACCCCCGGTCTGGGTTGGGGAAGGGTGGGTAGCGTAAGGGAGGGGTCCTGCAGATCAGCTGGAGATACCTGAAGCTGGCTTTGCGCTTTGAGTTTTTACATCCCAATCTTCACAGGCCAGGTCTATTCAAATGGCTTTTTAGGGAGTGGAGGGAGGGCATTTTTTTTTTTTAATTACAAGAAAAAAATGTCTTCAAACAGAAAATTCTTAATGATTTGCAGTTGACATAAATTTCTAGCAGTAGATTATTTGCTTATTGTTTTTGGCATGTCGTGAATGTCAAGAATGAGAGAGCAAAAAAAAAAAAAAAAGCTCCTACTCTGTTAAAACTTAGCAGTCCTGTTAGAAAAATAAAGCAATGGATTATTTGCTAGGAGTTACACACTCCATCCCAAATGAAACAAATGTCAGAGTGGGTAACAAAGTGGAAAAAAGTATAAAGTGAATTTCAAAGGGCTCCACAGTAAAGCGCAATCTGAGATTCACAGAAAAGTAGAGACGGATAAGACAGGAATTAGGTCATCTCGTCCAGACCCCAGGAAATATGTCTAGATCAAAGCCTGCTCTGTTAGAATAAACAAAACAGGACCCATTGGGCCCTACCAATATTTTCATCTCAGTGCTAAGAGCTGCTAATCTAACCAGCTCTATTTGATGAAAGGGAGTAAAAATTACAACTGTAAAAATGACGACGTAATAAATGTCCTCTCAACTCTTAGAGGAAGATAAAGATTTAGATTTGAGCTAAAAAGTAACAAGATCCAGGCCCAGATCAACACAAACTTCCTGGAATTTTAGCACTAAGTAAATTATCTAATCCTAGCCATTGTTCCCTCCCTGCTGCCACCCCTCACCCCCACCCATCCCGTGTACCCCATGCAATTGAGTATGCCAGATGATTTACATTAAAAATTTGTTAAATTTTAACTGCAGTCTGAGGACATTGCAGGGGGCCTTTGGGGTTCCCTTCTTTTGCATTCCTTAAAGACCCACCGGTTTTCTGTCCCCCACCAACCCCAATGTGGCCTGCCCCCCTGGCAGTTGTTGGGGTAGCAGGCTGGACTTCTTTGTGTGGATGCTTTGTTTAAGCCCAGTCTTAAAGTTTGGGCTCTTTTTCCACCGTGAAGGGCAGATGGACAGAGGCCTGGCACGTGTGTCCCATCAGCCTGGCTTGGGGTCCACACAGTTCGGCAGCTCATTGATATTTTCGCAGCTAAGCTGAAGTACTGTGTAAGTACTGGGTAAGACTTTCACCGCCGACTTGATGGCCTTCAACCAATGACCAGGGAACATTCGATAGATAGAAACATCTACAAAAAAGGACAGGAAATCCCAGAGAAGGAAAATTGGACCAGGCTAAATCCCGGGTTGTAGTTCCTTACTGAGCCTGGCTTCCTCTTAACTGTTTAAACATAGGACTTGGCTCCTCTCATGTTTCTGTGTCCATCTGAGCTCAAGTTGAACAAAGACTCATCGGCCGCATGTCAACCTGGCTCCAGTGCTTTCTGAAGCTAGGGACGATGACAACGGGGGTGGCAAGTGTGACTGGCCTTTCCGAACGCCACCAGGAACAGACTGTTTTCTGTGTGTGGCCCCTGGCTGCTCACCTCGCCAAGGGCAATTCCAGGATCAGATTTTTACTTACATTCTGCGGAGGGCTTTGAAGACAAGTGAAACTGCATTGGAGGCCACACACAAGTCGATCCTTCCTTATAAGACCCAGAGTGGGACCTAGTCCAGCTGCACCAGGCATAGCTGAATCCTGACACAGTGCAGTCTGTTAGGTCATGGATGCCTGGAGACCAGGAGGTCACATCATCTTCTCATCCCAACTACATTCAGGATGAGGTCCTGGAAGTCACCTGGAAACAAGGGTAAACATGTAAACATGGTAGACCCCACTCCTGAGATTAGGGCCAGACAAAACATAACTATACTAATCAGCCTGCAGACCTGCTTCTGTATTCAGAATTTGGAATTCTCCATGTCTCATCTTGCTTGTCATCGTAACAATCCACTTAACAGATGACAAAACTAAGGCCCTGAGAGCAGAGAAGGAACATTTGGACACCAGGAGACCTGGAGCTATCACTAGCCTGAATGCCAACTTTGGGCATTTGGCAATCATTGCCTGATCAATGGTACCATTCCCCAAACTGTACCATGAGAGGTTAGACTTCCATCAATAGGCTCCAGTAGCTTCCTTCAAACTCTTGCCATGTTTATAACTACATTAGTGGAATCCCATCTTTACTTTTACTTATTTAATAATTTAAGCTGACTCCCCTTTTAAAACTTAAGTATATTTATTTCAAAAGGAATGGGAAACATTAAATTCATTTATCTCCAATAGTCTTTCTAATCCTGTGCCAGAGAAACCCTTATAGTGCAGAATGGTTTTACACTGGTGACGTTCCCCAAATTCAAAGTAATCTGAACAAATCCCACGGCTTCACTCATCGACACCCTTTCTGGGTTCTCTTCTAACCATCTGTCTCTTGTTTCAGACAAGCATGAGGTCTGTAAGTCTTACAGAGTTTTATTTAAACCCCATCTCACTGCCCATATCTGTCAATACATACCTTAGACCCGGCCTAGAGTTTTCCAAACTGCAGGATGTGACCCACTGGTGCATTATGAAATCAGAATATATAATCGCCAGGACTATTTTTTTTAATGTAATAGAACAGAAAATATCAGAGTATACCACATGTAGTAAGGGTAAGTGGTGTCTTGTGAAGCTTTTATTTCAGTTATATATATGTGTGCACTGGGCATGGTGCCGTTCTTAGCGTGAGTTGACATCAAAAAAGTTTGAGTCGGGCATGGTGTCTCAGGCTTGTAATCCCAGCACTTTGGGAGGCCGAGGAGGGAGGATCACCTGAGGTCAGGAGTTCGAGACCAGCCTGGCCAATGTGGTAAAACTTTGTCTCTACTAAAAATACAAAAATTAGCCAGGCGTGGTGGCGCGCGCCTGTAATCTCATATACTCGGGAGGCTGAGGCAGGAGAATGGCTTGAACCTGGGAGGCAGAGGTTGCAGTGAGCCGAGATTGTGCCATTGCATTCCAGCCTGAGCAACAGAGCAAGACCCATCTCAAAAAAAAAAAAAAAAAAACAACTTTGAAATGGGCCAGGTGCAGTGGCTCGTGCCCTGTAATCCCAGCACTTTGGGAGGCCAATGTGGGCAGATTGCCTGAATCCAGGAGTCTGAGTTTGAGACCAGCCTGGACAACATGGTGAAACCCTGTCTCTACAAAAACTACAATAATTAGCCAGGTGTGGTGGCATGTGCCTGTAGCCTCAACTACTCAGGAAGCTGAGGTGGGAGGATCCATTGAGCCTGGGAGACAGAAGTTGCAGTGGGCCGAGATTGTACCACTGCACTCCAGCCTGGGTAACAGAGCAAGACTCTGTGCCAAAAAAATTTTTAAAAAAAAGTTTGAAACATAAAGAAATGATAAATATTTCAAATGATGGATATGCTAATTACCCCATTCTGATCGCTATACATTATATGTATCAAAACATCACTATGTACCCCATACAATTATTATCATTTAAAGAATAAAAGCTACAGTAATATTAATTACACATAATTCTTCGTTTAAAAATGTTTGAAAGCTATTGACAAAGACTCTAAAAGATATGGTTATCCTCTCTGTTTCTCAGCTGAAACACAGAACCAGGGTCCTCAGAGAGAGGACTGACACTCAGGTTTTTGAGGATCAAGAGAGCAGGGATGAAGACACATGAAGACGAAGTGGATTCCAGAGTCTCTGCCATCACTCATCCACTGTGCAGAGTTTTCTAGCTGCTGCTTCTGCGAGGAAAGAGGCCAGCGCTGGCTCCTGGTGCTGGCTTGTGTGTGTTCTCCCCTCGTAGGCTGCTTCCACTTGGAGGATTTTAATAGCATTTCGTCGTCAAGGGGATTTCTCCTTAAACACACGCATGAGTGCAGAAGGGGAAAGAAAAACCTTGAGCAGGAAAGCTTAATGACTGCAGCAAGCGGCACTGTCTCTTTAAGATCCCTCCCCCATTGGTAATTGGGCCCAGTCTTGGGTAACTAAGATAACATCCCTCCCAAATCCTGCCATTTCTAGGCACCCTTAGTCACTGTGTATTAACTGTGGGGTTTAGCATAGCCTAATAGTATAAAGTCCTAAGAAGTCATTCCTAGAAGAGTCCTTGTAGAAATGCTGCTCTGATAGGGAGGTTGTCTGAGGACTTCAACAAAGATAAGATTCCAACTCTAACACACACACGCGCGCGCACACACACACACACACACACACACACACTTATTTACCTAAATGTCCAGAGCTAAGAGTGGCCAGGGAGGAACTTCTTTGGCTATATAGAGGTTGGTCTGAGTTGAGGCCTGAGTCATTTAGAATTATCCCTCTCAATCTGGGAGCAGAAGTGACTTGCCCAAGGTCAACTTATGAGTTGAAGATAAGATACACTAACTCATTCTTGGTTCTCAATTCAATACTTCCTGTTTAAATAATAATTTAAAAAAAAAAAACCCACCCTAGTAGTTCCTTTATCGGCATCAGCTCTTCAGCCTCTTCGATCCATGCCCTTTGCCAGGTAACTTACAGTCCCTCCCCACTTCCCTGCCTCTTTGGGTTTGACTATGTGGCTTGCTTTGGTCAGGAGAGTGAGGTCGATGCTATGGTGTGCCAGTTCTGAGCCAGGCCTCAAGAAGCCTGCATGTTTCTACTTGTGCCCTTGCACCTCTGAGAAGCACGTGACATGAGAAGCACGTGCCGGCTGCTCTCAGGAAAAGAGTGGAAGCCCTGTGGAGCGGAGCTATCCCCAGCCAACCCCAGCCAACCCCAACCTAGATGTACCAGAGTGAACCCAGCCACACAGAGCCTACCCACGGTTCTGTAGGAATAAACGGTGCTTGTTTTAAGCCACCAGCTTGGGAGCGATTCCTTACTTAGCATCACCGGGGCACAGTTAACCATTTCAATAAGATGTATTTAGTAATGACAGTAAGATGTATGCAATGATAACCGTGTCAGACATGGCTTTAGATGCTTTATTTGAATTAACTCATTTAATCCCTGTAACTATGACAAGAGGTAGGTGTTATCATTGACCCCATTCTATGGATAAGGAAACTAAGGCGCAGAGAGGTTAAGTGAAATGTCTAAGGTCACACACCTGGTAAGCAACAAGAATGTGAACCCAGACCTCCTGGCTACAGAGCACACATGCCGGTTCTTCATCACTATGCTGCTATTTTGCCCTATCTCAAGTCTCCCTGAGAAACCTGCTAACGGTCCCTCCCTAACTAAACCCCAGGTCTGGAATTATAAAAGAAAGAAACCTCACCCTGCACCTTCCCCACTCTGATGTTCTTAACTTTCTCTACTTTATATATAGGTCTCCAGAAGAAGAATTCTTAGCGATCTACAGGCAAGAGATTTGCTCTCTAAACTCCTCCTTCTCCCAGAAGAGCTCTCCTACCCAGAGTCCCTCATGCTCAGCATGCAGTGCAGACAGAAATAGCAGCCATCTACATGAATTGTGGATCCACGCACTCATTCCAAGATCTTCTTTCAGCGAGCAATGGATTCTTCATGCATGTGATCCTCACTACGTACCCTACAAAGACCTTGCTAATGCTTAGAGATCAAATTATTTGTGTATCTTTTCAGTGGAGGAAATGATCCATCCACCTGATAGTGTGTGAGCTTGTATCCCCTCCTTCTTTTTCCCTCTCATGGGAAAACAAATCAACTGTTTTTCCTTTTCCTTCTCACAGACTGCAAGTCATGCTATCTTTCACCAAGGAGGAAAAGTTGCATCTGAGTTATTGCTGTGAAGAAGTAGTTTGCAGGCACGGGCAGCTGGCATTTTTTTGTCTCTATGTGAAGAGGATCAATGCAATTCATGTTTTCTTGTTCGCACAAAGCTAGATTTGAAAATTCCTGGAAAATCAAGGAAATGTTTAGAGAAATTGTTAAAATTTTGGGAAACAGGAAATCTGAGAGGAAGGTCAGGTTTTCGTAGTCTGGATATGCTATCGGAGAAGTGAGAAGGGGTGAGAAGATGGGTAGGGTGAGCTTCTTTCTTTTCTAGGCGCTCATCCCCTGATTGGCCAATGTGTTGGTTTCCTAGGGCTGCTGTAACAAATAAAGCAATAGAAATGTATTCTCTCACTGTTGGGAAGCGAGGAGTCTGAAATCAAGGTGCTGGCAGAGCAGTGTTCTCTCTGATGCCTGAAGGGCAGAATCTGTTCCATGCCTTTCTTTTAGCTTCTGGTGTCACTGGCAGTCCTTGGCACTCCTTGACTTGTAGACGCACCACTCCAGTCTCTGCCTTCACCATCGCATGACAATCTCCACCTCATCTCCCTCTGTGTCTGTACCTGTCTCTGTGTCTCTTCTCTTCTTAGAAAGACATCAGCCATACTGAATTAATGTCTACTCCACGGACTTCATCTTATCTTGATTATATCTGCAAAGACCCTATTTCCAAATCAGATTCCTACCAGGTTAGAGAGAAGCTGTCACAATAGCTCAGGTGAGGCACAATGAGGACCTAAGAAGAAAAGGAAGTATGAAAAGAGCTTTGGGTATTTTATTTTTATTTTTATTTTTTAGCAGAGTTCACAGTTCAGAAAGACCATGGCTCTCAGAGCTAAAAAGGTGCCCAGAGCCCCCAGGTCACAAATTGGAGACTCACAGACTGCGCTGGGCTCACAGATGTGTTTTAGTTGGCTCAGGCAGCATAGTTAACAAATTTGTAAGTGTTGCCAATGTTTAAAAGTCAGGAGGTCTCCTATAAAAGTTCAGATTTCCAGATTTTTTTTTGAATGTCAGATGATCTAGTGTTCTTGCCTTCCCACATTTCAACAATGGGCTGGCACAAAGGCATGACCATCCCCTTTGGAGGGAACAAATGTGCTCTCCACCTTTTTTTCATTCCCACCCAGCCATCTCACTCATCCACCCGCCTGCCGACCTCTGTCAGGTTTGACTTCTTGCAAGGGAGGAAAGGAAGGCCGAGAGACAGAAAGACTTTGCTTTCATGATGAGTGCAACCACAGATGAGTCCAGCAGGGGCAGGTTGCGGTGGAATGGCCCCAACTCAGACACCTTCAAGGTAAAGAGACAAAGATACCAAAGAAGGCCATGCACAGCCTACAGGTAATTTCAAGAGAAGGGCTCCACCCGGAAGCCAACCTTTGGGTTCAGACAGGACCCTGGATTTCCTGCAGAATTTCTTGTGGGAGATGCTAGACAGAGAAAGGGAGAAAAAGAACCCAAGGGCTGGAAGCTGACCCTGACAGCGGGAGAGGGAGTTTTGCTGATGATCCTTTGCATGCTGAGGCTTTGTGCTTTAAAGGGACTTTCACATTCTGTTTTTATTAACTGTACAGTGCAGAGCAGATGGCACCACCATTCCCTCTTCTCAGGTGAGGAAATGGGGGTCTAGAGGATTTACTGTGAACTCTGAGGTTTGATAGTACATGATAGGGAGCTATTTAAATTCAGGATGTTTCCCTGTGAGCCCAGTGCTCTTTCCAAGGAAACACCCACTATTTTTTTTTTTTTTTTTTTGAGGTAGGATCTTTCTCAGTTGCCTAGGCTGGAGTGCAGTGGCACAGTCATAGCTCACTGCAACTTCAACCCCTAGGCTTAAGCCATCCTCCCACCTCAGCCTCCTGATTAGCTAGTACTACAGGCATGCACCACTATGCTCTGCTAATTTTTAAAAAATTTTTTTGAAGAGACAGGCTGTGTTTCCCAGGCTGGTCTTGAACTCCTAGACTCAAGCTCTCCCCACATAGCCTCTCAAATTCCTGGGATTACAGGCATAAGCCACTGCGCCTGGCCAACACTCACTATTTTGAAAGTTGTATTTGCTCTCTGGCCACAAGGCTGTACTTCATTTGTGTCTGAAGTTTCAACTCAGGCCTGGTCACAACAAAAGCTAAAAAGGTTAGCTTACCCCAGAAGGGACTGAGTTAGCTAAAGAGAACAATCTCTAATTAACCACTTACCCAGACCCTCCCTCCCACCTTCCCTCTGCCCTCTCCTGCTTCCTTCCCTCATCAAATAGTAAACTGTTAAACACCTCCTAAGTGCCAGGCAGTTTGGTAAGCACCAGGATTGCCCTCTGGTGCTCACAAAGCAGTGGTGATCACTGTGCGAGCTCACAGAGCGCAGTGAAGTGTTCTAGACACACAGAACACTAAAGCGAAGCCACAGAAAGGGACAGGGGCCCAGGAAGTCCTTCTCAGGCCCTGGGAATGTGCCTGACTGACCAGGTGGATTTCATTCATTTACTCAGCAAATGGTTAATGAGCATCTACTCTGCACTGGGCACTGTTCTAGGTGCTGAGGTTCATCAGTGCCCAAAGCAAAATAAGTGTCTGCCCTCAGGTTGCTTATACTCTTGTGAAATGTCTGGACGAGTAATTTACGTGGCTTTAGGCAGATCCTTTTCTAAAAGCTATTGCATTGCCCAAGTGGAATAACAGATCCTCGTAACCGCAATAACTGCTGTAGAGATATTTACATTCTGTATTATTGGGGCACAGAGCAAGGCAACAGCCAATGCGGTGAGACATAGACCAAACAACCAATGGCCATGAACAAGCTAAATAAGTGGCCTCATTTCCTGAGGCTTCTGCTTCTGGAAGTCTGGAGGACCAGAAAGCCCTACTGCTGTAGAAGTTCTAGATGCAGGAAGGATCCTTTTCACAAGAGCGTAACCAAGACAGTCACAGGCTGCATCTGAAACCTGAAAAAACAGCCCCCATCGTGGTTCTGGGGGAGATTGTTCCTCCCCAGGCAAGGTCCCCTTCTTGTCTAAATTACTTCCAGCCAGATAAGGGGCAAAGATCAAATCTTTTCCAGAATAAATGTCTTTATGATGATACAGGGGAAAAAAAAAAAACAGTAGCCGTCCATGCCCCCAAACAAACAAAGAAAAAGAAAAAAGAAAGGTAGCAGTCCTTATCTTTGAGTCCTCATTCACCACGTAGAGTCAATCTGAGAACACCCGTAAGTAGGTGGACTTGACCGTCACAGTGGGAGAAGGGGCCACTCAGGGAGCACAGAGAAGTCACGCTTTGCTTCTGCTCTCAAGCCTTGTGGCATCCTACTTTAGTACCCTTTCATAAAATAGAGTGCTGATAGAAATTGGGATTTTAATTCTAGTTCCCTTTAACAGAATGTAGCAATTTGGGAGAAAACAGAGTGTTTATTCTTGAATTAGTGATGGTCGTTAGAAATAATAGCTATCGGCTTCAAAGGACAAAGAGATAAAGTTAGGAGCCGTGGTCAGTTGAAAGAAACATTTCTTGATTAGAGAGCTATAGCATAGGCACAGGGCTTGGATAAACGTGGTCTTTTTCTGACCACTGAAAGAAAAGAAGCAAGACCTGTCCTAAAATTACCAAAAGCTGTTGCAATTAAAAAAAAAAAAAAGTCCATGTTAATTAGAGAAAAAGAGAGAGACATTTTACAGAGTCAAGGAAGATCACATAGATGACCACGCCAAGGAGACGTGTAAAGTGTTGCAAAGTATCGTGGGGAAGAGGAAAAGGGCAATGAGTGAGATTCATGATTGTTAAAGGTTAGTGAAAGAAGTCTCTACTGATTCCGCAGTGTTTGCATTTCTGTTTTTTAAAATATGAAATACTATACAACATAGTAAATGTGTATGCTTAGTTGCATTAATGAAGAACATTCCCTGTCTTTTAAAAATAATCTAAATGGGCTGGGCACAGTGGCTCACGCCTGTAATCCCAGCACTTTGGGAGGCCGAGGCAGGCAGATCACCTGAGATCAGGAGTTCAAGACCAGCCTGACCAACATGGAGAAACCCTGTCTCTACTAAAAATACAAAATTAGCCCAACATGGTGGCACATGCCTGTAATCCCAGCTACTCGGGAGGCTGAGGCAGGAGAATCACTTGAACCCGGGAGACTGAGGTTGCGGTGAGCCGAGATCGCACCATTGCACGCCAGCCTGGGTAACAAGAGTGAAACTCCGTCTCAAAAAAAAATATATATATATATAAATGGTAAAATAAATTTCAAGGTCTAATGCCCACTTGAAAGAATCTTTCTAGAGCCAATAAGTTCAGATTTCAAGGTTTCAATTCAGGCCCTACAGTTCAGCCAGAAAGGCTAACATAGGTATAACCTGTGGCCTCCTAATTCCAAAGCAAAAATCACAGTATGATCAGGTATTTTGTTACTCTCTGATCATTTATCACTAAAAATCACACAGCTTCCATTTTCTTCTCTGTCAAAGCTTTGTTACGATACATCATGCTGGTCTGAATCAGTGCTGCTCAGATTTTCATGTATATTTAAATGACATAGAATGTTATTGTTGAAACGCAGATTCTAATCCGGTAGACCTGGGGAGGGGCCTGAAATTCTGCATTTTGACAGGCTCCCAGGGGCTGCTGCTGCTGTTGCTGCAGGCATGTGGACCACACAGTTAGTTCACTCATCATCTCTGTTCCAGCCACCCCAACAACGTTTGAGTGAGGGAATACTCTGGAGCTATGGCCCTCAAAATTTCCAGTGCATCAATATCACCTTGGAAGCTTGTTGTAAAATGCAAATTCCAGGGCTTTGGCCCCAAAGATTCTGATTTGCTGCTGCCACCTCCCTATGTGGGTAGACCTGAGCTTGGTGGCATCAGGACCAGGCAGTCAGGGTCCTGCCATCTTCCCAACCTGGCCTCCAGCTTTTCTTGAAAATCTCCAGCTTTGATGGCCTTTCTCCTCTTCTCTGAATGTGCCATGCTCGCTCTGTATATTTGAACTTAAAAAAATCAAACCTGGAAAACTATCCCCAAATCTTCCCAGTTTCCTGGTGACTCTCTGTATCTTTTTTTTTTTTTTTTTTTTTTTTTTTTTGAGACAGGGTCTTGTTCTGTCACCCAGGCTGGAATACAGTGGTGCAATCATAGCTCAGCTCACTGCAGCCTCGACCTCCCAGGCTCAAGTGATCCTACCAGCTCAGCCTCCCAAATAGGTAGGACTACAAACATGCACCACCACGCCCGGCTAATTTTTGTATTTTTGTAGAGATGGAATTTCACCAGGCTGGTCTCCAGCTCCTGGGCTCAAGCTATCTGCGTGCCTCGGCCCCCCAAAGTGTGGGGATTACAGGCGTGAGCCACTGCACCCGGCTTCCTTTTGTTCTTCAGTTCTCAGCTCAAATGTCACCTCCTCAGAGGGGCCTTCCCTGACCACCCAGGCTAAAGTAGTGCTGTCTCCCATAGTCTCTCTCTTTTTTTTCCCCCGTAGTCTCTCTATTGCCTTCACAATCCCTGTTACTCTCTAGAATGATCTTGTCTGTGTGTTTGTTTATTGATTCACTGTCTGTCTTCCATGGGAGTAGGGGCTCCACCTGCCTTGTTCCCCCCACTGAATTCCCAGTACCTCACACAGTGCCAGAGAATTGAATGAATGAAAGGATGCATGAGTCCACCCAGGTTGAGAAGCAAGGTGTAGAATAAAATAATGTCATGAGTTCTGGCCTTAGAAACTTCAGACTGCAGAGTGAAGCAGATGCGAGGGTTTAATGAGGAAAAGGATCAGATGAGTAGGAAAGGAATTGCTTTGCTTCCTTCAGGGTGTGGAAGAAAATTAAATTAGGAATAGAGGATGGCAGCATGTTGCAGCTTTCTTGTTCATGTGCTGTATAATACAACATTCTTTGTCCTTTTTCTGTGTCTGATTTTGAAATTATAAAAATACGTGCTCATGGTAGATAATTGGGGAAAGCAGAAAAATTTAAATAAGAAAATATAGATGGCATTGTCCTACCACCCACGGAGAGCTATGGTTTTCATTTTTGTGTTTTTCCTTTTAAAATACTTTCTATATTTTCAAATCTGTATATCTTACAGAATCCATACAGGGCACATAACATATAATTCCATGTTCTGCTTTTCTCTAATGCCTATAGTATCTTTACAAACATGTTTTTAAGTGATTGTTTAATATTCCATTATGTGGATGGAAATACATCATTAATTTTATTTATTTTACTCTATGTTCAGAAAAGCATTCTAACTTTGTGCTAGCTCTCTTTTAAATGGAATAGAAACATCTAATAAACGAATTTTTCCCTTGTTCAGAGTAGTGGTTCTCAACTGGGGATAATTTTGCCCCCAAGAGACATTTGGTCACGTCCAGAGATATTTTTGGTTGTCACAACTGGGGAGAGGAGGGCTGCTATTGGCATCCAGTGGGCAGAGGGCAGGGTTGCTACTAAACATCCCACAGCACACACAACAGCCCCCTAACATCAAAGAATTACCCAGCCCAAAGGTCAATAGTGCCGAGGTTGAGAAACTCACTATCTAGGACAGTATCAGGGTTAATATTCAACATCCACTTAAAATTCAAATTAGCATGCTATCATTAAAAGTACAGGACTTTGCCCTGGGATTCTGCATTAGAATCATGTCTCAGCTAATTAGAAGTCTAGTTACTAGAATCTAGAATAACTGAGTTACTAGAATCTAGAATAACTGATATTTTACCTGCATAATTCTTATTTTATTAGAAATTTTAAAATATCAGTTATTCCAGTGAAACTGGAAAGTGAAACTAGAGATTGTATTTTTAAAATTAAGCTCCAGGAATGGACTTACTGATTCTGGAATTCATCCTCGATTGGGTCCATACTTTCATGTAAACATTGCTGCATAGAGAGTGTGTGAGGCCAGTCCCAGGCTATTAGTTGATCGAGCTCAGTAGAAAACACTTTCTAAGACACAGAAGTGATTTGGCCATTAGAGAAATTAGATCTCTAAACTCAAAAAGGAGTTTTGATGAGCACTTAGTTAAGTGTGGATGTTTGGAATCGTGTTCCCTGAGCCTTTCCTTGAGTGGAGGTTTCACAACTTTATAGCTTTTGCAATATGTGAATTTGTTGGGGAATTCCACATTTAGTGGGCAAAATCACTGAAAACAGCCCCCTTCCCTTCTGTTGAGAAATGCGCTCATCCCTTTTATCCAAGACTTAGATCTTTGGGACTTTACCCAACCTTTGCACAGAGACAATTGGTATTGAGATAATTTGTTATGATATACCTCCTGGGTGATCCAAATACCACTGGTTCAATCCAGAACAAAGAGAATGTCTGCGGCACCTTTTCTTCGATCAGATTCTTGCTGGGGTTTATTGTGAATGGAAGGGGAGTTTAACTTGGAAATGTTTGGAATTGTGTTTCAGATATTTAGAAGATTAAACAAAAAGTCTTCCCAAATGGGTGCTGGGTAAGAGATATAAAACTCAACAGAAATCAAGAATTGCTGCCTGAGATGTAACAACGGAAATGCAATCTTTAGTTAACATGGACTCAGGATTTAGGGAGGGTGAGCGTGGGCTAAGGTCAGTGATTCACGTCTTGAGATCGATTCGTGCCTCTGACTAGATCATCTCTGTGTGCTGCGCTTGTTGGCAGCTAAGCCTTCTGCAGTATTTTATGGGGCTCATCTGCAGAGCCTCAGACTGGCAGTGAGGGGTCAGTGGAGCCTCACTTGCTATCGGATCATCTTCTGGGGGAAGGCATTTTCCCTTCTCCTCATCTCCTCTCCCCAGGGTTGGCTGAAAACAAGAAGTTTTTCTGGGCTCTAATCCACAGCATCGGCTAATGACACAGACTGTATCATTTGGGAGGCCTGAGAGAAGAAGGGGGAGCTGGGGAAGAGAGACAGAGTCCTGAGACTGGAAGACAATTTAAAATAAGCAATCATGGGCTAAAAGAGAGTATGTTGGCTATAAAATAAGTGCAAGAATAAAAGAGATGGATGGGAAGTCAATTCTCAGGTGCAGTATTTTATTTTTTCTGCTCTTAGTTGGCAACCTTTGGTTTCCAAATACTCATTTTCTTTGTAATTTTCCATTAACACATTGATTCAAATGCTGAAAATGATATAGCTAGTGCTTAAGATTTGCAAGGCTGTAGAAAGGCAGCACATTTCTCACTGGCAGGATATACATGTATGCAGACATAAAAATATACCAAAGCATGCAAGTGGCTGCACAAGAACTTACTTCTGAAAACACACACCCACATACGATCCAACTGATCAAACCCCAGCTGGAAAGGACTGTAAACTTAGGCAGTGTGACAAATGGGATTTGCTCATAGTCAATTGAATCCCAGATTCAAACAGTTTGGACTAGAGTTGGCTTGTGTGGTATAGGTATTAAGAATAGGTGGTTGTAGGGAATAAACTTCAAAATGTGGACAAATGTGCTTCCAGCTTCAGAATTTCTCAAAATAATGACTCCAACTCAAGTAGAAATCTCCAAGTCAAATCTTGATTCAACAATTCATCTTTGATTCAACAATTACTTAGGCAGCATCTATCTGCCTGCCAGATACCATGGCGATACCATGTGAATATGATATTAACATTGCCCTCAAGAATTAGAAGTCTAAGTGGGGCATAAGACAAGCTTACAAATAGTTGTCAAGTAAGTCATCAAGCCCTGGTTCAAACTGACTTTGCAATTCTAAGTAAGAGCATTAGAATTGGTTCCTAAGATTTCTTTCAAATGGTTCCATTAGTGCAATGGGCCTCCCAGTAGAACAGAAAGTCCGGGTTGTGGTTAACACTTTACCTACCCATAAGCAATGGCGTCTGTTAGTTGGATTCTTTGTTAAAAACAAAGGGAGCTTTCTTATCAATAGAGTTGAAGGTAATATGATTCTAGAACTTTTAGCCCTAGAACAATTTTGCTTCACACTAAGGGAAACCGAGGCCTAGAAAGGGTAAGTGATCTGGCCAAGGTCATATAGCCTGTTATTTGAAAGAGCTGGGAGCAGAATGCAGGGTTGTAGATTTTGAGTTTTCTATGATCTTCCTGTTCTTGCATGCCTAATTCATAATAGAATTCATGCCTAGAAATCAAGTCAAAGATCTTTGCTGTACTGGGTTTATATGCTGAAAGATGTATCCTGATCCAGGCAGGAAAGACAGAAGAAGATTCTGTTGAAATAAACCATGTAAAGTGCACAGCAGAATGTGTGTCACATAAGAAAGTTCAATGAACATGAACTACTATCCTCATCTTCATCATCATGATTACTATCATCATTTTGTGTCTTACTTTAAGCAAATCCAATCTACAAAAACCTCTAGTTTAGACCAGGTGTGGTGGCCTACACCTGAAATCCCAGCACTCTGATAGGCCGAGGAGGATCACTTGAAGTCAGGAGTTAGAGACCAACCTGGGAAACATCATGAGACCTGTGTCTACTGAAATCAAAAAACAAAAAACAAAAAAGGTAGCCAGGCATGGTGGCACACCCCTGCAGTCCCAGCTACATGGGAGGGTGAGGCAGGAGGATCACTTGAGTTTAGGAGTTTGAGGCTGCAGTGAGCTATAATCCAGCCACTGCATTCCACCCTGGATGACGTAGTGAGGACCTGCCTCTTAATAAAAAAGAAAAAGAAAACCTCTATTTAAAGAACTGGTAAATTTACTTCTCATAAAGATTCTTCACTTTACAAAGGCATCTTCAATAGTTTAAAATTTGATCTGTACTCTGAAAAATTTACACAACTGTAATACATTGTCAGGTAAAAGAAGATACATTTACTCTCAACTTGCCTACATATTTGCATATGGCATGAGAAATGTTAATTAGATTTTCATTTGTATTGTCTACATGACAGTGATAATAAAAGATGTCCATGAAGTCTAGAAATGTAGATATTATGAGTTGCTTTTATGACTGAAGATGTCTTTGACCACATTATTAAATATTTGTCTGTTTCCAGACTTCATGGGTACACTGTAGATCATAAACATAGTAAACAAGAATAAATTGCTTAAAACTTTGGAGGAATTCCTAATGTTTTGTGTGCTTGGTTTAAAAAAAAACACTTTTTTATGACAAACTCTGACTCAAAGGAGGATTGAGTTATTTTGTTTGAGTTAGTTTAATGTGTTCAGAACTGGGCAATTTTTTTTTTTGTTTTTCTAAACTTTGTCCTTCTCCAAAGTTTTACAATTAAATCATCAGGGCTAATTTTTCTTAGGCATTTCTGAGCTCTACAATATGGAGAATTTTATCCCATAGAGTTTTTCTTTTAGTCTCCTTTCTCAGATTCATGCTGGAACTAAAAACAATTTTAAGGATAATGTTTTAAAATAAAACTCTAGGCCGGGCGCGGTGGCTCACGCCTGTAATCCCAGCACTTTGGGAAGCCGAGGCAGGCGGATCACAAGGTCAGGAGATCGAGACCATCCTGGCTAACACGGTGAAACCCCATCTCCACTAAAAATACGAAAAATTAGCCGGGCATGGTGGCAGGCGCCTGTAGTCCCAGCTACTCGGGAGGCTGAGGCAGGAGAATGGCGTGAACCTGGGAGGCGGAGCTTGCAGTGAGCCGAGATCACGCCACTGCACTCCAGCCTGGGTGACAGAACGAGACTCTGTCTCAAAATAAAATAAAATAAATAAATAAAATAAAACCCTAAAAAAAAAAAACACAGAACAGATTACTTTCTAGTTTGGCTCTTAATATGATAAGGGGATTATCTGTAGGTATGGAAATATGGGGCTATTTCTCAATTTTCTGTGCTCAAATTACACTGGTTTCCAGGTTCTGCAATGACAAAATCATAGCCTGGGTGAGCATCTGCCTGGTCAATAAGTGGCCAGCATTGGCCTGAGTCAGCTAATTGTGCATAATTGGGATTATGTCGCAGGAATTGCAGTCCCCTCTCCAGACAAAGAAAATCACATTTGTGCTGTTTCAGGTGACCACTGATCTCTCCTGGCCAGTGACAGCAGAAACTTGGGTTCTTGCAAAGTCTGTCTCTGCAGACGGCCAGGACGGTAGGGATGATCAGTTCTGGGATAAGCACGAGACAACAAGCAGTGGGGGAGGGGAAAAAGGAGAAGGGGGCTGGAAAATAAGAACAACATCAGCGGGAGAAAGTCTAGTGCTGGAAAAATTATTGTCACCCAGCTTTTAGATACTGAAATACAGGCACATTTATTGTCTGATTCCTGTATTTGTACTGCAGAATCTGCAATGATTTTGCAATGATTCTGAAATGAATCAAGTCAGATACCTTGTGGGCCAAGCAGGAGCATGACAACCAACCCTCAGCAAGCAGGTGACTGGTTGTTGTGTTGGAGCAGCACTCTTCACCCGGGGTCTTGGGGAGAGATTTTGCTCCAGTGGCACCAGAGCAAGGGCCTGGAGCTGTAGCAGCAGCAGCAACAGGAGCAGCAGCAGCATACTGGGGACAACAGCTGTTGGTGGTAAACAGGTGGAAGGCTGGAATAAAAGTCCTGTTCCCCAGCCATGATATTATAGCAGAAGAGGAACAGGGAGTTTCAGCATTCCCCAAACCCATTTAGAGAGAATGTCAAAGAAACTGTGGTTGACGCAGTTACAGCAGCACTGTAAATTCTTAAAAGAAAAAAGTTGGTGCAGCCTCAGCCCAAGGTCCCTCAAACTCAGCAACATTGTCATTTGGGGTTGGACATTCTTTGTTTTGGAGGCTGCTCTGTGCCTTGTAAGATATTTGGCAGCATCCCTGGCCTCTACTCACTAAACACCCGTTGCACCCCTTCTACCTCCTCCCTGCCTTCCAGGTAGTGGCAACCCAAAACCAGAAAGAGCCTTATCAGCACGTGGATTACCTGGGGAGTCACGCCTTCCTTGACCTGGCATGGTGTGTGTGCCCGTGTTCACATGTAAGGGTTTACATGCGGCTGTCCTGTGTTCTACTGACTACCCGAGAATGTTCCAGGAGTCAACCAGTTCTTGTTTTAAGTCAGTCCAAATGCACGGGTGCAAAGGCCACAGGTGGAGCCAGAAGGTGTACAAAGAGGCTGCCCATCTCAAGCCCTCAGACAAATTGCTGTGGCTGAGACACGAGCCTGTGGCTTCCAGGCTGACCCTACAGAGCTAATCACTCCCAGATCCACCTGCTCACCCGATACCTATTAGGTGATGGTCACTATTTCTCAGGACACAGAGGGAAGAAAGCCAAAGTTGCATCCTTTAGGGGACACACATTCCAGAAAGTGGAGGCAGCACAGAAATGTATGGATAATTTCAGGGAGCCTGGCCTTCCTCTGGCTTAGACTCCTGCAGAAGCTATGAAGCTCCAGCTTTGGGGTCCCCAACCACCAAGCCCCCTCTAAGACCTGGGAACGATCTTAGCAATGTGTTCATATATTTTTATGAAATTTGCAAAAGTATGATCATTTTTCTTGAAGAGAGCCTCTCCTCCAAATTGCATAAGCTACAGACCCCAGAAAACCAGAATCTCTCCCTGATTTTCAGCTTCCTGTACATTATAGAATTGAGTCCTACTCGAAATATATCAAGAAGGAGAATGAGGAACATGCATCCACTTTTAATTCACTGACAGTGCAGCGTAAAGAATACAGCATCATTCACAAACAAAGGAATGAGAAAACAAATTGCAGCTTGCCCATTGCATGGGGTGGATACTAGGGTGCTGAGTGCAGGGACCTGGTTGCTCATATTCACACACCCTAGAGTAGAGGAAGCAGTAGGAACCCGGACCTCCTCACCAGAGGGCTGGGGAGGGAAGCTGCAGTCTCTGGTTGGGAGGAGACGAGCAGCTGGCCAAAGGCCCCTTTGTAGAAACTGGCCATGCTCTTCCTCTGGGCTGGAGGCTCCAGCCTGGAGCTCCGGGCCTGCCCCTGGCTTTCTTCTGGCCATTGTGAGCGTGTATTGATCAGGCCGGGAAGCAATAGGCCTGCAGCAGCTGAAGCTCTAGGGTGGGCCGCATTGATCGGACCCCCGCCCCAGGATATTTATAGGATGGGCTGGGCTAGCAAATAATCGGGGAGAGCTTGTTTAACGAGGGTTCAGGGTGCTCTTCGCTAGCTGGTTAACTTTAAGTATTGGAAATGGAATTGATGCGCACATAATAATATTATGATTCATACAAACCACTTCTCAGGCAACTCAATATATTTCATTACCTCCTTTCTAGCAAATGTATTGATTTCTGTTTTGCGGTTTTATAACACAATTTCAAGGCTGTTGTGGGTTTAATGAGCCGTGTTCTTATGATGTTTAAAAAGATTTGAAGCTATTGTTGAAATAAATATTATGGATCACCCCCTCCTGCGGCCCCCTTCCTTCTCCCGGCTCTCCTCCCTCCTCGCCCCCACCCCCATCCTGCCCCCTCCCAGGCCCGGGCGGAGTCGTCCGCAGAAAGCCGGGGGCTGCAGCTTCTCGGCCCTTTGTGGCCCAGATCAAAGGACCCGAGCGCCACAAAGGCGGCCCCACTCCGGCCGCGCGGCCACACACAGCCGCACCTGCAGCGCAGCCAAATGTCATTGTCGCTTCTGCGGGGCGAGCGCGGGGGACGCACCTCGGAGACGGCAGATGACTCTAATAACGCTTGATGGGAATTGATGGGGAAGGAGGCGCGCGGTGCCCAGGGCTTTTTATTAGCTGCCTCGACTTCTCGAGCCTCAGCCCGAACGTCTGCACCTGTGCACCCCCTTTCTCTCGGCCTTTATGGAAGTTGACAGATTTTATTAACTTTAAGGAAGAACTTTCCAGCGTGGGCAGGGCCGCAGTTTATTTTGTATTCATGCGAAACGGAAACCGAAAAACCCACGTTTACATATTTACCGGCCTCCGTGACCTCCCTCTGGGGCTCCACAAGTCACGCTGCAGATTAATTTTGTCATAAAATTGACTGGTGTGCTAAGGGACGTTGGGAGTTAGGGGGATGTTGTTGGATGTGAGGATTTTTTTTCCAATGGGAGAAAGCTGTATTCAATTATCTAATATCTCCAAGGAACCCCCCAGAGATTTTCCAAATCGTGCAGAAATTGGAATTCTTTTTAAAAGCGTTTGCTCGTGGAGAGAGAGCATTTGTAGGCAACCCAAGTAGGCTCCGCTCACAGCAAGCTTCCCCAAATCTTTCTGATGACCTAGAAACAAAAGCAGGCACCAGAAGCATCTTCGAACTTTGTGAGAGTTGGTGCCCCTTGGAGGTTTGGGGATGGGGGCTCTTGCATGTGTTCTGCTCGGACGTTGGGGCTAAGTCCCAACACATTTGAAAGAACAAATTATGAATCATGTAATAAAATGATACGCTTGGTCAGGGAAATATTGTTACATAACCCAACACAGTTGTATAACTTCCACACTCTCACTATTGGGAAGAGTCTGACTGGGGCAGAGGATTAAGATTTTGCTTATATTCATAGTTATCCATGGCTCTCCGAGTGCTTCCAGGTTTTATGTCTCATAACAAATGGAAGTCCACGGCTATGAAAATTCATGTGATATTAATGGCCAAGTGTTGAAAATTCAGCCACAGAGTCAGCTGGGTATACTGCTTATTAGCTTAAAAGCACAAAGCTTTCTGGAGCTTCTTTTTGTGAGCCAGATAAACTTCAGATGAACTGAGGATCATTTTGCAGGAAACTCTGAAGTTGAGTAATAATATAAAGTAGTTAGTAGAATATTACACTTTTCATTTGGGCAAACAGATGGGATGCCTGCTTTTAGATTTAATCAAGGGCTGACAGACAGGTAGGACGCCGGCATATTTTAGTTGGAGTCTCTTTCTTTTCAGGAAAGAATGAAACTACTTAATATTCAGTGTATCCTCCCCCCATCACCCACCCAGCCCCACTATTCCACAGTACCTTGTGATCTCTCACGCCTTTTTCTCATTTCTGATGACATTACAAAGTACAAAGGTCATCCAACTGCAAGCAAATCCATTTCTTAACATATTTTTCACTCTATTCTTCCCTTACAAAAAAAATTATAGAGGTGTGCAGTGTGTGTGTGTGTGTGTGTGTGTATATGGTTAAAAAAATAAAACAAGGGCTGTTAAATCACCAAGAGCACACCCAAATCTCCATTTACATAGACACAGACATAAATAAACGATTTAACAATTTGGGAGTCATGAGTCTCTGACCTCATGCTTTCTCAACTAACCTTTTTAAAAGATTTTGATATCAATTGTTTCTCTTTTTTCCCCAGAAGCATAATACATGGTAACCTTAGCATGCACAATCTGTTTCAACAGAGGGATACAGACAAGTGCAACCAATGGTGGATTTTAATGTCATGGTAGAGCTTATATTACCTTGCTCGAAACAAAATCTCCCCCCCACCCCCTTCAAATGCAAGTCCAATGACACCCCCTTTGGAGATCATTTGTTATGCAGAGTTTCGTGAGGCAATCAAAATTAATTCACAGTGATCTTTTCACCCAGAGCCTCCAGTTTCTAATAATGGTCTTTCTCAACAGGTGTTCATTGTGGCAGTCTGACTTCAAATCGCCAGACTAAAGGTTTTATTCTTTAGTCATTTCTTTTTTAATCTCGAACTTGTAATTTACTAATCTGCAGCAGCTGCCAAGAAGGGCGCAGCTGCTTACTGAGAGGGGAAGTGTACCTCCGAGGAGGCAAGGGCAGGGAAGAACTTCACTTCCAGAGGAAGAGGAGGAAGAAATTGAAATTCATGGCCTGGAGAGAGGTACAGTCCTGGGACTGGAGACCTGACATTGTCTCCACACTACTTTTCTCTGAGGCTGGTCCAAAATTGGTGACACCTGGTTCAGATTCCTTTGGACGGCTTCAGAAATAGGCTGGATTATGCACAAGTGCATAGAGAAGGGATTTTTAATAACAGCAACCACAACCACCCGATAAATACTATTCAGAAGAAAGGGACTTTTAGAAACTTGTATTTGTCCATTGGGCCAGTTTAGCTCTTGCTAATGCGCTGTCTTTGTCGACTTTCAAATCTGCCTCCTTTTAAGGTAACTTTAAAGAGACATGGGAGGAATTAAGTTTTACTGTAGAGATTCTTGGATTTCATGGCTCATCAGTATCATGTTGGCTGAGGGCGTGTGAGAAAGCATGAATCTAGGCTCCTGATTTCCAAATTGCTAGAACTGCAGATTCCAGAGCCCCAGCTCCAGAGCTTCTGTTGTGGTGGATCTTGGCACAGGGCCTGGGAATATGCATTTTAACAAGCACCATGAGGTTCTGATGCATGTGTTCTGGTTTAGTGGGTAACCCACAGAGAAAATCGAGAGGCCTTGATTCCCTTTGATCACAGTTAGTTGCTCCTCTTGCCTCAGTAATCCTATCTCTACAATGGGTTCTTGCTCTTCAGTCTCTTCTCAATCACATGGTTCTCAGAACTCAGCCTCTGAGCAGGTACACATGGGCAGGGCACGGTTCTCGCTAACAGGTGGCTTTCTTCCTAAGGAGATAACATACATATCTTGTACAGAGGGTAGATGAGGTCATCAAGAAGTGACCACCTTTGCCATGCAGTAATTCTTGGCCTCTGGTTTCTTTTGCAAATGATGCCTGCAGCTTGTTTATTAACTCTGGGCTGATCTCTGAGGCTATCTCCTGGCAGAGACAGAAATGGGGACTTTGGACAAAGATTGAAACTGAAGTAAATCCTCCCTGACATGTGGAGACCTGGGGCCCACTAAGGGTTAAAAGAACATTTGGATGCATCACTTGTACCCCTCAGCCTTGTCATAGACTAGAAGCCAGCTTTCCACAAGGGGTCAGAAAGGAAGGAGGGTGAAGCTCAGATTCCTGTCTGCCCCTAGACTTCCAGAAAGAAAATTTGGATTCTTTCTGTATTTAGGAGTACACATAGACACAAGCAGCTTCAGAGTCAAACCAGAAGTCACGTGAGAATCCCAAGCTACAGTGGAGAGTCTCGAAATGCTAGGCTCTCAAGGATTTATTGGAGACCTCATTGTGTTGTCGGCCACCCCTCCCCTGAGGCCATGCCTCCACAGAAAAATTGTCATTTGAGAGACAGGTTGTCCCACTAAGAGGGCTCAGGATATGATTTCTCCTTGGCCTTTTAGTTTGGTTGTTCCCTTGTGAAGGGCTCTCCTGGATCCCTTCAAAACCTAATTATGGCTGTAAAAACTGTTCAGAGAGCGAAGCAGTGCTTATGTGGATGTTGGGCAGTGTCTGCTCTGGCACATTTGTTCACAGGTGGGCCAGCCAAGCAGCTCGGCACTGATGGGCATTGATTTTGTAATATGTGAGCAACTTCACTGGTTCTGTTCTCATAGACTCTCTTTTGTTTTGGAGGGAGGGAGTGAGAAGGTTTCTTGAGCTCCAAAGACCAGATAAGCCTCTCTCTTGCCAGTAGCCTATGGATACAAAATTATTGTTTCCCAGTCTCATTTTTGTGTTGTACGAAGCAACCCTCATATATTTCAAATCAGAAAGGATGCTCACCAGCTTCTCTGAGAAAATGTGTTTTTATTCTTGTCCTCAGTGGGGGCCGTCCTAGGGTTGACATTGCCTAAGGACACTACAAAGAGGTTTCTAAGTGGGAATTGCCATGCCAGCTGCCATGCAGCTTTCAGGACTTGGGTACTGAATCTTCACCCCAGTGTGAAGATTCTGATTTCCTGCTCAACAGGATGTATTTGTGCAACTTATTAATACAGAAATACATACTTTACTATTATATCCCAACCCCACATATGGAAGGTACCAGAAAAGATTACCTTCACTTAACAAATGAGGAAGCCAAGGCCCAGAGAGCAGAAGACTCTTGCTCAAGGTCACACAGCAAACTTGAGACAGAGTATATTGCTCAGAGGGTAGGAGTCATCTTTGACCTATGCATCAGAAATTTGAATCTGTTGAACTATGAAACACTGGTGGAGCTAATAGACACTAAGAAAATAATTACACAAAACTATTTATAGTCATGGTAAGTAATGTGGAGACAGACTCCAAGGTGTTACATAAGGACTTGCCCAAGCATGAGGAGAGGGTGGACCGATTAAGGTAGGGTGGGTGTATCAGGCAGGTTAGGTTAGGTTTTGCTGTGTAACAAATAGCCCTCAATCCTCATGGGGTTAATAGGAGCTATTTATTTCTCTCAGGTAGGTCAGAAGGGACATTCTGCTTCTTACGTTCACTCAGAAACAGAATGAGAGGGGCTTCATCTCAACCCTGCTTCCACAGTCACAGGGGAAATAAAAGCATGTTTCTTCCTATAGGCAACACACATCACTCTGTCCACATTTCATCCCCAGTTGAAGTCACATGGCCACACCCAACTTGAAGGAGAATGGGAATGGGCAATCCCCCATGCGCCTAGAAGGAGGAGATCCAGAACGCCTGCTGCATAGATTTAGAGAAGGCTTCTCTAGTTTAGCTGAGATCTGAATTGTGTGAAAGACTTAACTAGTGACAGGCTAACATGAAGGAAGAGTGGAGGAGGGGTTAGGAAGTGGTGACAGTCCCTGGGCAGGGGAATCCTAACCTAATGGAAGAGCAGAAAGAAGCCCGAGGAACCAGAACCCAGACCACAATAGCCCTCATCCCAATAAGGCACGGCCAGCATATGGGCCAGGTGCGGTGTCTCATGCCTATAATCTCAGCATTTTGGGAGGCCAAGGTGAGAAGATCACTTGAGCTCAGGAGTTCAAGACCAGCCTGGGAAACATGGCAAAACCCCATCTCTACAAAAAATACAAAAATTGGCTGGGCATGGTGGTGTGTGCCTGTGGTCCCAGCTACTCAAGAGGCCAAGGAAAGAGGATCTCTTGAGTCCAGGAAGTTGAAGCTGCAGTGAGCCATGATTGTGCCACTGTACTTCAGCCTGGGCAACAGAGTGAGACCCTGTCTCTAAATTAATTAATTAATTGGAATTATTTTTTAAAAATTTAAAAATAGAAGCCAGCATAAGACTGTTAATCTCTACGCCAGGGGCAGGAGAGAAGCCATGCTGAGTTTTTTATTTTCTTTTAAAGATTTCAGGCCGGGCACAGTGGCTCACGCCTGTAAACCCAGCACTTTGGGAGGCTGAGGCAGGCAGATCATGAGGTCAGGAGATCGAGACCATCCTGGCTAACACGGTGAAACCCCGTCTCTACTAAAAAATTTCAAAAAAATTAGCCGGGCGTGGTGGCAGGCACCTGTAGTCCCAGCTACTCAGGAGGCTGAGGCAGGAGAATGGCGTGAACCTGGGAGGTGGAGCTTGCAGTGAGCCGAGATCATGCCACTGCACTCCAACCTGGGCTACAGAGTGAGACTCTGCCACAAAAAAAAATAAAATAAAATAAAAAATAAAGATTTCAGTGTTTAATGTTTATCAAATTTCATCTCTACAGCTAGCAGGATAATAGATGAGTTAATGGAACTCAGACCACATTTAAGAGAATGTTTATTGGGCAATCCCAATTACACCACAAACCAAACAACTTCTAGCATTTCCTGTGTTTGTACTTTCTTCATTTTCACCTTTGCCCAAGTCATCTGGTTTGTCATGGACACCATTGTGTGGGCAGTGATGGAATAGTGTCCTGAGAGTGAGACCAGAGAATCTTCAACAGACATGTTGGCGACACATCTTTGCCAGCGGCCACATTACCCAGGTCTCCAACCTGCCTCTCTTGATCCTTGGCCCACTGTGGTTTTTGGTTAAAGGATTAAAGTAAGGAACTGCCCTGGTACAGCCTGGTGTATTATCTCCAAACTGATGAACATGGAATCTGTGCTGGCGTTCAGTCAATCCTGTAATGCATTCTGACACCATAAATGGTTCATTTTCCTTCTGCTCAAAGTGGATGGTGCCCTGCACCGGGCTCTGGCCCTTCAACATGTACATGACCTTCATCATTATGACTCCAGGGGCCACACTCTGGTCTGGGCTCTGAGAGGTGTGAGGGACACAGGAGACACTGCAGGAGATGGCAGCACATGCTGACTTTCAAATGATGAGCCTGTAACACAGATCACTTTGGCTTCAATATAGGAACAGGTAGGTAAGGAGAGGGGCTGCAGGCAGTGGACACTTCTGTATTGCATCAGGCTCAGGAGGTGGGGAGAATGCCCACTATATTAGAAGGAAACTGTGAGCCAGAGAAGGTTAAAGGACTTTGCCCAAGAGTTGCAGCTAGCAAGTGCTACAGCCAGGATTTGAACCCTCTGTCTCAAACTCCAACCTTGCACTGTCCTTGCCATATTCACCAGTGGCCTCCCCGCTGGTGCTGGAAGAATTTTCAGCATGCTGCCTTCTCCCTTAGCACCTCACGGGGCCAGACTCACATTTGCAAGGCCCATTTGAATTTCATCGAATGAAATCTCTGGCCAAAGCAAGTTATTGCGTCCAGATTCCCAACTGCTGAGGGGCTCCTCTGTGCCAAGTGTCTAAGAAAACTTCCAAAAGATGATATTTGTGTGTCAACAAGGGTGAAGTGTTGGGGACCTCAAAGAGAAGTTTCAGAAATGGCTACTGGGGAAAGCCGAGAAGCTTTTCCCTTCCTGAGCCCCCTGTTCTCAATTAGCATACAAAAACATTTTTAAAGGAATAACCTTTACTAATAAAATGCTATAATCTCAATAAGACATTTCAGCAGGGGAATTATTAGATAGTAATTCATGCCTAGTTGCACTGACAGCTCTCAGCCATCAACGTTAGCCTAATAGCACACTAGGTGAGAATTAATATGCCATAATTCATGCTCTGTCATGCATTATTGCTTAAATAAGATACATGAAAAATAACCTATTCTGGTGAAATAACTGGTATCCTTAGAGTTCTCCTGGCCAAGCTATAAATAGTTATGTTAGGATCCAGAATTTTTTTGTATTACTAAATTTGAAATAAATTGTAGATATGTATCTTCATCTGTAATTACCGTGAACATTTTTCTTAAGTACTAACATTAAGTTCAGTCATATTCCATGTTTTAAAATTGAACTTAAGCAAAATCACATAATTTTCTTGAGACCAAAATAGAAATTTCTTTCCCCCATATATAATTGTATCTGGTACTTTGGCATACTATAGCTCATAGAGGCTATGACTTAGGAGCAGCAGAATGGGCCTGACTTAGAAAGGTACAAAATAGAAACGGGGGAGTGTCAGGGGCCTGGAGGACATTCCATTTGTGTTAATGAGGAGTTTGTGTCTCTCTGGACAATTATAGTTACTCATGAGTGCCTATGGTTTTCCTAGCAAGCGGGGAGTAGGGAAGTGGGAGGCAATCTCTGTCCTGCAGAAGTTTCGAGCCTCCTGGAAGGAACTGGATTGATGTAGATGACACAGTAACCTTGTCCTCATCAGGTAACAGGTGAAAAAATGTCAAGACATGAAGAGGAAGACCACGGAGTGAACTGAAAGAATTCTGTATACTAAGTGATAGACTTACAAAGTTATGAGATAAATTGGAAATGGAATCATTCATGCATTGATCATATTTTTATTTGATTTTTTTAGAGATGGGGTCTTGCTCTGTCACCTAGGTTGGAGTGCAGTCGTGCAGTCATGGCTCACTGCACCCTTGAACTCCCAGGCTCAAGCCATCCTTCTGTATAGCTGGAGCCACAGGCTCCACCACCACACCTGGCTAATTTATTTTAGTTTTTGTATAGATGGGGTCTCCCTATGTTGCCCAGGCTGGATCCTACATTTATTGAACACCTACTCTATGCCAGTCCCTGTGCTGGACACTTAGCACACAAAGAAGCTGGCAGTCCGGTGGGGGACATGGACACTTATCTATGATGCGACAGGATGCAAGCCAAAGCCAGGTGATGACAGAGCTCAGAAGAAAGCCATGCCTATCTCAGACTGGCAATGGGTAAGTTGATCAAAGAAAGCTTCCTGGAAGAGGTGATACCTTAGATGAATCTTAAAGGATGAGGAGAAATGAGCCAGGTAACAGATAGGGGTGAGGTGCGAGACGGCAACAGATGTCAATAGAGAAATTGCAAACAGAAGACAGATAGTGGCAGATCTTGCAGACCACGGTAAAGGGCTTGCATGTTGTCCCAACGCGATTAATTTTTTCCTTCAGATCCAGCTACCAGAATTTGGTACCAACATCTCCATTGCAGGAGAAGTCAGGGCAAAAGGTCCAAACTTGGGAGTTATCCACATTTGAAACCTAGAACATCAGAGTTTCAAGGGTTATTAGAGATTGTCTTATTCATCCTACCACCACCCACTTTAAAAATGGAGAAGCTGAGTTCCAGGAAGGGGAAGGACCTTATCAAGATTACAACAGATCTCTGGGATCCTTTTCCAGATGGTTTCTTCCTTTTAGTGGAAGGTTTTCCATTTGAATGATCAAATAAGGGAACTGACTACGTAAGCAGAGGAGGGTTAGCCTAAGTGGAGAAATGAATGGCTTACAACAACGATTTCTAGACTTCAGGCATTCTCCTCAGCATTCATAAATTTTACCATGATCAATGACTTGATATTTTTAACTGACTCCATTTTTTTTGCTTTAATGCATTATTCAAAAGAAAATGCTTACATCACTTCCATAAATGGAAGTTGACCTTCTTTCGCTATACAAAGATGCAAACCTGAAAATTAACTCCATGAACATCATCCTAAAATTCTAGCCAGATATGGTTGCTCACCTGAGGCCTACTCTCTCCTTTTTAAACAGAAAGAGCATCAAATTTTGGAGAGGTGCTAAAGATATATTAGCACCAAATTGAGGCTTTCTGCTTGTTTTTATATTATTGGAAGAAAACATAAAAAGGAATTTTTTTTTTTTACTGTGTGATTCAAGTTTATTAAGTAATGTCCCACAGTATCATCTAAAATATGTCATGCTTTAAAAAATACTGGACTAGAAGAGGTGAAATAAAATGTGTTATTACCACATGCCCCAAAGATGGGATATTGCAAGGATTTATTATGTAAAAGAATTAGAAAATGCCAAACTGGCATGTGTTTGTTGAAAACTTTATTAAAGAATCAATCAAACCTATTTCAAGAAACTCTTTACAAGAATACTTTCAGTTTTGCTCCTCTGGGAATGAGGGTAGTCCCCTGCCCTGCACCCTGAGATGGTCATGAGGCTCAAATTAGAATGTCATATGTCCAAGGGCTGTGCTTGTACCAATGAGCTGTCTCCAGAAATTTCTGGATCATTCCTTCAGGCCACCCCCACCACAGGAAGGAAACAGGGCACAGCCTCAGAGCAACACCTTCTGGGGAGTGAAGTCTACCTGTGATGTGTGGGGCATGTTGAGGGCACAGCACAACCCTAGCTTGATTTAGGGCCAACCAGGTATCTGTCAACTCTGAAGTGCGTGCCCTTGGAGGGGCTCCTGGTCTTTTGTCTTCCATGGGTCCTAGTTTGGGTTCTCCCAAAGCAGAACCTAAGACAAGGACTGAGGTGCAGGCATTTTGTTGAGCGATGATCCCAGGAAGCAGGAATGAAGGAGAAGGGAGAACAGAAAAGGGAAGGAGGGGAAAGAAAAAGTGATTTGGTGACTGCATGAGTTTGAAGAATAACACAGAATTCACCTTAGTACTATCCTGCCCACGGAATGAAAGTAGGATTATATGCACATTCCCACGTCCATTGGTGGAGGGTGGCCTTAGGTTTGGAGAGAGGCCACTGGTCCACTGGCATTGGATGTGGAACTGTCTACCACCCCAGTGCTGAAATCAGGTGTGCCAAGGGGACATGGCTCAGAGCACAAAAATCATTGCCTCCCTCTCCAACTGTGACAAATTTGGGTGCTATGGAAGCCAAAGGTACGTTGTACCCCAAGAAGCGAAGTTTTTTTTTGGCTTTTTTTTTTTTTTTGAAACAGAGTTTCACTCTGTTACCCAGGCTGGAGTGCTGTGGTGTGAACTCAGTTCACCACAACCTCCAACCTCCGCCTCCCAGGTTCAAGCAATTCTCCTGCCTCAGCCTCCCAAGTAGCTGGGATTGCAGGCGCCCACCACCACGCCAGGCTAATATTTGTATTTTTAGTAGAGATGGGGTTTCACCATGTTGGCCAGGCTGGTCTCAAACTTCTGACCTCAGGTAATCCATCCACCTCAGCCTCCCAAAGTTCTGGGATTATAGGCATGAGCCACCGCGCCTGGCAGCAAAGTTTTGTATTTACCCCAAATGGCGGTGAAGGAAGGTGGCTGATGGAATGGATGGAGTCTTGCCTTACAGTACTCTGACCTCTCTCCACACCCCACCAGGCCTTTCTCAAGGAAGCTGTCTCACCCTTCAACTTCTGGGGACATGTTCCAGTTAGAGAAACCTTTCTTTGGCATGGCAGGACTCCATTGACTATTTCAAGCTAACATTGATTTCTTATTTCCTTTGCTATATACCCAGGTGGAGAGGGCTCTTTAGGGCCACTGACTTTAGGGCTCAGTGGCCTCTTTCCACTTGTAATTTGGGATTTGAGCAAATTGGTCTTGGTGGGGAGTGGAAGGAAAGGAGAGGAAATTGCTAAAAGGCCATGGTCAGGACTCAAGGAGGAGCTACTTGTGCACCAGCTTCATTGTCTGTGCCTTTGAACCTCCCCCTGATCGTGGCCCTCTGAGCTTCTAGATTGTTTAAAGCAAGGCACAGGTGGAAACCACAAGAGGTGAGGGGTGGGGGCAGGTTCCCTTTCCAAGTCTCCCTGCCCCCTTCTCTTCCCTCCCAGCATGTCTGAAAAGGATGTGAAAATGTCAATTGTCTCCTGGCTCTGTTACTTTGCTAACCCAATCAATCCATATGAAAAGCACAGATTAAATTGACTGATCCTCATATATTTAATGATTGCTGCTATTTGACCAGGATGCGTTTCTCAGGAAGCGCCTGTCACAAGCTATCGATGGTCTTTTAATCCCGAGTTACTTAGCACTGGGCTTACTTTCTCCCTGAGATGACCAGTCTCCAGTGATTCCTCAGCTTACACGGCAAAAAACAAGATGCCAAATGGCTCTTCTTGATATTGGATGACTGGGTTTAATTCCTGGGATATGGATTTGCCAACAGATGCAGCTTCTTGCACATATAATTCCATGACTTCCAACTTTACCTTTGAAATTTCTAGGAAGGTGTCTGCTAATCTGAAGGGATGCTATGAGATTCTTAGACAAAAAAAATTCTCTAAATTTGTCACTATTTGCAATGCTATTATGTATGTCATGATAATATCAGCTAGTATTTTTGAAGTCTTTGTTTTACATGTTTTATTTGATTTTATAGTCAAAGAAAGGCAAAAAGGTTGATATTTTTATTATCTCTATTTGGAGATGAGGATACTGAGGTAAAGAGGTCAAGAAACATTCCTGAGATCACAGAGCTAGCTCATGGTGGAACTAGAATAGCTACCATGCTAAACGGCTGCACATACTGAGGGATTCACCACTGCACAAAGACAATAAAACTCACCGGCACTACTGACTGCTGTGTGTGATGGCTACCAGCCCTGTGATGAGATCTGATCAAGATGCCAGGTTTCAAAATATGGCATTACAGTCTCCTTTATCCTTCAAGTTTCTCTCTCTCTCTCTCTCTCTTTTTCAGACAGGGTCTCACTCTATGCCCAGGCTGGAGTGGTGCATTGGCACAATCACAGCTCACTGAAGCCTCCACCTCCGCGGGCCCAGGTGAACCTCCCACCTTAGCCTCCCAAGTAACTGGGACTACAGGCACATGCCACTGTGCCCAGCTAAATTTTGTATTTTTTTTTTTTTTGTAGAGATGGGGTTTCACCATGTTGTTTAGGCTGGTCTCGAACTCCTGGACTTAAGTAATCCCCTGCCTCCGCCTCCCAAAGTACTGGAATTACAGGAGTGAGCCACTACATGCAGGCTGTCTGTCTGTTTGCAGCCTTTGGAATACAGAATTCCCAAGAAGGCCTGATTCCTGGTGAATGCCTTAACTAATAATACTGTAGGAATACTTGTTCTAGTCTGTTCAAGCTGCCATAAAGTACCATAGACTGGGTGGCTTAACAACAGAAATTTATTTCTCACAGTTCTGGAGGTTGGAAAATCCAAGTTCAAGGGACTGGAAGGTTCAGCGTCTGGTGACAGCCCAATTCCTGGTGCATAGATGGTGCCTTCTCTCTGTGTTCTCACAGGGTAGAAGCAGTGAGGGGACTCTCTGGGGTCTCATTTATAAGGGCACTAATCCCATTCATAAGGACCTTATTCTCATGACTTAATACCTCCCAAAGGCCCCACCTCCTAAGACCATCACTTGGGGTCTAAGATTACAACACAAGAATTTTTGGGAGACACGAACATTGAGTCCATTGCCAACACTTATTGCACCGTGTATATTTCAACCTCTCCCCATCCAATCCACCCACTTTCTGTCTCCTTCTCTCTCTGCAACTGAGTCTGGTAGCACATTTTCTTACTCGCAATGTTTTAAAGACCTGTCTCATATATTCACTGAACAACAATTTGCCAAGCACTTACCCCATGCTGACACTGTGCTAGGAAAAAGAAAAACATGGTTCGTGCTCCCAGGAAATCACAGTCTAGTTTAGGTGAATGTATAAAAACAGTTGCGGTAGAATGTAGGTCCTGTGGCAGAGACCTGGGATGTTGTGGTGGCACTGAGGCAGCATGCTTCACCTGGGCCACATGGAGAAGGCCTCCTGGGGGAAGTAGTGTTTGCACTAAATCTTGAAGAGAGGGTGGCGATAGGGAGGTGGAGAAAGGTTTGCATTCAAGGATGATTGGTTTATTTGGAAGCATGGTTGGTTCCTTTAAGAAGTTTAGAATGGGGGCTGGGTACAGTGACTGGCTCACACCTGTAATCCCAATGCTTTTGGCCGAGGTCAGATGGTTTTTTTTTTAAGATGGAGTCTCGCTCTGTCACCCAGGCTGGAGTGCAGTGGTGCGATCTTGGCTCACTGCAAGCTCTGCCTCCCAAGTTCACGCCATTCTCCTGCCGCAGCCTCCCGAGTAGCTGGAACTACAGACGCTGGCCACCACACCCAGCTAATTTTTTGTAGTTTTAGTAAAGACAGGGTTTCACTGTGTTAGCCAGGATGGTCTCCATCTCCTGACCTCATGATCTGCCCTCCTCAGCCTCCCAAAGTGCTGGGATTACAGGTGTGAGCCACCGCGCCTGGCCTGCCAGATGATTTCTTGACCCTAGGAGTTCAAGACCAGCCTGGGCAACACAGCGATACACCATCACTACAAAAGATTTAAAAACTAGCTGAGCATACTGGCATGCACCTGTAGTCCTAGCCACTTAGAACGCTGAGGTGGGAGAATTGCTTGAGCCCAGGAGTTTGAGGCTACAGTGAGCTATGATTGTGCCACTGCACTCCAGCCTGGGTGACAGAGCAAGACTGCATCTCTAAAACAAATATTAGCTGGTGCACAGTGGCAAGACACGGTGGGAGGCTGCGTAAAGAAGGAGGGAGTGGGGAGCTCTAGGAAATAAGACTGGCAGGTTAAGCACGTTGGACTTCCATCTACAAGGCACCGGAGATCCATGGAAGAATTGTGGGCATGGCAGTGAGTGAGTGAAAGCATACAGCTCATAGCTGAGAGTATGGCTTCAGCCATGGAGGTTCAAGGCTGGACTCTCACTCAAGAGCTGTGTCTCCTTGAGCTAGTTAGTGTGTGTCACACCTCACTAAGCCTCCAAGTCCTTATTTGTCAAGTAACAAAGGCATCTCAGAGGGTGGCTGCAAAGACTAAAGGAGATAGAGAAGGTGACTTAGTACCAGCGTTGGAAACATAGTAAATGCTAAATAAACAGCAGCTGCTTCCATGAGCAGATTTGCATTTTAGAAATTTTGTACTGGAAGGGACATATTAGAAGAAATCCAGGCTGGAAATGGGGAGATAAATTAGGATCCTGATAGGACAAATAGGCACGAAATGGCAGGATCCTGAGTGAAGGCATCGGGAGCGAATGGAGATTCTGTATTAGTCTGTTCTCACACTGCTAGGAAGAACTGCCTGAGACTGGGTAATTTATAATGAAAAGAGGTTTAATTGACTCCCAGTTCTGCATAGCTGGAGAGGCCTCAGGAAACTTACAGTCATGGCATAAGGCAAGGGAGAAGAAAGGCACTTTCTTCACAAGATGGCAGGAAAAAGAAGTGCGGAGCCAAGGGGGGAAGCCCCTTATAAAACCATCAGATCTCATGGGAACTCACTCACAATCATAAGAATAGCATGGGGGTAACCGCCCCTATGATTCAATTACCTCCCACCAGATCCCTCCCAGGACATGTGGAGATTATGGGAACTACAATTTAAGATGGGATTTGGGTAGGGACATAGCCAAACCATATCAGTTAGTAAGGAGGAGACACAAAGGAATGGAGACGTTAAGGGGTCGAAGTGGCCATCAGTGGTGAGAAATGGATGAGGGAGATGGAGGCATCTAGAGTGACTTCCTCATTTCTGGTCACTGGGATAGTTATTATGGAAAAAGGCACAGGCTTGGGAGCGACATGAAGAGTTCCGACTGGGAGGTGTTGGGTTTGAGGCACCTAACGGCTCATCTGGGATGCTGCCTGAAGACAGATCTGGACTCCTGAGAACCTCCTCCTCCCTAAAGGATTGAAAACTCCTCCTGGCCTGAGGCACAATTTGTTCTTCTTTTGTACCTTCCAGAGAATGTCCCTTAGGGCTGGGTCCATCCTGTAAGGAGAACCTTTAAGGAACCGATGACCACCTCCTGCAAGAAGCCTCTTTGATCACTTCCCAGCGCAGAGCTATCTCTCTCTCCCTTGGGCTCTTATCACATGGCTTCTTCTTTAGGGCCATTTTGCAGTTGTTGCCCATGGGCAGGTTTGATATACCTGTGCCTCACCTCCACTAGATTATAAACTCCTGGGTGGGGAAACGACTCCTTTTCTCTCACATTCCCCCAAGCCTGGCACAAGGCTGGGATCTGTCAGCTGCCAACTGACTTATTGATGGGTGGATTCCGTCCCCCAGAGAAAGCTCTGAGGCTTTCTGCTTTGTCTTCTGCATCTACAAAAATAGAGAATTTGCCCTTAATCCATGTGGAAGGGAATATCTGACCACGAATGAGAGCCATCGAAAAGATCCTGAGACATCTGCCCTGAGCTCACAGGGCCAGCATTGTTAACACGGTGGCTGATGGCATGGAGGTCCCCAACCCCTCCCCAAGGAGCTCTCAGAGGCAGATGCATTTGTAGCTCAGCCCTGACTCCTGGTTTGTAAACACACAGTTGTAGAGTCCCAGTTTCTGAGAAGGTGGAGGCCATGTAAGAGCTGCTTCATTTTATAGCTTTATCCCACCCTTTCTGACCCTGACCTTCCATACATCATTCTTGACTTCTCCCACCCCACATTTCTGCCTTCTGCATTTGATCTATGGACTATAAGTAGATATAATGAAATGCCAAGTTTCTTTAAAAAGAATCCCCCCTCCCCTGCTCACTGCCAACACCAAATATTGGACCTGGGGATCGTCCAATAATAGACAATAATGCTCTGCTCACTTGTGTTGGGCTGGAGCATGTCACCTGCATAAAGTCTTGAAGACCTGGAGTCGCTGTGTGCTATGTGGTTTCACTAACCATTTCTCTTAACCTGTATTTATTTTCATTTTGCTCACAGGAAGCCACAAATAATTTGTTTAAAGGTAACATGAAAAGCTGAGCAAAGAGGCTCCCTTCCCTTCCTTAGCTCCTGCTTCAGCAAAGAGACAAATCTGGAGTAAGAAGGATGTTGGTCTTGGTCCTTTCTGGCTTGCAAGTGTGACCCCATAAGGTTGCATGGAAGAGCTCTGTTCCTTTACTTGTGGGGAAGGTGAGCTCCAGGGTCCCATCAGCCTAGACTATCTGCTCCTTTCTAACCCAGGGACTTTAACCTCCTTCGTTAATCAAAGGGTTATGAGGTCATCTCACAGTTCCCTTATCAGGGCTTCCACCTTCCCTTCTATAAAATAATGGATTAGATCAGGGGTTCCTATGGGAAGAGTTTACATATCGAAACTGACAAGCAAGAGAAGGTTGGCAGCTTCTAGAGCCCTCTTTCTTCTGGCTTAATTTAGAGGTGGCTCCAGGAGCAATGCTCTGAGGTTCCATGGAAGGTGTGATCTTGCTGTGCTCCCAGCCCACCTCTCCTGCAAAGTCTAACCAGACCATTACCTGCAGGCCCCTCCCTCACCCCTACCTGTGCCTATACAATTCTCTGTCTATAAGAGAGTTTCTCAACCTTGACACTATTGATATTTTGAACCAGAGAGTTCTTAATTATTTGTTGTGGAGGCTGTCCTATGCATTGTAAGATGTTTAACAGCATCCTTGGCCTCTACCCACAAGATGCCAGTAGCAGCTCTCCCCAGCTGTGACATCTCCAGACATTGCTGAATGTCCCCTGAGCAGGGGGAGTGCAAAATCACCCCTGGTTGAGAATCATGGTCTATAACATTATTGAATCAGGCTGTACTTATTATTTGTCTCTTGCAGTAACTCTGGGCCCAGACTGTGATTATTCATTTCTGTGGCACAGAGTAGGCTCCTGGAATTAATGACACTGGTAAGAGACAGTAGGTGTCTGGATCAGATGAACTTTTTGTACTTCTTGCACCGTATTCATCCTTTTATTACTAAATATTTGTTAATCACTGGTAGGTGCCTGGTACCTCTGTTCTGGGGGCATACTACAGAATGTGGCAGCCAAGGACAAGGACCTTGTGGAACTTTCTTAAAGTCCAGTAAGGATAGGGCGGTGACGGGAGATATGCAATGAATAAATAAGCAAGATAATTTCCAGCAATAATTAGCTCCATGAAGAAAATGTTTAAAGGGCCAAGGATAGAGAGTGACTAGGCTGTGGGTGTCTCAGACTAGGTGGTAATAGGGGTCACCTCTCTTGGAAGGTGACATGTGGGCTGTCGCTAAAACTTAGGAAGGCAGAGATGCTTATAAAATATTCACCTTTGCTTATTTATCCATTTCCTAGTACCTGGCACTTAGTAGGTGTTCAGCAAATGTTTGTTGGTGGGGTGAATGCTCTCTCTTCTCTGTGCGAGCAGACTGAGTGCTGCCAATACCCATTGCCCTTTGAATTCTAGTGTAAGTTAGAAACATCAGCCAAAAGGGTGTGAGTGCACAATGTTTGTGGGCAAAGTCTGAATCGACCCCTGAATCATCCTGTCTCCATTTGGTTGTTTTTACAAAAGAGTTTCTTTGAAATAGACGGGACAGTAATCTCCTCTCCAAATCAATCGTTTAATCATGCGTCAATCATCATAGTTATTTAAAACCTGAAACCGCATCTATACACTCTGGCCATTTCCCGGCCCAGGTGTGAACCCCAGGAACGGCTGCGGGAAATATTCGAGCTTCCCACCCAGTCATCTACCTCGCGATCAAATGCGCTCTGAGGATGGGGTAACAGGACTATTGTGCTTGGATAAGAAGATCCCCATCCCGGCCCCCACCCCGCAGCAGGGGGGAAGGAAAAAGAGCTTAATCATTAATAACACTAACTTGCATTTCTAGAGCCTTGAAAATGAGAATTTTGCCCTTTTTTCCCTGGGAGTAAATTGGGTCAGAGTGTTCCCAGAATTTACATTTCAATTAAAAATACAATAATAACACATTGTGCTAATAGTGAATGATTCCGACTCAGGGGAAGATGACACCGCCCGCTACTTTGTTAATGAAAAGCCCCCTTCATTCGGACGGGCCACACATCAGCGGTAACAAATCCCCTGTCTAGTTCTGGGTCTCGGGCTGGGTGGAATGGGCAGGGAGGGGTGGGGCTGGGGGAGGTAAGCGAGTCACCACCGCCCTGCTGTGGCTTCCAGGAGAGGCGGGCGAAACAGGCTGCCCAAGGTTGCCCTTTGGTTCTATCCCCAAGTCCAGCTTTCAGAACAAAACCTGACTTTGCTTTGAAATCAAAATTTCAAAAAATTAAATCAATTGAGTTTTTTTGGTTTGCATTTTGGGTTTGTTTTTGTTATTTTGTATTTCAGTTATTGGTGATGGCATCGGAGAGCTGCCACGGACCCCTCCCCCAGGCCTTTGTGAGTGGATTTAACTTTAAAAACATCTCCCGTTAGCCTCTGAGGCTGGAATCTGATAGAAACTTCAGCCCAGGGCTGCAGGAAACCTGAGTGCCTGGTCTTGCTGCTTCTTTGAGAAAAAGCCACTTGCCTGCCCAGTATGGTGGTGGTGAAGCTAAGGCCGTCGCTCGTTTTGAAAAGGCCCCTGCCTCACTGGTTTTCAGAGTTGGTCTACAAATCCCCCAGGTTTGTGTCTTTATCCAGATGTAGATGATCTGGGAAAGTAAAAGGAAAGATGGCCCCAGCAGCGGGGCCCCTCGGAGGCTGATGCCTCCGAGCAAGAAGGGGGTTTTCCTCAACAGAAACAGGTGGAAGATTTTTGCTCACAGATTGTTTCTGAAAATAAATAATCCAGTTTCGTTCTGTTTTCATTAAAAAATAAACTTATGTTCTATTTTTACTTTTTCACGATGGAGTTTTGCTGTGTTACCTGGGCTGGTCTCAATCTCCTGGGCTCAAGCAATGCTCCCTCCTCAACCTCCCAAAGGGTTGGGATTATAGGCGTGAGCCATCGCGCCTGGCCGAAAAACAAACTTCATATGTGGGAGAAAGACTATCACTCAGCACTCTCTCCAGGGCGGGGAGGACTTCAACAGCATGTGTACGTGCAGTGGGCTGGCAGTCCTCAGGGAACCGTGAATGTTGGGACACGGACCCCAAATCAAATCAGGTGATGCAGCAGAACGCAGGCAGGCCTGGCCTCCTTATTTTTCCTGTGGGCTGGGCCAAGTAAAGTAAGGGGAACATCCTAGGATATATTAAATGCAGGCAGCAAATGCAGCTGGTGCCTTCCATTGTGCATGATTAAAAATATTTTAGTGAATTAAAAATATGTCTATATAAAGAATGAAGATGAAATGCCTCAAATTCCTAAGATATTGGAAACTAGAAATGCACTCTCCTTCAGAAAACAGGCCAGGCATGGTGGCTCACACCTGTAATCCCAGCACCTTGGGAGGCTGAGGTGGGTGGATCATTTGAAGTCAGGAGTTCGAGACCAGCCCAAACAACATGGTGAAACCCCTTATGTACTAAAAATACAAAAATTAGCTGGGCATGGTGGCCCACACCTGTAATCCCAGCTACTCAGGAGGCTGAGGCAGGAGAATTGCTTGAACCCGGGAGGCAGAGGTTGCAGTGAGCCAAGATCGTGCCCACTACGCTCCAGTCTGGGCAACAGAGCAAGACTCCATCTCCAAAACAAAACAAAACAACAACAAAATAAAAACCAATAGTGAGTGCCTTGCACATCTTCTGCAGCCCAGCTGACACGGGATGGGCCAGGAATTGGCCTTGACTGCAGGCTCCTCCTCACCTCTGTAAGGGAACTGCAGAGCTCCCCTGTCCTGAGCCTGGGCCTCTCTCTCTCTGTTTCTGAATCACTGAAGGAAGACAAAGGTCACTGAGGTTCAGGTCCTCAAGTCTGAGGTTTCATCATTATCAGAGTGTAATTAGCACTCTCAGATAGTAACATTCAGTTTGCTATAATTCTCATTTTACCCCAAAAGGTAGGCCGAGGTACTTGAACAGAGATGATATAGGGAGGTGGCATTAATTAACGTTGGTCAATTATTTCTCTTTCATTGTCCTTAAGAACCCAAACCTCCACACTGAGCTGGGTCCTGAGAACCCAGCCACACCTCATCACCTACATTCACATGACTTTCTAGTCTCCTGTCCTCATTAGCCTGACTTTGCTTTTCTGGGACTGTCCTGCCCAGCCAGATGGTCTGACTGTTCATGACAGGAACCTCCCAAAAGACCTATCCATTCTTCAGTGAAAGAATCAAGAGACAATTTGTGGTCTAACATTTGGTTGAATCTGTCCTCTCAAAATCCATGCCTTGCTGTTTCCACCAATCCTGACCTGTTGAATCATGATTTTACCCAATCCTGATCAAGTCCTTGCATTGAGACGTCCTCCTTAAACCAAAGTTCCAATTCTCAATACATTCTAACTTAGCTTCCCCTCCCTCATCCTACACCCCTCTGTGAGACACCATCAAAACTCTGCCAATGGTGGTGTCTCCGTTGCTGCAGTCAACAACAAATTCAGCTTTGTCTTAGCAGCAGTTGGGTTGGTGATAATATTTGGGGAGCTAGATTTTGATACTTTCTCTCTTTCCAATCACCTGCCTGAGTGAAATCTCTGTTGGTTGCTAGCTTGTCTTTGATGCCTCTCTTGTTTTTTCCAATCTCCTTTTCAAACAAAGATCAGGTCTCAGGCTCAGAGCTTTGAACAGGCAACCATGTCCAGTGAAAATTGAAACAAATTGCTTTGTGTTAATTGAATTATTTTTAATTCGTTGCAAGCATGATGTCAAAATGATACACAATTGTTTCATATATAGCTGTATAGTGCAAGGCTCATAGTGAACGAGGCTTATCATAAACAGCAGGCCCCTGGGGTTGGCCCACTCAACCCCAGAATGTTAGCTCCCTAAAACAACCACTGTCAATTTTTATAACTGTGTCTTCTATATTTTTTCCCTCTGTACTTTTAAATGATATGTTTATGCTACTTTCTCCTGATTTTTCAGACATCACACGTAGATATTATTAATTTCCCAATATGAATGAGTGGTCATGTCTTTCTCATATATATCTCCCCTCTTTCCAACTCCCCACCAAAAGTTTATTGCATTGTATTTTATTAATCCAGATTTAGTGTTTTATTATGATGAATGGGTACAGACTATTCCCAGCTTAGTTGAGTGGTGTTTTAGGATGTCATTCTTTCCTGGCCCCTGCTTCCTTTTGCTGGGCTTTCTTTGACTGTCTGGGTGACTCTTCCCACACCCTCCAGGAGCTCTGTACAAAGGCCTTCAATCTGATTTTACACCCGGCCCCTCCTGTCAGTTAAGCTGTCAACTCCATTTTTTCCTGGAGACATCCCTCCTGGAGTTGTTCATCCTATGACCCCATCCGATCTCAACGCTCCCCAGGCCTACAACACAGCTGCCATCAGGGACTTCCCTCTGCTGTTGTTCTGTGCAGGAGCCCTGCGGTCGGGGACCCATGTCTTCAGTTTTCCTGATTTACTCCTTTGTTTTGGTGGAGCACATCCTCTGATATATTCCCCATAAAGCGTCTTATGGAGACAAATTTTCAATATGTTACATACCTAAAAATAAGAATTATTATTAGATTATATGGGATTGATAGTTTGGCTGTGTATAAAATTCAAGAGTCAAGGTAATTTTCTCTCCGAATTTTAAAACCACTATTCTAGTGGCTTCCAGTGTTGCTGAGGAAAACTCCATTGCCTCGCTGATTCTCAATTTCTTATATATGTGACCTGGATTTTTGTTGTTGTTGTTGTTACTGTTTAATTTTGATTTTTGTTTCTCTTTGGAAGATTTTGGGCTTTTTGCTGTATTTCTGGTGCTCTGAAATTTCACTGGGACACCCCTTGGTGTGGTTGGCTGTTCATTTGTTGTTAGGCACTCAGTGAGCCCTTTCAGTCAGAACACCAAAGTCTGTACTTTCTGGGAAGTTTTCTTGCATTATTTCTTTAATAATTTTCCATCCTCTGTAGCTTTATTTCTTTTCTTTTCTTTTTCTTTTTCTTTTTCTTTTTTTTTTTTTTTTTTGTCTCTGGACTGGAATATCTATTATTCAGATGGCAAACCTAAACGAATCCACTAATTTTCTTATCCTTTCTCTGCTCTCCTCCATTATTTTTGGCCTTTTCTTTCTTAATTTCTGGGGGTTCCTTTTTTATAGTTTTGTGTTTCTATTTCATGGATGGAATATCTTTTCTTATCTGAGTATAACAGAAGCTGCAGTGCCCACCAATGTCCTTTTGGGCCTTACCATTTTAGCGCACACAGGCAAACTTCTTATCACGTAAGGAGAGTGTGATACCCACATAATAAAACACCAAGAATTGGTCACTGCTGTTAGTTGCATTTTCAACTTTTACAGTGTTATAAAATTATTTTGATGGTAGAAGGACTGATTTCATTATCAACCTCCCCAAATAATAAATATCCCATCTTCTGGGAAGCAAGAGGAGTGGTCCCTGGCTGCAGATGGTGGGAGAGGGACTCTGATTCCAATTCAGACTTTCCATCAATCCTCCTGGCTTTAGCCCTACCTGAACTCTCACCTCCCCAGAAGCCTTTCCAGGGTATCATGGCTCAGAACTGCTCAATTCTTTTTTTTTTTTAATTATACTTTAAGTTCTAGGGTACATGTGCACAACATGCAGGTTTGTTACATATGTGTACATGTGCCATGTTGGTGTGCTGCACCCATTAACTCGTCATTTACATTAGGTATATCTCCTAATGCTATCTCTCCACCCTCCGCCCACCCCATGACAGGCCCTGGTGTGTGATGTTCCCCTTCCTGTGTCCAAGTGTTCTAATTGTTCAATTCCCACCTATGAGTGAGAACATGCGGTGTTTGGTTTTTTTGTCCTTGTGATAGTTTACTGAGAATGATGGTTTCCAGCTTCATTCATGTCCCTACAAAGGACATGAACTCATCATTTTTTTATGGCTGCATAGTGTTCCATGGTGTATATGTGCCACATTTTCTTAATCCAGTCTATCATTGATGGACATTTGGGTTGGTTCCAAGACTTTGCTATTGTGAATAGTGCTGCAATAAACATATATGTGCATGTGTCTTTATAGCAGCATGATTTATAATCCTTTGGGTATATACCCAGTAATGGGATGGCTAGGTCAAATGGTATTTCTAAGAATTGCTCAATTCTTTGCTTCTTTTTTTCCCAGGCCTAGATGTCAGTTAATCCATTTTCTCACTATCCTCCAAAATTTTGTTGATACCTGTCATTTGCTCTCTGCTCCTTTTCTGTTCTTTTTGGCACTGTGGATTTATGCCTTTTTGTTTTTTATTTCTTAACTATCATTTTATGAGGTTTCAGGAATGAGTAGAGTGAAGCATATGTGGCTAATCAACAGTGAACTTCTCTTGGGCTTATTTTTATGGTCATTGTCTACTGATGAGGTGCAATATTCATCTTCCAGTTTGGGCAGCAATAAAAAGTTTTCTTTAAAATAAATATTTTCTTTTTCTACAAAAGTGAGTCAATTCATTAAAAATATTAAATATATTGTGGAATATGGCCGAAATCATGATGGTACAAAGAAAATGACAGGAATTTGAGATTTACGGAATTAGAACGTTGTATTCTCTTGCTGTGGCAGATAAGAGAATCCTCTGTGGGGCTTTCTTCCGTGGAATGGCCACTGACTGATGCTGAGGTGCTCACTCAATTCATAATCGGAGATGGCAACAATATCCCATAAGTCAAGGTTAGAGAAGGCCTGGGAATGTGTGACCCCTAAAGACTGACTAACTTCAAGACTAACTTCAGGATGGGCCCATGGGGAAGGGAGTTGAAGTTGGGAGCACAGCCAAAGGGAGGAGAATGTGGTTTCTGGCCACTTGTGATAGGTCACTCCCTGGTCATCTGGCCTGAGGGTCAGTGTGGTCCCTGTACCAGTGTGACTCAATGTGATCCTCTGACTGAGGAAACAGGGCGTGTGCCCAGGGCCCTGCTAACAATACTCCTGGACACGTTCAAGCATCAGAGTGGACTACAGAGGTTGATGAAGGGGCTGCTTCAGAGTGGACTTGGTACTTCTTCGTCAACCACCCTGATGGCCCAGGCAGCTGAGCAGTGGAGACGGAGGATTCTCACGGTGTCCACCTCCCAGGAGCCACTTCATTTTTACCAACGTCTCAGGCACACTGGGCTGCATCTGCTACCTATACCGGCAGAGAACCCCAGCCGTGTGAGGTGGGCTGATGTCCTCTCTCAGCTATTGCACTCCCATACTTCAGCAGGGTGGAAAGGGGGGATTTCCATCCTGTGTTGAGTAGATGTCCAGACATAGTGGGCCAGCTGGGGATCTGCTTGTGCTGTTTGGGCATGTGGTGGTGTGAATAAAGGGCATTGATGAGTCTTTGTGTCTAATGAAAGGAAATCATTCCTGCAGCTCCGGAGGTTCTGGCTGCAGATTGCCTGGGGGTTATTTGTTTATCTAAGTGAATGAAGTAATGGACAGTGCAGATGTCTGAAAATTGCTGGGTTTGTTCTCTTTTTGCTTACCTGTCCCTCCTGGGTACCATTACTCTTCAGCACCCACTGCAAGGGTGATTTCGCCAATCTATCTCTGTTAGGTTAAATCAATCCTCTCCCAGGCTGGGTAATGGGAATGGAGAGAGAAGGAGGTTTCCTCCGTCTTTAGGCAAAAGTTGGGGAGCCAAGAAGGAAGCCCAGTCCTGGGACTGTGGTTCTCCCTTGAGGGTATGCAACTGTCAAAGCAGAGAAGGTTCCAGATGGAAGGGAGCTTAAAGGGCAGGGTGGGAAGGGAGGCTAAGTGGATGTGACTTTGGGTTGTTTTAATTTCAAGATAGCAGCTTCATTGTTACCTGCTTTACTTTTTTTTTTCTTTTTCTTTTTTCTTTTTTTTTTTTTGAGACAGAGTCTCACTTTATCACCCAGGCTGGAGTGCAATGGCATGATCTCAGATCACTGCAACCTCTGCCTCCCAGGTTCAAGCTATTCTCCTGCCTCAGCCTCCCGAGCAGGCGTGTGCTACCACACCCAGCTAATTTTTGTATTTTTAGTAGAGATTGGGGTTTCACCATGTTGGCCAGGATGGTCTCTATCTCTTGACCTCATGATCTGCCCACCTCAGCCTCCCAAAGTGCTGGGATTACAGGCGTGAGCCACCGTACCCAGGCATCTGCTTTACATTTTAAGCTTCTGAAAAAGATTTTGATAGATACAGTTGCTATACACTAATTTGAAAACCATTGCCCTGACCCAACCTGCAGAGCAGATATCTGAGGCTTTGAGAGATCACTGTTGTCATACCTTGAGCCTGGTTTCTGGCTTATATGAAGATACAAAGTGTGGCCGATTGTATTTTACAAAAATGGCCATAGTAACAGTTCAGGTCTAATATGGTCTTTCCAAATTTTGTCACTCACTGTCAAAATATGGAGGCTATTTCTCTCCCCTTGAACCTGGGCAGAGCTTTTGACTGCCTCAATGAGTGGAAGGTGATATATGGAGTCTATTTCTCTCCCCTTGAACCTGGGCAGGTCTTTTGACTTCCTCAATGAATAGAAGGTGGTATATGGAGTCTATTTCTCTCCCCTTGAACATGGGCAGGCCTTTTGACTTCCTCAATGAATAGAAGGTGGTATATGGAGTCTATCTCTCTCCCCTTGAACATGGGCAGGCCTTTTGACTGCCTCAGTGAATAGAAGGTGCTGTGAGTGATGCATGACTTCTGGGGCTAAGTCAGAAAAAGGGCTATGACTTCTTCCTGGTTCACTTGCTCTTTTTCTCTATCTCTTTGGATATTGTGCCTTTAAAGCCCTGAGCTGACGTGTGCAAAGTCTGGTTACCGTTAAGCCTCCATGCTGCAGAGACCAGCTAGAGATCGAGAGGCTCCAGCAGCCCTGGCTTTCCCAGATCCAGCTGGCTGAGCCCATGCACCAGGCAAGTGAGTGTAGAAGGCAGCAGGATAATTCCAGCTCCAGCCAGTCTGACAGCAACCCTTGCCCACCCACCCACCTCCCATGCAAGAACTACCCAGTTGAGCCCAGTCAACCCCCAGGTGCACTGAGAGAGAATAATAAGTCATTGCCATTGCTTTAAGGAGCATTTTGTGGTGGTTCGTTAAGCAGAAAGAGACAACCACAACATAAGCAAGTACACCATGGTGAGATGGGATGATCCAACATCTTCACTTTCCAGAGGAAGATCTAAGATTTTTCCTCTTCCTCATTTTCTTCTCTCACATCTGAAAGATCTATCCCATAGGGATCAGTTCAGTCTAGAGCCTTGGAGTTGATGAATAAATTTCTTCCATGTTTTTGCTTGTTTCAAAGGGAAAGAGTCTGGCTGGGCTTGATATTAAAGTTGTCTTCAGTGTCAGTGTATTTTGATAGGTTGCATGAAGGCGGGCCACAGATGGCTCACCTTCAGCCTGTAAACTCTTTTGCTTGATAGGGGTCTATTGATTACTTGTTACCTGCCTGCCACAGTGCTGCTCATCCCAGCAAGGGAAAAGTAGGTAGAGCCCAAAATCTACCTTCAAGGGGCTTTTCATCTTACAGGGGGAGACGAAGATCACAATGACTAACTTGAAAAGGGGGTGTAATGCAATGAAATAAATAGAAAGACAAGCCTGGTGATGTGCAAACTTGGAGTAAAAGATAAGTTTTACTTGGGGCTTTTGGGAAGACTTGAATCTGGCTTAGGGCCTGATAGGAATTTGTGTGGGAAAAGGGCAGGCAGACAGAGAAAGGCTGAATAAAGCTTAGGTGTGGAATTGTGTTTGGGGGATTGGGAAGAAAAAATATGGAAAGGGATTAAAAGTGGCAGGTGAGATTAGTCGGGGAGAGAAAAGGACTATAAAACACAGGAAGGAATGCAGTTACTACATCAAAACTAAGCGTTTGATTTGCTAAAAGACATTATGGACAATCAGCTGGGGTTGACAGCCTGGGAGAGCAAAGGCCTAGGCAATGCATAGGGGCCGACAGGCCCAGGGGAGATGCTCAACCTCCTAATAATCAGAAAAATAGAAAGAAAAACAGGTAGGTTTCATTTGATATCTGTAAGATTGTTAAAAAAAAAAAAAAAAAAGAAAAAAACTAGAAAAGTTAATAATACCAAGTGTTGGTAATGATGTGGGCACATTATAGGACCAGTCATGGACTGCATGTGGCCTATGAATCGACATGGCCATCCTGGACAGTAATCTGATTTCAAGTATGAAACTGAATATATGTAGACCTTGAAATCTTTTCTTCTCAGCTCTGGCCTCACCCCCAGGCAAACTGTTCTAGATATACCAGGGGCCAGTTGCTGTGGCTCATGCCTATAATCCAGCACTTTGGGAGGCCGAGGCGGGTGGATCACCTGAGGTCAGGAGTTTGAGACAAACCTGGCTAACATATTGAAACCCAGACTCTACTAAAAATACAAAAATTAGCTAGAAGTGGTGTCATACACCTGTAATCCCAGCTTCTCAGGATGCTGAGGCAGGAGAATCGCTTGAACCCGTCAGACGGAGGTTGAAGTGAGCTAAGATTGCGCCACTGCACTCCAGCCTGGGCGACAGAGTGAGATCCTGTCTCAAAAAAAAAAAAAAAAAAAAAAAAATATATATATATATATATATATGTATATATATATATGTATATATATATATGTATGTATATATATATATGTATATATATACACACACACACACCAGGATGCTCACTGCAGCACCATTTCTGAGGCAGGGAGCTAGGGGTGATCTGGTTGTCCATCCCTAGAGCAACTCAAAGATGAAAATTTTGTGGAGATGTGCATTTAGAAGCAGAATAGGTCTATCTTAAAGACATGGAGTTTAGTGGAAAGTCAGAAACAAAGAATTCTACAGCACCACCATTTGTATTAATGTAGGACATAGACACAGAAAACAATCTGCATTTTACTAGGAAACATATCTGAGAGAATATATATCAAACATATGACTAGGGTGCCTAAGAAGAGATGAGGGAGGATCCAGGGGATCAGAGATTTAAAAGAAAATAAAACAAAATAGAATGATGAAAATAGTGGACTAGGCACATTGGCTCACATTTGTAATCCCAGCAATATGGGAGGCAAAGGCAGTTGGATTGCTTGAGCTCAGGAGTTTGAGACCAGCCTGGGCAACATGGCAAAACCCCTTCTATAGAAAAAATACAAAAATTAGTCAGGCGTGGTGGCTCATGACTGTGGTTCCAGCTACTTGGGAGACAGAGATAGAAGGATTGCTTGAGCCCAGGAGGTTGAGGCTGCAGTGAACACAGATTGCACCACTGCACTCCAGCTTGGGCAACAGAGTGAAACCCCGTCACAAAAAAAGAAAAAAAATTGGTAGACCACTTACCTAGGAGTGGGCTGTCTCAACCCTTTGCACCTGAAGTTAGAAAAACATAAAATGGTAAGCAAATGATTAAACACACACACACAGCACCAGGCAGAAAGGTGGGAGGTCAATAAGTGTGGTTTTTGTTTTGTTTAGTTTTGTTCTGTTTTGTTTTTAAAGGCGGTCTTGCTCTATTGCCCAGCTGGAGTGCAGTGGTGCGATCTTGGCTCACTGCAACCTCCACTTCCTGGGTTCAAGCGATTCTCCTGCCTCAGCCTCCCGAGTAGCTGGGATTACAGGCATGTGCCACCACACCAGGTTAATTTTTGTATTTTTAGTAGAGACGGTGTTTTGCCATGTTAGCCAGGCTGGTCTTGAACTCCCACCCTCAGGTGATCCACCTGCCTCAGGCTCCTGAAATGCTGGGATTATAAGCATGAGCCAATGTGCCCAGCCAATAAGTGTGTTTTGAATGAGTGAAGACAGCCACATGGTGTTCAGGTCATTTCAGGGCCTTTGTCATTTTAGGGCCCTGCAAGATGAGAACTTGGGCTCATTAAGGAAAGGTGGAACCATTTGCTGTGAGCTCATTTGAAGGCTCAAGGAGGCTTACAACATGTTTGGCAAAGATTTCCATCCAGTCTGGTTAAAATGACTTGGTGCCTCTAGGGGGAAGCAACTGAAAAAATTCACTTACATGAAACTGCTCCTCCTCTGACAGGGGTGGAAAAATGAAGCCTTCCTGTAATTGTATGTAAATTGGGCTTCTAAAGTGCTTGAAAAGTTTGGAGACTTGAGTAGGCTAAATGTCACCCCCTGCAAGTTTCTTCACCCTCTTAATTTGCTTAGTAAATCTCTTTTTTTCAGAGTGTGAATTACAGTAAAAGTGGTTTATCTTTTTGGCATTCTGTCAACCAGCCCTGGGGTGCAGAACCATGGAAATGATAATGGATGCTATTGGTGGTGACCCCAGGCTTTCCCAGGATGTGGCAGGCTTCTGAGTCATCTTAGAAAGTTGAAATGAATTTCTGCAGAGTTTTAGCTTTGAATAAATGTTATATAAACTGAGCCTTGGAGAACTGGCTATTTGTGTGTGATGGTATACTTGGAAACTATTCAAGCAAGGATTTGATTGGCCAAAATACTCATCTCCACTAATCACTGATGACTAGAAATGAAAGTTAAGGAAGAGTACTCTCGCTTTGTGTGTTTTCTGTTATTGCTCAGTCACCTTGTGGTGGATTCGAGGTGGCCACAGATTCTTGTCACTTTCCCTCCTGAGAGGTGGAGCTTATTTTTCTGCCCCTTTGAAAGTGGGCTGCCTCTGACTGCTGTAACCCTAAACTATGATAGAAGTGACAGAATGCCAGGCCTAGATTTAAGAGGGCTGGCGATTTCCACTTTGGCTGTATTGTAACACACAGTTTGTAGCACCACACTCATGGTGGTGGGTCCAACCACCATGCCAAGAAGTCAGAGCTGGCCTCATGGAGAGATTATATGGAGAGAGAGGGAAGACCCAGCCTGCCAGCCACCTCTGCCCATGTGCCAGGCATGGGAGAAAAGTCGTCTTAGATGATGGCTGCATCTGTCTGAGAGATCCCAAACAAGAAAAGTAGAATGGTAACCATAATAACTGGCTGGTGCTTTAAGCTACTAGGTTTCGTGATTTGTTAGGCAAACAATAGGAACTGAAACAATACTATTTTTTCCCTTTGCTTTTTTGTGGGTACATAGTAGATGTATGTACTTCTGGGGTACACGAGATGGTTTGATGAAGGCATGCAATGTGAAATAAGCACATCATGGGAATGGGATATTCATCCCCTGAAGCATTTCTTCTTTGAGTGACAAACAATCCAATTATACTCCCTGTTTAGGCCACCTACCAGACAAACCAGAACCAGACACATGGAGAAGGTAAAGTAAAGCAAGAGTGGAAGGCTAATAGTCAGAGATGGACTTGTGTGTTCAGATTTAGAGACACTACATTTATCTAATAGTCATTAACAGCTTCCTTCCAAGTCTTAATCCCTTTGTAGGCAAGTAAAGAATCGGTAAGTTAGCCAGTGAAGTCCAAGTTATTATTGATGAAACAATACTTGGTTTTGTTTTCAACTGAGAAGCTATCAAAAAATGTATTAATTCATATAAAAACAATCGATAACTCCATTACATAAGTAGAATTTTTATTAATTTTTTTAAATTTCTTAAAAATATTTTAATTTGGTAAAACTCACATAACATAAAATTTACAATTTTAACCATTCTTGTGTGTATAATTCAGTGGCATGAAGTACATTCACATTGTTGTGGAATCATCACCATTCTCTGTCTCAGAACTTTCTCATCATCCCAAATGGAAACTCTGTACCCATTAATACAAACTCCCCATTCTTCCTTCCCCAGTCCCTAGCATCCAGCATTCTACTTTCTGTCTCTATGAATTTGACTACTCTAGGGACCTCATATAAGTAGGATAATCCTTGTGGTTTCTAACCTCTGTTTTGTAAAACACCTTATCCACAGTGATAGTTAATTTTATGTACTGACTGAGTCATGTGATGCCCAGATATCTGATCAAACATTATTCTGGGTGTTTCTGAGAGGCTGTTTTTGGATGAGATTAACATTTAAATCCGTAGACTGAATCAAGCAGATTGCCCGTCCATAATATGGGTGGGCCTCATCCAATCAATTGAAGGCCTGAATAGAACAAAATCTGACCCTCTGCTGAGTAAGACAAAATTCTCTGGTCTGACAGCCTTCAAAGTACACCAGACCTTCCTGGTTCTATAGAAGCTTCCAGCCCTTGGACTGGAGCATCAGCTCTGCAGATTTTGGACTTGCCAGCCTCCATAATCATGTGAACAAATTCCTTATAACAAATAAACTATTTTTACATCTATATCTACATTCATGTATCACCTATTGGTTCTGTTTCTCTAAAGAACTCTGATATACCCACCATGGCCTGTATTGAGATTTTCACTGCAATACGGCAATTTGGAAACCAAATTAGATCTAATGTTTCCACCTAATATTTGTTGCTATATTTCATTTATGCCATATTCAGACACAGATGTCTGCAGGGGCTTCCTTGGTGAGAAAGGAAGAAGCTGTTTTCTTGAAGGTGACTAGGGGAAATCAATGGGTAGTGTAGTATGTCTTTGCAATAGTTCCAGCTGAAACATCTGCTTCCCAGTAATGACTCAAATTCTCCATGTTTAGGCCACCTACCAGACTAACCATAACCAGACACATGGCGAAGGTAAAGTAAAGCAAGAGAGGAAGGCTAATAGTCAGAGATGGACTTGTGTGTTCAGATTTAGAGACACTACATTTATCTAATAGTCATTAACAGCTTCCTTCCAAGTCTTACTCCCCTTTGTAGGCAAGTAAAGAATTGGTAAGTTAGCCAGTGAAGTCCAAGGGAACTCTATCACCATCTTACTCTTCAAGGAACTGGAAAATGCTGCTTGCTAAACTACACTGAAAGATTTTTATCTTCATATCTGCCTACACAGGTAGTATTTTCTCCCTGTCTGCATTCATACTTGGTAAAGTTTTGCTTTGAAATACAGGAAAAGGGATCAACAAATGTGATCTTCTCTACACCATTGTAATTGAACTCTCTTGTGTTTTTCACAAATGGTTCATGTGTGTTCATCTCTGGATTAGTGAGGCTCAGGCCAGCAAAGCAGAATCCAGCGTAAGTACAATAAGGAAAGGAATTTAATGTAGGGGTTGTTCACACAGGTGATAGATGAGGGAGAAGCCAAGCAGAGGACAGTGGGAAAATAACATTAGAAATTGCAGGAAGCCACTTCTGCCACTAGGCTGGAGGGTCAAAGGGAGGAGGTGGATTGCTAGAGTCCAAGATGGAAGCTGGAATCACAGTGGGCTGTCAGGTGGAATCTGGAATTAGGGAGGGCAGTGAATCTCTGCCTGGGACCTCTCCTAAGGCAGAAAGGAAGAAGGAGAAATGCACTGGCTCCTTTGATTCCTACTGCTTTCCCACTTCCACCAGGATCTCCCACTGGCTGAACCAAACTGGGAATGAAGTGACATGGAAATCTGAGATGCAGCCTACAGAAATCAGTCCTCCTAGCATCCATGGCAGAGGATGGGTGAAACTGGCAAACAGTTTCCTAAGCTAAGACTGAGCCCCAAACAGGTATGCAATTCACACATGAAAACCAAAACAACAACAAAACCTTTTTAAAATCAATATTTCATAGACAATTTGAAAGAGTCAGACTTTAGTGTAAACCTTGGTTTCTTCATTTGCTAGCTGTTTGATATTGGGTGAATGTTTTAATCTCTCTGAATCTCAGTTGTAAATAAGAATAATTATAGTACATTTCTCAAAAAAAGTTATGAGATATTGTGGGGAAAAGACCAGGCTTGAAGTATGGTTTTTAACATTTTACTTTAAATCTGCATGCAGAAAGAAATAAGGGCTCCCAGGTTGAGCTGGGGTCTTTCCTACCTTAGTTCTTAACATATACATCTTACCAGTTTTCTTTTATGTATAAATGCAAGTTTTGCATTTATACATAATACCTTAATATAATGGATTAAGTACATAATACTTAATCCATTATACATATATTTATACACAAACACAAGTAATTTTAGACATAAATACAATCCATAAATATGATATTCTCCACCCCTGCCCCACACACCCCTTTCAGAAAAATACAATCCATAAATATGATATCCTCCACCCCCACCCCACACACCCCTTCCAGAAAATGCTTTAGAATCCCTAGGAAAAAAAGAATCTTGTATTCACAAGTAAAGAAACTTCACGTTAGTGGGTGCAGCGCACCAGCATGGCACATGTATACATATGTAACTAACCTGCACAATGTGCACATGTACCCTGAAACTTAGAGTATAATAAAAAAAATAAATAAATAAATAAATAAATAAAAAAAGAAACTTCAAAAGGATTTGAAAAGACATTCAAACATATATTTTGAAAATAAAAGGAGTCACAGTAAATGAGATCAAATATACTTTTGAAAAGAAATTCAAATGTCCCTTTTCAAAAAAAGAAGAGTCCCTTGCTTAGTTCAGAAGAACAAAGGGGAAGAAGACCCTTCAGGGTACTGAGGGTTGTTCAAAGAGGTGAAATTATAAAGATATTATTTGTTGGTTAAGTGTTTCCATTTTTCTAATGTGTGACAGGAAGCTCTGTTGATTGTAGAAAGGCTAATTTTCATATCAGAAGATTAAATCAGATACAACACCCTTAGTATAGGGTCTGGAATGGAAAAAAAAGTGCTTTAAAATGCTAAGCGTCATCATTATCATTAGGACAGTGGCGAAAGGAGGAAGGAAATGGTGGATAACAGTCTTAGCAGCCCAGTATCATGACATATTATTATTATTATTATTATTACTATTATTATTTAAGACAGGGTCTTGCTCTGTCACCCAGGCTGGAGTCCAGTGGTGCAATCTTGGCTCACTGCAGCCTTTAACTTCTGGGCTCCAGTGATCTTCCCACCTAAGTCTCTTGAGTAGCTGGAAGTACAGGTGCACACTACCATGCTGGGCAATTTTTGAAGGTTTTTTTGCAGAGATGGAGTCTCATTGTGTTGCCCAGACTGATCGTGAACTCCTGGCCTCAAGTGATCCTCTTGTCTGAGCTTCCCAAAGTGCTGGTTAGGATTGCAGGCATGTCATGTTTTATGCGGCAATAATCATGCCTAGGTCATGACGTGCTTTATGTGGTAATCAGTTGGAAGTGTAAGAAAATTAAATTAGGGATTAAAAAAATTAATAATTAAAATGTTATCATCTGCTAATAATTCTTACGCTTTAGAACGATTCCAATCTATGCATATGTAAATGCCACTCATTTACATGTTGGGCACTCCCCAGAGTGGTGAGGTGGCCATGCCTCATAGGGAAAGTCAAGGTCATCTAAGGTCATATGTTGCTTACGAAAAATCACTCACAAGTTCATGGATGCTGTCTGCCATATATGTTTCAAGCAACAGGCTGGGAACCCTAAGTGTCTCCTGGATATCCATATTACAAAAAGGAGCTTTGTAGCATGTCTCTGGTGCCTTTTTCTCATTACATTCCCTTTCCAAGAGGACACTCAGCTCAGAGCAGTCTACACTAGTTTTCCTTGGCAAAAATCTGGCAAGACATTCTGGGAAACAAGCTTCCCCCTTGCTGTTCTTGTGATAGTGAATGAGTTCTCACAAGATCTGATTGTTTGAAAATGTATGGCACTTCCCCTTCTTCTCTCCCTCTCTCTCTCCTGCTGTGCCATGGTAAGAGATGCTTGATTCCCTTATATCTTCTGCCGTGAGTGTAAGTTTCCTGAGGCCCCCTAGTCATGCTTCCTATTAAACCTGTGGAATTGTAAGTCAATTAAAGCACTTTCCTTCATAAGTTGCCCAGTCTGAAGTAGTTCTTTATAGCAGTGTGAAAATGGACTAACACAGAAAATTGGTACCAGGAGAGTGGGGCATTGCTATAAAGATATCTGAAAATGTGGAAGTGACTTTGGAACTGGGTATGGGGCAGAAGTTGGAACAGTTTGGAGAGCTCAGAAAAAGACAGGAAGATGAGGGAAGGTTTGGAACGTCCAAGAGACTTGTTGAATGATTTGGACTAAAATGCTGATAGTGATATGGACAAAGATGGCCAGGCTGATGAGGTCTCAGATGGTGAAGCGGAACTTTTGGGAACTGGAAGGAACTTATTGGTACTGGAGTAAAGGTTACTTTTACTATGCTTTAGCAAAGAGACTAGTGACATTGTACCCCTGCTCTAGAGATCTGTGGAATTTTGAACTTGAGAGAGATGATTTAGGATATCTGATGGAAAAAATTTCTAAGCAGCAAAGCATTCAGGATGTAGCCTGGCTGATCCTAATAGCATATAGTCATATGCATTCACAGGGAAATGGTCTGAAATTGGAACTTATGTTTAAAGGGGAAGCAGAGCATAAAAGTTTGGAAAGTTTGCAGCCTGACAAAGTGGTAGAAAAGAAAAACTCATTTTCTGGGGATAAAATCAAGCTGACTGCAGAAGTTTGCATAAGTAAAGAGGAGCCAAATGTTGACAGCCAAGACAATGGGGAAAATGTCTCCAGTCATGTCAGAGACCTTTGTGGCAGACTCTCCCATCAGAATCCCAGAGGTCTAGAAGGGACAAATGGTTTCCTGGGCCAGGCCCAGGGCTCCACTGCTTTATGCAGCCTCAGGACATGGTACCCTGCATCCCAGCCATTCCAGTTCTAGCCATGGCTAAAAGGGGCCAAGGTACAGCTCAGGCCATTGCTTCAGAGGGTGCAAGCCCTAAGCCTTGGTGACATCCATGTGGCGTTGGGCCTGCAGATGAACAGGAGGCAAGAGTTGCAGCTTAAGAGTCTCTGCCTAGATTTCAGAGGATGTGTGGAAATGCCTGGATGTCCAGGCAGAAGCCCACTGTAGGGACAGAACCCTCATGAAAAACCTCTACTAGGACAGTGCTGAGGGGAAATGTGGGGTTGGAGCCTCCACACAGAGTCCTCACTGGGGCACTGCCTAGTGGAGCTGTGAGAAGAGGGCCACTGTCCTCCAGAACCCAGAATGGTAGATCTACTCACAGCTTGCACCTAATGCCTGGAAAAGCTGCAGGCACTCAACACCAGACCATAAAAGCAGCCAGGGGGGGTGTACCCTGCACAGCCACAGGGATGGAGTTGCCCAAGGTCTTAGGAGCCCACCCCTTGCATCAGTGTGCCCTGGATGTGAGACATGAAGTCAAAGGAGATTATTTTGGAGCTTTAAGATTTAATGGGCCAGCACTTTGGGAGGCCGAGGTGGGCAGATCATGAGGTCAAAAGATCAAGACCATCCTGGCTTATGTGCTGAAACCCTGTCTCTACTAAAAGCACAAAAATTAGCTGGACGTGGTGGCATTTGCCTGTAATCCCAGCTTCTCAGGAGGCTGAGGCAGGAGAATCACTTGAATCTGGGAGGTGGAGGTTGCAGTGAGTTGAGATTGCGCCATTGCACTCCAGCCTGGCGATAGAGCAAGACTGTCTCAAAAACAAACAAAAAAAAAGATTTAATGACTGCCCTGCTGGGTTTTGGACTTGCATGCAGCCTGTAGCCCCTTGGTTTTAGCCAATTTCTCTTTTTTGGAATAGGAGCATTCACCCAATGCCTGTACCCCCATTGTATCTTGATTTTAGAGGCTCATAGGTGAAAAGGACTTGGTTTGTCTCAGATGAGATTTTGGACTTGGACTTTTGAGTTAATGCTGGAATAAGCTAAGACTTTGGAGGACTGTTGGGAAGGCATTATTGTGTTTTAAAATTTGAGAAGGACATGAGATTTGGGAAGGGCTAGGGGCAGAATGACATGGTTTGGCTCTGTGTCCCCACCCAAATCTCATCTCAAATTGTAATCCCTGCATGTCAGGGAAGGGGAGTGGTGGGAGGTGATTGAATCATGGGCATGGACTTCTCCCTTGCTGTTCTCGTGATAGTGAGTGAGTTCTCATGAAATCTCGTTGCTTGAAAGCATGTGGCACTTCCCCCTCTTTTCTCTCCCTCTCTCTCCTGCTCTGGCATGGTACAACCTGCTTGCTTACCCTTCACCTTTCACCATGATTGTAAGTTTCCTGAGGCTTCCCAGTCATGCTTCCTTTTAAGCCTAAAGAACTGTGAGTCAATCAAACCTTCTCTCCATAAATTACCCAGTCTCAGTAGTTCTTTATAGCAGTGAGAAAATGGACTAATACAATGGCCATCAATTTTTGACAAGCCCAACTGTGGGAACCCAAAACAAGCAGCTATCATAGAAATGGGCCTTTCATTTTTCATTTATTTCTGTACTGCTTTTTTGAGCAGCAAAATCTATTAGAATATTACTCTTTGGTGCATGCCATCTTACTTGACTTGAAAGCCCAAGGGGCTCAGTGGCTCAGTGCTCAGGGTAGACAGGTGTCAGGACTAGTTGGAAGAAAAAACGGGAAGTAGAAAGTCTCAAAGATTTTGGCCAAAGAAAGAGAAGGAACAGTCAGGTTTGGATTAATGCTGGACGGAAAGATGATCTCAGGTGGTATGGTGACACAATCTTGCAATTAGAGGAAGAGGCTTTATGTCACAGTTTGGTTCATAGCATCCCACTCAAGTCATTTAAACTTCTCCTACCTCAATTTCCTCATCTGTCACATGTGGATTATCATAGGCCTGGTCCTGCCAACCTTGCTGGGCTATGGTGAGGATTTGGTGAGGATTTTAATGCGCTGTGTAAACTTGAAAGTATAGAAACATAAAAGGCATTATTGTTATACAGTTAGTGTTATTAGGCATTGTTCCTGCCCACATTGTTTTCATTGTGGCTGGGATGATAAGACAACCTGTGAAATAATTAGAGAACACACAAGATGGTATCTGATTAATTGCAGAATTGTTTGGTGCCACTGTATGGAGGAATAAGAGCTAGAATATTCAAAGAAAGCTTTAAGAACATGTGTTTCTTGAGGTTGCCTCAAAAGTGGGAACTGGTTGGAATGGGAAGTGTGAAATAACGGAAAACTGTTGTTTATTGATTTTCTCCAAGGGCAATGGTCAAGGAGAGCCTTAGGCCACTTCCATGATGGTCTTCAGACAAGCATAGCCATGCCCACCTGACCTTGCTTGTTCCAGGGGATTCTGGAACAATTCCCAAGAGGACTGATTTCCTCTGATCTATACCATGGTTTCATGAAGGGTGGCCAAGCCTGTTGACATTATCTTGTGGCATCAAAAATTTGGATTCAGGTTTGAGTTTTGTTTCTTCCAAGATACAGGACTTTCACCAAGTCCCTCCATTGTCTGAGGTCCATTCCGTTCCCTTGTAAATGTGTTTCGACTTTGGAAAGTTTCTCTGAGGTATAAAAAGTGCTAATGAGTGAAAATGAACTTTAAAATCCGAAAAGCATTCATTGCTCTGTGAAAGATTTATTTCTTCAAAGTGAATGTAATTCTCTCCAGAGTTGAGATAGTGATTGAAGTTTTACTGTTCCTCAGACACCCAGCTTTGGGCTTTGCACCAAGCAGCCACACAAATATCTTCTGGATGGATATTTAGTGAATGTAACTTATTTTTAATTTTTTAATTTTTCATTTTATTTATTTATTTGAGACAAGGTCTCACTTTGTTGCCCAGGCTGAAGTGCAGTGGTGTGATCTTGGCTCACCTCAGCCTCCACTTCCTGGGCTCAAATGATCCTCCCACCTCAGCCTCCTCAGTAGCTGGGACTACAGGCATACACCACCACATTTGACTAATTTTCTTTTGTATTTTTTTACAGAGACAGGGTTTTTCCATGTTGCCCAGGTTGGTCTCGAACTACTGAGATCAAGTGATCTGCCCACCTTGGCCTCCCGTAGTGTTGGGATTGCAGGCATGAGCCACGGCACCTGGCCTAACTTATATATTTTTTAAAATGTCTTACCAGTTGGCCTGCAGATGGGGATGCTTGAGGTGGTAAATGAAGCTAAGAGGGTTTGGGAGTGGGCATTCCATCTTGTGTTCAGTTGCGATGTTGTGTTCAGCCAGCAGAGAGGCTAGACCCTAGGGCTCCTTCTGTTAAATTTAGTCTAAACCAAATACCAACATTTCTGCTCATCTCTTGGATTTACCTGGTGACTGACAAATGGGGTAAATCACGACAACAGAAATATATGAATTATCATTTATACAGAAAGAGTGATTCTGGGAAGTCAAAAATGAAGAAGCTTATCCAAAGCTGTGATCCAATTTGAAAATAAGGCAACGTTCTTTCTCTTCCACATTTTTTTGCCTGGTAATTGCTAAACAGGTCTCAGCTTCAGGAATCCCCAAGTCATTCACTCTTACCTTTTTTTCTTATACCCAACAAATACTTATTGAGTGCATCCTACATGTCAGGCTCTGGACTAGGTGCAATAGATTTTGTAATAGGTATAATCGACCAAGTCCTTGCCTTCCTGGAATTGATACTCCAAAGAGAGAGAGAAAGCCAAACTGAACAAATACTTTATATTTCAGATGGCTGAGGGTTTTGGAAAAAATACACTGGGAGTAACTCAGATTTAGAGGCTACCTTAGAAGGTAGTTAAGGAGACTTCCATGAGAAGGTGTCATTTGAGCTGAGAGCTAAAGGATAAGGAGGAAAATGTTAGTGGAAGTCCTTGAGAAAGAGAAGCATAGAGAATAGCAAGTGCAAAGGCACGGAGGCAGCAGGGTTTAGGATGTTTAGGGAACTCAGAGAAGCTAGTGTGGCCAAAGTGGGAGATGAATGTGAAGCTATGAAGGTGAGAGGGGAGAGGCAGGGCCAGATTCAGAACCTTGGAGGCCTTGTTAGGGGGGTTGGATTCTGGTCTGTGTCTGATGGGAGGGTTTAGGTAAAGAAGTGATTTGAAGTTCAGGTTGGAAGTTTCTCTCTTGGACATCTACCATGCCCTGTCATAGCACTCATGGGACACTTAGTGTCACTGCCTGGTTACTTGCCTGCCTGTCCCACGCCCACTAGACTAAAATGTGAGCTTCCTGAGGGCAGGGTTTGTGACTCTTTCATCATAGAATCTCATCTAGGCATCCAGTCCAGTGCCTGACATTTGCTAGGCACTCAAGAAATACTATCGGCCAGGAGCGATGGCTCAGGCCTGTAATCCCAGCACTTTGGGAGGCCGAGGTGGATGGATCACTTGAGGTTAGGAGTTCAAGACCAGCCTAGCCAACATGGCGAAACCCTGTTCTCTACTAAAAATACAAAAATTAGCCAGGTGTGGTGGCATATGCCTGTAGTCCCAGCTGCCCCGGTGGCTGAGGCAGCAGAATTGCTCAAACCCAGAAGGCAGAGGCTGCAGTGAGCTGAGATTACACCACTGCACTCCAGCCTGGGCAACAGAGTGAGACTCCTTCTCAAAAAAAAAAAAAGAAAAAAAAAAAAGAAAAGAAAAGAAATACTTACTGAATTAAATTAAATATGAAAAGTGGAGGAAAATGTTGAGGGAGCAGATGCCAATATCAAAGTGATCAGATGCTCAGGACTGAAGGGGTTCAAAGCAGAAGCTGATCACTTCCAGCTGGGATGGTCAAGGAAGGCCACCTGGGAGAGGGGACCTTGTGTCAGAGACCAGAAGCATGAGAGGATGGAGACAGGGGTAGGGGAGGGGAACCTAGGCAGATGAAACCATGTGTTCAAGGACTGTCAGCCTCTCACAGAATTAAAACTGATAAGTCTTAATTTCACCAAGCTTCCAAAGCTAAGTGGATTGAAAATACACAAAACAGATAATTCTGGGGAACTGAGCAAGCATGAGCTCCCTCCAGCATGCAGATCCCCTTGTGAGTTTATCCAGTTGACTGTGTATGCCCTAGGGGATTCAGAAAAGAGTCTCCCATTCCATCAGCTGGTAAATCTCATCCTCGTTGTGACAGCAAAACCACCAACCAGTCCCATCCCTTGAAAAGTCCCAATATTTCTTGATAGACACTTCTGTTGTCTTATGTGCAATAGAATTGTAATCACCTGTATTTAAAACTAATGGATTTGAAATAACCTGCAGGCTTCCACTTTAATGAGAGTTAGATTAATGAAAAAGGACCTTTTGCCTCAGATTGCATGACAACATTTTCAAATTACATTCCTGGAACAGAGAATTCACTTATTCAGAGTAATTGGATGCTGACTTGGGTTAATACGTACAATGTCCTTAAATGAAAATGTTCTATTGTAAGTGGAACTGTATGATACCTGAGGCTTTCTCAATAGATTTGGTTGGGCTCTGAGTTAATTATACTGCATGCTATTTTTTGAATGAATTCAAGCATGAATTCTACACGGTAGAGATTGGGATAATTATATTCAATTCTGCTTGGTGCCCCGCTGAAAGAATTGACCTTTTAGATAAAACGAGTCTCCCAAGCAAGAAACCTGAAGAAAGTCTACACAAAGCCGGCAGATGCAAGAGCAGAGAGTGTCTTAAGTAAGAGGGGGAAGTGGGGGCAGGGTCGGGGGAGGCAAGCTCCAGGAACAGTAGCATCAGCAAGATTGATTTTTTGTCACGGGAAAGTATTTCTGTTTTGTAGCTTGTTTTGTATCCTTGGTACATAAAGGTATAATTTAAAACCATTGATTTTACTAAGCTGTTTTCTCATCAGTAACACGGCTAAAAAGTAGCAGCCTGAAGAATGAGAAGCCAACAGAAAGCAGCCTCTGGAGGCTCCCTGGGTGTGAGGACCCTAGGAGGGAGCAGAAGCGATGGGCAGAGGGGTCAGCTGGGTCCTGACCACCAGGCTATCTGGCCTTGAGCTGTGGCATGGTGCTGAGAGCGTGGGCTTAGAGGTCAGAGAGCCTGGGTTTGGAGCATGGCTCTACCATTTACCAGCTATGTGGACTTAGATCAGGCGTTTACCTACTCCGTGCCTCAGTTTCCTCATCTGCCAATGGTGTAAACCGCATAAGGTTGCTGTGAAGCACCTTGCATGATGTGTGCCCAGTAACCACCAGCTGCTGCTATTAATACTATTATTCTTGGTAGTGAAATCTCTCCCCAACCCAGGATGATGAAAGAAAGGTAACCCATTAAGAGGATTAAACCCATCAGGACGATTCAAAATATTTCTCCCCTTGGGGCCAGGAGGACACTGTAGAGAGTTGGACCTGATGGACACTGCGTGCCGATGAGACATCCTTCGAGGGCAGCCACAGGACAGGGTGAGATAACTGAGCCTTGTTTCCTGCCCAGCCCGGGGCCAGCCAGGCATGCTAGCCAGAGGGCAAGCCATGCTCCCCACTAAAGGACACTCTGCACTCCAGTGGCCCTCGGGAAAGCAGAGGACATTGTTTTGTCTCCTTGTCCCAAGCTCCTTTTCTCAGTGAGTAACAGGCTTCATTATTCCAAGTGTGTGAACCGGCAACATGACACATGTAGCGTCTGACTTGAAGGAAGTCCTGGGCTCTGACCACCACTGCGGGTAGAGAGATGACTTCATCCCTCCATGGGAATCTTTGGGTGTTGGTGAAACTTTTTGCTGATGGCGTGACCATGTGCCCTACTCATCAGCCTTGCCGTGGCTACACTACCTCCATCCCAGCACTGTTCTTGTTCTCCCTTCGGTCCTGACCTCACCCTTTCTGCTGTTGTACACACATCCCTCAGACCGTCTGCATTCGTTTCTTGTGGCCTCTATAACAAATCACCACAAATGTGGTGGCTTAAAACAAATGAAGCTAGTTCTGTCACAGTTTTGGAGGCCAGTAGTCTGAAATCAGTGCCGCTGGCCCAGGTCAAGATGTGAGCAGGGCCACACTCCCTGCGGGGGCTCTAAGGGAGAATCTGCTCCTCGCCTCTTCTGGTTGCTGGTGGCTGCAGGAGTTCCTTGGCTTTTGGTTGCATGACTATGATCTCTGCTTCCATTGTCACACTGCCTTCTCCTCTTTTTCTGTGTCCAATTTCTCTCTGCCTCTCTCTTACCTTGACACTTGTGATGGCATTTAGGGTAGACCTGGATAACCCAAAATTATCTCCTCCTCTCCAGATCTTTAACTTAATCACATTTGCAACACGGTTACCATAGAAGATAACATGTGGCCAGGTGTGGTGGTTTATAACTGCAATCCCAGCACTTTGGATGGCCAAAGTGGGAGGATTGCTTGAGGCCAAGAGTTTGAGATTAACCTGGGCAACATAGCTAGACCCCATCTCTATAATAAATTATCCAGGCATGGTGCTGTGCACCTGTAGTCCCAGCTACTCAGGAAGCTGAAGTGAGAGGATTGCTTAAGCCCAGGAGTTTGAGGCTGCAGTGAGCTGAGACTGCCCCACTGCACTCCAGCCTGGGCAAGAGAATAAAATGCTGTCTCAAAGAAACAAAATAAAAGAACAGGCACAGGTGCCATGAATTAGGACTGGATGTCTCCAGAAGCCACCATTCAGCCCACTCCATGGGCTCAGGATTTTGCATCTGCCTCTGTCTGCTGCATGGATCAAGAAACTTTAACCTCATCAGCACCGGCTTTTTCTTCGCTGTATGTGGAAACATTCATTGTCCACTGACTTGGCATGAGCTTTGCAGGAGGCTTCTCTATCCACCCCTTCCCCCAGGTCCAGTTTTCAAGCTTTTAACCACCTCTAAGGTGCTATCCAGAAAAAGCCCCAAGTTCTCTCTTACTTCCACTGGTAATCCTATGGTGTTGGTAGCAGAGCGGTGATTTTCTTTTGGGGAACCATCTCCTCCACTCTGCCCATGTAGTATGAAGGAACTGACCTTTCCTCTCTTTCCAAAGCTACACCTTGAATGATACACCTTTCTTAATACTTACTGGTGGCTTAGTAAATCTTAGTAGGAGTATATGGTGCCTCGTGTGGAACCCAGCTGGGCCAATCAGAGGGCTCTATTGCCCCGTGCCAGAGTAAGTGCTTTTGGGATGAGCATGTATCACCCAAGTCCCAATATGACTCAGACCTGGGTAGGGAGCAGTGGCTCACACCTGTAATCCCAGCACTTTGGGAGGCTGAGGTGGGAGGATTGCTTGAGCTCAGGAGTTTGAATCTAGCCTGGTCAACATAGTAAGATCTCGTATTTACAAAAAAAATAAAAAAAATTAGCCAGGTATGGTGGTGCACACCTGAGGTGTGCTACTCAGGAGGTGGAGGCAGGAGGATCACCTGAGCCCAGGAGATTAAGACTGCAGTGAGCTGTGATCATGCCACTGCACTCCAGCCTGAGCAACAGAGTGAGACCTTGTCTCAAAAGAAACAACAACAACAATGAAACACCAAACACTCAGACCTGGATATTTGCAAGAATTATTGCAAAAGGGATCTCTCTTTTTCTCTGATAGACTTGCCGTTGGGAGGATCTAAGCCCACAGCTGCCAGACACTACCATATGCGGGATCTGCCAGAAAGTAGAGCCAACAAGAGGAGCAAAGAACCAAAACACAGAGGGGAAGTCCAAGATCCAATAACCAACTTTCTGAGCTAATCATGCCTGAATTTATATCTAACTTTGGCATTTTAGTTCCATACATCAACCTTTTTTGTTTAAGTGAGTCTGCAGTGGGCTTCTGCCCCGTTAGAATTCTTTCTACTGTCACGTTTGCCATGCCAGGAGTTGATGGCTTGAGTCTAAGCAGGAGACCACACAACACCATAGTGTCCAAAACCCACCTGTTCTGTGCTCAGTACTATGTTTGGACCTGATACACAGAGAGTAAGTCTCCATCCCTCCTCTCAAGATTCTCCCTTTGAGCTGTGGAGCCAAGGACTCAGGAAACAAGATAAACCATGCTTCCAGGGAATCTCATTTATGATGGTTTTTTTTCTTTCTTTCTTTTTTATTTTTATTAGAGCTCTGTCGGCTTTACTCTGACCTTCAGATCTTTTTCTATTGTATATGGGTTAGCCAGCTCTGCCTTAGCTCTCCTAATACAGTTGGATTTTTTTTCTGTATGTCTGGGTGCTCAATTGATATTGTTAAAAAAATCACTCTGATTAATTGAGGTCAGTGGATCTTCAGTTATGGCCCCAAGAGGACTGGTTTCAGCCTGGAGGAGCTTGGGATCCGCTTCTTTATGGAACTATCTGAGTATGGGGAGAATACACTCTTTGTCTACTAGTGTCATACAGACATAAACTATGCTGCTCTCTTTTCCTTTAAGATGGTCAGAATTGTCTTAGGAGCTGCTGGGAACTCTGAGGGATGGTATGGTGGGAAAATCTCAGGCTCTTCTATTCTCTTCCCAGTTCTGACCACTCGCCACCTTCTGATTTTGGGCAATAGCCTTCTTTGGGTTTGATGCCTCATTTCTTAAAGGAGTGATTTGAGCTTGATCAGGTTTGACATTATTTATGTCTCACTTATCCCACACATTTCTAGCTGATCTCTATGCTCTTTATTGCTGAGCCTAAACACAGCCTTAGAATCCTTCTCCACACCAAGCTAGATGATCTCAAAGATGTTAAGTCTTCTGGGCCAAGAAATAGACATTTTCACTAGATGTAGATTTTGAAACTTAATTTGGAAACATTCTCCCTTTTCATTAGTATTTGTGATTCCTTTATCCAGAGACATGGGGGCAGGGATAGGGGCCTTGTATCCTATCTCCAGATTCAGGGATGTCAACAGCATAGCTCAGTATTGTGAGATGGTGGCTCACTTAACAGCAGAAAGATATTTCCATAGCTCCATGGAGATTTGGAGGCAAAAAGACTACATCAATTAATTCCATTATGCAGTTAATACAATTAGTCAGATTTATGTATAAAACCCAACATTTGTGACTCAAATTTTTTCATTGTTTTTTTTCCCTCTCTTTCCAAAGGTTCCAGTCTCTTAAATTTGTACATTATCTGTGACTGATATATCATTTATCTAGAGAATACAGTTGTCATTCACTTCATTTAATTAGCTTATGGGTTCTAAATTATCTGCTACCATAAAATGGGATTTTATACTGCAGATTACAAAGGTTTTCAGAAATTTAATATGCCACTTTTAATTGGTGAAAAGTACCCTAAAGGATTCATAATATTTTTTACTGCACTTGCATTTAGGCTCAAGAGAGAGAGAATGAAGATATTTAGGAAGAAATGGGATCTGGGTCAGTGACATTGGTGATGATTTATTTGGAATAAAGGCAAATCTGGAGAGATGAAGTTGTAAATATAGCCATCAGAGGGTTGTGTTCAAGCAGTGAGACCAGTGAGTTGAAAACTGAATATCTCCTGGTTTTCGTATCCCGGTTAGTCACTTTGATGAGCTAACAATGTACTTATGGAATATGGCTCCACGTTTGCAGTCATGACTACGAATAGCCTATTTTCTGCTCTGCTTTTTCAACCATTAAATCCATAATCTTCTATGTATATGGTATTACCACACCTTCTTTAAATACATTCTTGGCCTTATTGATGCCTCGGCTCAGTTGTACAGCTGGGCGGGTGTTTGTTCAGCAAAAACAAACAGCTGTTTTTGATCCTTAGACTATGGAAATGCCATCCGTGGTGGGGTTAGGGGCATCATCAGAGGCTGGGTCATTGGGGCAACTTCAAGGATTTCCACGTGCATCTGTCTTAACGCACTGCCAGTAAAAGTTCATAAAACATGACAATGAGCTTTACAAATCTAGAGCCTTAAAAAGAAGGGTTGGGAGGGGGGAACGTCAGGAAATGTGAGTGAGGCCAGTGGTTTCCACTCCTTTCTGGGACCCTCCCTCTCTCAGAAACTAGGTTCCCATCAGTCTGTAAAATCAGCAAGTTATGAAGCCTAAACTTGTGCTTTTAGGTTAAGGTATTGAAGATCTCTGTTCAAAGTGAGTGTGGACCCACTACTGAGTCAATATATTCATAGTAGTTAATGTCATTGGTTGAGTTTGTCTATGAGAATCTGATTATTGTCTGTAAGGTTTTCCTGGGGGAAAAAGAAAAAAGAGATGGTATTGGGATAGGAAAAAGACCAGGGCTTGGGAAGGTCAAGCTAGAGTCGGGACTGAAATAGGGGAGGTGCAGAAAATAATAACAATAATAATATAATAATATTATCATGAATATACCATAACGTCACAGCGATAGTGATAATGAATCACAGTCATAATAGTATAAATGCCTATGTTTTATTGAGCACCTACTATGTGCCAGGCACCGTGCTGGGCTCTTACATGCATTACTTAGCTATACCAGCTCCACATCCTATGACATAGGGTAAGAATATAGGGCACATTTTACAGACAGGCAAAAGGGAACTTGGAGATGTGAACTGACTTTGCTGTGGTCTCACAAGTAATATAAAAATCCTTGAAGTTGCCCCCATAATCTAGCCTCTGATGATGCCCATAACCTCAACACGTAGGGCACTTCCATAATCTAAGGTTCAAAAAGAGCCTCAGATGATATTATTATTGTTGTTGTTATTATTATTATTTTTCGCACCTCTTGTTTAGCCTCTAGCTGGACCCTCCCAAGCCCTGGTCTTTTTCCCAATATCAAAGTCTATACCTTTTTCTTTCCCCGCCATGATCTCACCATTGGCAGAATTGGGATTTGTACACAAGTCTGTCTACTTTGAAGGCTTTGAAGGCCCATTGGGCTAAAGAGAATCTTCAAGTGCTAATAAGAAACAATAAGAGGTACCGTAGGTGAGGTTTCTCTCTCAGGCCAGCCACTTCCAGAGGGCAGCCGGGGCTCCCCCAGGTTAATTCCACCCTGATGAAACGTGTCCTCCTGGAAGCAGAACACTGCTCTGGGAGAGGGAGTCTGAGGGGAATGAGAAAGAATCTCTTTTTTTTTTTTTTTTCTTTTTTTTGAGACTGAGTCTCGCTCTGTCACCCAGGCTAGAGTACAGTGGCGCAATCTCGGCTCACTGCAAGCTCCGCCTCCCTGGTTCACGCCATTCTCCTGCCTCAGCCTCCAGAGTAGCTGGGACCACAGGAGCCCACCACCACACCCGGCTAATGTTTTGTATTTTTAGTAGACACGGGGTTTCACCGTGTTAGCCAGGATGGTCTCGATCTCCTGACCTCCTGATCCACCCGCCTCGGCCTCCCAAAGTGGTGGGATTACAGGCCTGAGCCCCCGCGCCGGGCCTAGAAAGAATCTCTTTCAGGACACAACATCCTAGCTCCTTTTGATTTTCTCTGTCTGGAATACACCCACCCTTTTTTTTCAGTAGGTATACGTAGGGTATGGATTCTCTGTGGTAAGCTTTCTTTTCCAGTCTGAAAATATCTTTGCCTTTTTCTCATAAAAAGTAAATGTATGGCCTAATTTTAGAAAAATAAGAAATATAGGCTGGGTGCAGTAGCTCACTCCTGTAATACCAACGCTTTAGGAGGGGAGGATCGCTTGTGTCCCGGAGTTCGTGATTAGCCTGGGCAACACAGTGAGACCCCATTTCTAAAAAAAAAAATTTTTTTTTTTAAATTAGCTGGGCATGGTATTGCTCACCTGTAGTCCCAGCTACTCAGGAGGCTGAGGTGGGAGGATTGCTTGATCTTGGGAGTTTGAGGCTGCAGTGAACTATGATTGCGCCACTGCAATCCAGCCTGGGTGACAGAATGAAACCCTGTCTCTGAAAGAAAGAAAGAAAGAAAGAAAATAAGAAATATAGATAAGTAGGCCAGGCATGGAGGCACACACCTGTAGTCTACTTGGTAGGTTGAGGTTGGGAGGGTCACTTGAGCCTGGGAGGTCAAGGTAGCAGTGACCAGAGATTGTGCCACTGCACTCCAGCCTGGGCGACAGAGTGAGACCCTGCCTCAAAAAAGAAGAAAAAAGAAGACAGCCATAAAAAAGAATGAGTTCATGTCCTTTGCAGGGACATGGATGAAGCTGGAAGCCATCATTCTCAGCAAACTAACACAGGAACAGAAAACCAAACACCAAATGTTCTCATTCATAAGTGGGAGTCGAATAATGAGAACACATGGACACAGGGAGGGGAACATCATACACCGGGGCCTGTTGGTGAGTGGGGTGAGGGGACGGAGAACATTAGGACAAATACCTAATGCATGTGGGGCTTAAAAACTAGATGACGGGGGGTTGACAGGTGCAGCAAACCACCATGGCACATGTATACCTATGTAACAAACCTGCATGCTCTGCACATGTATCCCAGAACTTAAAGTAAAATAGAAAAAGAAATAGAGATAATTAAAATGAAGAAATAAATACAATTCATTATCTCACCACATACGGAGGAAAACAACTGGCTATGTGTGCACGAGCACAGATGTGTGTGTGTGTGTGTGTGTTTTACCTGCTACTGCATTTAATAAGAGAAAATATGACATGCAGTGATTTCAATTTCACCCCTTCTTAACCTCAGATTTCCTACCTATAAAATAGGGCAAGTAATAATGCCTTTCTTACATGATTTTTGTGATTGCTGAATGAAACAAGTTGGTAAAGGACTTAGCAGAGTGGCTGCATGTAATAGCACTCAATAAATATTATTTATACTTTTTAGTATTATTACTAACACCATAACATAAACATTCCTTAGTGCTATTAAGTATCCTTGCATAGCATCACTTTAGCACAATTTTATTGTTTTTCATTATGCAAGCAAATATGCTTACTTATAAAACTAGAGATAAACAAAATGATAAACAATAAACCATCTGTAATCTTGCTGATGAAGAAATAACTACTGTTAATTATTTTTTTCTTTGAGACAGAGTCTCACTCTGTCGACCAGGCTAGAGGTACAGCGATGCCATCACGGCTCACTGCAGTCTTGACTTCCTGGGCTCAAGCCATCCTCCCACCTCAGCCTCCTGAGTAGCTGGGACTACAGGTGCATGTCACTAGTCCAGGTTAATTTTCAAATTTTTATATAGAGAGGGGGTCTCACTATGTTGCCCAGGCTGGTCTCGAACTCCTGGGCTCAAGCAATCTTCCCACCTTGGCCTTCCAAACTGTGGTGATTACAGGCATAAGCCACCATGCCCGGCCACGACTATTAAATTTTAATATATATATTTCCAACCTCATTGCATGTTTATATATAAAACAGACATATAATGAGGCTGGAAACATGTATATATGTGTGTGTGTGTGTGTGTATGTATATCACAATATATAAAGTTTTATACATAAAATAGATATAAATGCATATATAATACATCTGAGCCCATGTGCATGTTATTATATTACTTACTTTTTTTGTCTTAAAAGTATATTGTGAATATTATCTCATGCAATTATAGGATTTTCTACACATGAAAAATTCCAATGACTAAATAATAGTCCATGGACTAGAATTAACATAAAATACTGAGCCAACTCCCTGTTGCAGACGTTTATGCTGGTCCCAATCTTTTGCTTTTGTAAACAACGTTGCAGTGAACAGCTCTGTAACCAAATCTTTGGGTTACACATCTTGTTAGACTAAATTCCTTGAATTGGGCTTTCTGCGTCAAAGCATTTGCAGATCTTTAAGGCTGTCAATGAAGAAGCACCAGGTGCTCTCAGGAGACGTGGCATGGCACCGTAAGGTGATGATATTGGTGCATGAGCTCAGGGATTCCTCTGCTGCTCTGCAGCATATTTTGAATCCCAGCCTGGTTACTGTATTATGCATCGTGCTTCTGGGCCACTAACCCTCATGGTCAGCTGAAGAGTAATCAGCAAATGCCTGCTCCCTTTTGTGTGTGTGTTAGTCTAAGGATAGCAGAGGGCATACTTGAAAGAAATAAATGATTAGGATCGACAATGGAAAGGTAAACAGAATCATATTTCATGAGATTCCCCATTGTTCTTTTCTGACTTGCATTCTATAATCATAAAGCAGGCATAATCGGCTATTCAATTCAACAGATTCTTATTGAACACGTACTTTGTCTAAGTCTGGGGAGAGAGGTGTGAAAAAGTAATACTGAATATTTGTACAGTGTTCACACTTGACAAAGTGCTTTCATATGCCTTGGGGGAAAAAAAAACCCGGAGCTAAGACTCAGGAGACCTGATTTCTAGAACTGTCCCTGCCATTTAACTGACGTATGACTCCAGGCCAATCTCTCTGTTTCTTGTAAATACCAGGCTAAGAATCCATGCCTTTTCTGTTGTACAGGGGTTGAGTGATGCTCGTGTGAGGTGTTATAAATGCTCCACAAATTTACAGAATTCCAGAAACTTCAAAATGGACAGTGGTATTTAAAATGTTTTTCAGTTAGCCCTAACCTGAAAAAGACCTCGGAGATCATTTAGGGCAGTGACTTTCCTAGCTGTGTTCTGGGGAGCACATGGGTGCTGTGGGGACCAAGGGGATGGAGGTTGAACAGGCAGAGCATGGCTCTCTGCTGCCCACCCAAACCTGGCCCCAGAACCAGGCTGTTCATGTGTAGTTCTGGGCAAGTTCCTTAAACCCCTCTGCAGTCTCATCAGCTTTCCTATCTGTAATATGGACACGGGGCTGTTGTGAAGCTTAGTGAAGTTAATAAGTATACAGTGGTTGGGACCATGGAAGGCACATAGCTAATATTGCTGTTATTTTATGGTCCACTTTGGGTTTTTTTCCTAGGGTCAAGTTTCACTGAAAGTAATGTTTGAAAAAAAAATCACTGACTTCTCTAACTTCTTTATTTTACAGATGGAAAATTTACAGCCCAGAGAAGCCAGTGTTCAAATGCACACTGAGAATCTAGCAAAAGCGCCCACAGACGTCCTCCTCCTCCTCCTTGGCATCATCATCATTGCAATCCTCTATAAATTGCAGCACCCATCACCAGCCCCTGGTGGCTACTCACTCACCTGCTGGTAAATAACAGGACACGTGTGATGACTGGTTTATGTGCTATTTCTGGGGCTTATGAGCGGCCTCAGAAGACCTCACCATCTACGTATTGAACAGCAAAGCTCTTGTAATTGAGAAACCAATATCCTCTCTGACAGCACTCATGTTTCCAAATGCCCAACAGATATTAACCTTTGAGATCTAGGGACAAGAACTTGGAATTCCTCAAATCATAAGTTATTCTTAAAATGCTTTGAACATTCTTCATACTCTTTTCTTTAGTAATTATCACAAATATCTAAAAACGTTGATGGATATATAAGAAATAGTAAGTTGAATAGGATCTACTGAGAGCTTTACAAAGAATTTATTAAAAAATATTTGCCTCTAGCAAATATTTAAATCCTGGAAAGTGCCAGTGAACATTACTGGGTAATATTTGAATAATGTGACATTCAGTTCTCCTAGCAAGGTTGAAAACACTACACAGATTCAAGAAGTTGCCACAGAACTTACTTTGCTTCCAACCTTGTAATTTCTTGGAACTCCACCCACAGGACTTGAATAAAGTATACTATACATATAAATACATTAATATTTTATTTTCTTTGCAAGAATGGCTCACATTAGCAGCCTACAGGACCACAAACACACAACTGCAAACAAGCCTGAGTAGGCGATGACTGATTTGCTCCTATGTACTCTGGTCCTGGTTCCTGGAAATGTCTTCAGCTTGGGCTTCATGTGTCAGTGCCTCCTGTTCTGGCTTTCTGCTTGACATCACTAGATTCCTTCCAACAAGTAATGCCTGCATATTGATTGCTAAGCTGTCATTCTCATGGGGGAATTAGAATATTTTTCTCATTTTCTCAGTTCCTTGACTAATTATCCTCAGAAGTTGGAAAAACATAAATTTCCCGAGAAATGCTGGAAAGGAATTCCCACATGGAAGCACTGCTTGGTACCACCGCCTCAGCCCCACTAGGCAGAGCTGGAAAAATTCCTTTTGTGTTGCTGTGTCATGCATTACTGAGGGTTTCAGGTGAAGGATGAATGAAGGCATGTGCGCCAGGCCAGGGACCTGGTTCTAGTGCTGAGTCTGCCATGAACTCACCTGTGGCTTGTGGAACCAGTTGTAAAACCAGAGGAGGGTGTACACACAGAAGAGGTGTACAATTGTTTCAAGGCTGGGGAAAGCATTCCAAAGGGGACCTACTCCAGCTGATCTCAGGACGGCAAATGGCAAGTGTGAGTATGTGCTCTTTGCCCCTCACCCGAACAGACAGTGTTCTAAGACACCTGCCCTCAGCCCCTGGATGCCATCTGCTATGTAAATGTACTTCCAAGCTAACAGGAGACCTTGTCGTAAGGTGTTAATTCACTTTAGTTTAATATCTGCAAAGGGTAGAATCATTTCTTTAATGATATAGGTAAATATTTCCAACGGGTGTGTGCGTGTGTGTGTGTGTGTGTGTGTGTGTGTGTGTGTGTTTCTTCCTCCCTCCCTCCCTCCTTCTCCCTTCCTCCCTCCCTCCCTTCCTTCCCTTTTTTACTCACTCTCCCAAGTCAAAGTATCCAAAAGCTCATGGCTGGATCTTCAACAGGACTTAAGGTTGCTTCCTCCCTGTGACTTGTGTGTCTGTTTCATGACCTCTCCTGTAAGTCACAGCCCCTGCTCTGAAGGTATTTTCTGCCTACTTGGAAAAACAAAACACAAACTTGGAAGAGAGGAAGGAAAATAAAGAAAATTGAGATTATAGACCATGTGTTTTGTACAACCACAGTTACTATAAGTGTTTGGAGAGGAAGGAGCTGGTTGCGAGCCAGAGTAGCCCAGGAAGGCTTCTGGGAGGAGTGGTAGTTGAGGTAGGGCTTGCAGGATATGTAGAGTTTGAAAAGGTAGCAGAGTAACGAAGAGGCATCCCAGGGAAAGGAGCAGCCTGGCAAAAAGGGGAGGAGGAGACTGACTGCGTTTAAGAGACGGGCACACTTTGGGGAAGAAGAGAGTCAGGTCAGGGTGGACCAAAGAAACCAGATGTTATTAATAATATCCCAAGGATAGTAATGGATTGGTTTGTTTGTTGGTTGGTTGGTTGATTATTTTTACTAGAATCTTTAAACTATAAAAGTAACACATGGAAGAAAATTCAAATAATTCAGAAGGGTATAGAGCGAGAAACGAAGGCTCCCCCACTTACCTCTCAGACTCCCAGTCCTAACCAGTGTTCTCTGTGAGCCTTACACAAGCACAGTGATAAATGAATACTCACTTTCTTTTTAAGCAAACACGGTCACATCAAACATACTTTGTTGCTACATGCACTTTTAAAATAAGAAACAAAATTTTAACATTTAGACCTTTTTCTGTTTCCACAGATTGCTCCTTGCCCTTATATTTAACTATCCCACGGTATTTTGTTGCATTGACATACCAGAAAATGTTTACCTGCCCTTTATGAAAAATCCAGTGGCATTGCTTAGAATTCTTTTTATTATTAAAAGCACAGCAATTGCTTCCCTTTGTCAAGTGGAGTGGTTGAGTCACATTATACATACATTTAAAATTTTGAAGGCCATTGTCAAATGACCCTCCAAAGAGATTTTACCAGCCAGATTTTCATTTCCATCTACAGTATGGGAAAATGTTTCTTTCCATCTATGGAAGGCACACTAGTCAAGAGGCAGGAGTGGGTGTCAGTGAGCCTGAAATGCATTATTTCTCCTTAATCTCATTGCTGCAGGACCTTAGGAAATGTATTTAACCAACCTCTTCATATCTCCGTTTGCTCATTTTAAAATGAGGATAAAAGTAGTGTTTATATCATAAGGTCAGTTTAAGTATTCAATGAGATGATGATACACCTAAATACTGAATTTGTGCCTTACACACAGCAAGAACTGAACAAATGGAACCTTGTTATTTATTTATTTATTTACTTTTTATTTCCATAGGCTTTTGGAAAACACGTGGTATTTGGTTACATGAGTCAGTTCTTTAGTGGTGATTTGTGAGATTTTGGTGCACCCATCATTCAAGCAGTACACAATGAACCCAATTTGTAGCCTTTTATCCCTCACCTCCTTCCCACTCTTTCCTTTCCAGTCCCCAAGGTCTGTTGTATCATTTTTATGCCTTTGCATCCTCATAGCTTAGCTCCCACTTATGAGAACATATGATGTTTGGTTTTCCATTCCTGAGTTACTTCACTTAAAATAATGGTTTCCAATCTTATCCAGATCACTGAGAATGCCATTAATTCTTTCCTTTTAATGGTTGAGTAGTATTCCATTGTGTGATACACACACACACACACACACACACACACACACACACACAGTTTCTTTATCCACTCATTGATTGATGGCGATTTGGGCTGGTTCCATGTTTTTGCAATTGTGAACTGTGCTGCCATAAACATGCTTGTGCAAGTATCTTTTTCATACAATGGCTTCTTTTCTTCTGGGCAAACTTTGATAGAAGACTCCATTGATGTTCTGATCCTATACCCTTTTAACTTTATCATTTCAGGGCATGCTGTCCAATGTCCAACTTCCCACTGTCAGCACCTGCAGGTCTTTGTCTTAAGTTTTGCTGGCTGTCCAGGGCTCACTGCAGGCCAAAAGGCTGGGGAGTTAATCAGCAGCCTCCCTCAGCAGCCTTTGACGAGTGTGTGACGGGAGCTGGTGTGTAAGTACCTCAGCTCTCTCTCCCTCAGAACCCGTAACTCTGACTGTTCCCTTCCCCTCCCCAGTCCCTTGTGGAATTAAGCTCTAGTGACAAAGGTAACTTGATTAATTTCTTCCCTTCCCTTCCCTTCCCTCTCTCCCTCCCCATTCTGCTCCTGGATTTCCTGGGATTCCTCCCAAATCAACCACTTCTACTAAAACATCTCAGAGTCTGCTTCTGGGGGTTCCAAATTAGACCAAATTTTAAAACTTTGCCCATTTGCTTTAAAAATACAATGTTTTAATTTTCATTACTTTCATTGTGAATAAGATTGGATTTATTTTCCTATGTCACTGGCCAAATGCGTTGCTTTTCTCTGCTATCTGCCTGTTCCTGTACTTTGCTCATTTATCTATTGGGCTGTTTGTCTTTTCCTTATTGATTTGTAAGAGCTCTTTGTAAATAATAAAAATTAGCCCTTTGTCTATTATGTGATGCTGTTTCCCACATTGCTGCTTGCCTTCTGACTTTGTTTAGGACTTTCTTTCTCTCTCTCTTTATTTTTGGCCATACAGAAGTTTAAAATTTTAATGTAATCAAAGAGAAGATCGGGTTTAAAATCACTGCTTCTTTCTATTTATTTTCTGCTTGGATTTAGTTCTTCCCATAAATGATGAATAGAACTCTAAGATGAGAAGGAGCCCTGTCAGAGTGCTCTTCTGTATACAGACAACTATATACATACATACATATATATATATATATATATATATATAAAATATAAAATTACACACATACACACACAGTGACGTTCACTGCTAATCTCTCTTTCCTGGAAATTATCCATGTGTGACTGCAGAAATTCTCTGTTCTCTGTGCATTTCTTTCTTGTTTCATAAACCGAGGTTTGCAGCATCAATATGCTTTTGTGTTACAGCCCGGTCTGGATGGAAGAAGTCCACCTGCATTTAACACCAGTTGTACAGAATTCTCAGTTCTCCTGTGTGCAACTGCTCAGAGTTAAGTATTCAGAATAATCAACTGCATATTTAAAGTTCTATCCATCTCTCTTCTTTAGATCTTAAGAGCTAAGGTTTGTTTTCTCTCTCCGTTCGTTGTATCCTACAGAATGCCTGCAGCCCTGGTTTGGGCTGTTTGGTTGGTGCTGTACATCTAGACCTGCCTTTTCCTGGCTTAGCTGTGTCTGGGAGTTAGTCTAAGCTGCAGGGATGGGTGGGGAGAGGGCTTCACTGCACTCAGGCTGTGGATGGAACTAGCAGCTTCGGCTGGAAGGCTCGAGGGTGGTTCAGGGCATGGATTATTGGACTCTCTCTCTGCTCCATGACCAAGTGTCCCCCTTGGCTGCTGACATTTGCATGGGTGTGGGGTAGAGGGAGGTTGCTCTTTAACCATTTCATGTCCACTGTAGTGTAGGTAACGCTAGCACATGCTGCAAGTGAGGATGCCAAACTTGCTATTTCCCACAACTTCTCTAGGTCTCCAAATACAACTAAGGAATAGAAAGGCATTTCTTTCTGTTCCTTGACAATGTCTAGCTTATTCTCATCTCGGCGTATCTACTTGCCCTCCCCCACTCACATTATTTTAGTCTTTACTCAAATGTTCCTTCTCAGAGTGACAATCCCAGCCCACCCCATCTAGAGAAACCACCTCTCCCGCCAACCATGCTCTATCATTTTACTACTTTATTATTAGTATTTTTTGCAAAGCATTGATCTCTACTGTGAACTGTGGTATGTATTGGTGTGCTTGTTTCTTGTAACCTGTCTCCTGGAATGTCCTCTCGGTGAAGGTACAGGCTTTGTCCCAGACGCTAACACCTGACAGATACACAAGGGGTGCTCCAAATGATACTAAACAGGATTCTTCCTCTGAAATGGAGGGGCCTAGGATGGATAGGGGGAATCAGTGCTGACTCCTCAGCTGGGGATGGCCTGGCACCCTCTCACAGGCTTCATGGTGATGGTGCCCACAGAACAGACACCTCTCATTCTCCAAAGAGGACTGAGGACCCAGTCTAGACTTCGTCCAGGGTGTCATTTATGTTTACAATTCCTAAAGGGAAATGACTAACCCTGTGATGTCAAAAAGAACTTGAAGCCTGCTCTAGGAGGTGGAGCTAAAAGAAAAACACTGAGTTGCTAGAAAGGAAGGAGGAAAGTCATTTGGAGAAGGGACAGGAGCTTAAGAAGGTACTGTTTGAAAGAGAAGGAGATTCCACGGTAAGGGCCCCCCAAATGCCCAAGAAGAAGGGGTGAACAGCCTTTCAGACACCTATAAAACTTTCCAATGCATGGTCCAGTTGACATATGGCCAGGAAAGGACATGTACAACTTAAAGGGAACAGTCTCCTGGGCATAAGCTATTACTTTTCAAAGCAGCCTAGAGAAAGAAATTGCATCGTGTTATTCTCATTCTCTCCCTCAATGTCTTTCCCTCTGAATTTCAATCTCTCTCTCTCTCTCTGTATGTCTCTCTGTCTCCATCCTTGTCTGTCCTACCCTTGTCCTGGAGCTCTCTATGTTCTCTGTGTGTTTTCTGATGTCTGCCTCTCTTCCCTTCTGAGATCCTTTTCTGATGGATGTGTGAACGGATGGTTTTGCATGCAAGCTCATCAGCAGTCACTTGAGTGGATTCCGTAAAAACTTTCTGAAACCAAATCAAATGAAAACCAACCCATAAACTGGGGAAAACAAAAGGGCCCTTTGGACTTGAAAAGGTTAGAGAAGACTGCAGGAGCTGCACACACCGTTCGATCGCGTTCGAAGCTGGGGTTTTAATTTAGTTTTCCTATTTACCCCGTTGAAGTTCCTCACTGCTCAACTGCTAATGCATTTCCAACTGAAATTTTGTAAATTATATTGGGAAACATTCTCAGCTAGAGTAGATTGTGCAAGCTCTCATAATGGCTTCCTGCTGCTGTGTCTGGCAATATAAGGCTCTTTGGGAGCAATGTGTATGTGGACGCACATCTTTAAGAACTCTTTCCACTTTATCCCCCTTGGCCGGAGGCTCTGCACTCTCGGTGCCTGACTGTGAGCAGATCTGGACTTTCCATCAGCCCTAAAAGCAGGATCTTGGCACTTCTCCTTTTCCAACTTGACAGGATACCCCCTCAACCTTTTCTTGTTCATCTTTAATAAAATCACTCCCCCAACGAGTTTATGAGCTCTTCTAAAGTGTAGCCCATGCCTCTGCACTAAACCCTCCCAAGGCACCCTGCTGCCTACAAAGTAAAATCCTGGAGGTTTGGTTTTTAGCAAGCCATGTAAGATTACCCCAAATTTCAACCCCAATCTATTTTCCTAACAACGTATTCCATTCCTCTTCTTCATGGATAAAATACATCTCATTGCTTGCACCCCTCTCTGTTTTCATCCTAGACAAAAGCCTCATCTCTCACCTGGACAAGTGTGCAGCCTCCTACCTAGCTTCTGCACCTAATCTCTGCCCCTACCCCTAACACACACACAGTTCACCTTGCGAAGGACAGTCCATGATAAGGACTCTGGAATGCCCAAGAGGAAAGGGTGAAGAGACTTGTAGACCCCCGATATGGTTTGGCTGTGTCCCCACCCAAATCTCATCTTGAATTGTAGCTCCCACAATTCCCATGTGTCATCGGAGGGACCAGGAGGGAGGTAATTGAATCATGGGGGCGGCTCTTTCCTGTGCTGTTCTCATGATAGTGAATAAGCCTCATGAGATCTGCTGGTTTTATAAGGGGGAGTTTCCCTACACCAGTTCTCTCTTGTCTGCTGCCATGTAAAACACACCTTTTGCCTTCTGCCATGATTGTGAGGCCTCCCCAGCCACGTGGAACTGTGAGTCTATTAAACCTCTTTTTCCTTATAAATTACCCAGTCTCAAGTAAGTCTTATCAGCAGCATGAAAACAATCTAATACAAGCTCCTTCCTGTGATTTGCCAGGCTCTCCTAAGCTGCTTTTCTCAAACGCGCCAAGCTCATTCCTCCCACCCATCCAGGGCCTCTCATTTGCTGCTCCCTCTGCCCGGAACCCTCTTTCCTTAGGCAGCATGGAAACATCTACCTTAATGCATTTGCTCTCTGCTCAAATGTCATCTCAAGAGATCTCCCTGCCCACCTGACTTATGGTGTAAAAGTATGGGCCAGGCACAGTGGCTCATGCCTGTAATCCCAACACTTTGGGAGAACAAGGCGGGCAGATCACCTGAGGTTGGTTGACCAACATGGAGCAACCCTGTCTCTACTAAAAATACAAAATTAGCAGGGCGTGGTGGTGCTTGCCTGTAATCCCAGCTACTCGGGAGGCTGAGGCAGGAGAATCACTTGAACCCAGGAGGCAGAGGTTGCAATGAGCTGAGATGGTGCCATTGCACTCTAGCCTGGGCAACAAGAATGAAACTCTGTCTCAAAAAAAAAAAAAAAAAAAGTACGTATTTATTGTTGTCTCTCCCCATGTGGGAAAAAGTGCCCCTCTAGATCCATCCTTCCCTTCTCCCTGTTAGTAATAAAACCCCCAAGTTTTATCTGTGCAGACAGCCACCCAGCTAAAGACTACATTTCCCAGATTCCCTTGCAGCTAAATGTGACCATGTGACTAAGATCATACTAATGGGATGTGAGCAGAATTGACTTGTGTGCAGCCCTCAGGTCAGGCCCTTGAAGGATACTGCCTGCCCTACACTGTCCTCTTTTCAGCTTTGATCATGTGGTTGACAGAATGCTGGGAGCTGGCAGAGCAGGGTGGAAGAAACCTGAGCCCCTGGATGACTTGTGGAACAAAGCCACCTGCCCCTCAGATAGCCAACCAACGTAGGCTCTCAGTGAGAAAGAAATAAACCTGTCTTGCTAAAGCATCATTACTTATTTTCTGTGAATGCACCTGAGCTAATGTAGGAACTAAAGTAGACCCATGAACTACCAGCTCCAAGAGGGCAGGGGCATTGTATCATCAGCACTTAGACCAGTGACCAGGTGTCACAGGCACTTAGTCTCCATTTCTCCCGCTGTGAAATGGAAGTGTGGTAGCTGTTTAATTCCATCAGGAAGAGGCAAAGATGCTAAGGGGTGGGGTTACTTGGGAAGGACCAATGCCCCTGTGGGGGAAGGGCTGTCACTGTTTGACCAGGACTCAGACACTTCACCCTCTTCCACCAGAGCTCTGCATGCCACCAGATTACTTCCTGGAGGGAGCTTCCTTCCAGCTGCCGCCCATCCCACAGGCTGGGCCTCTACACACAGAGTAATGGTGGATGGGTGTCCGGACTGCAAGGGAAAAGCCAGGCTTACTTGACCAGGGGAGGAAGGGGATTGGGTAGAATGCATTCACTTTTGTGCAGCCACAGACAATTTCTCCAGGTCTGATTGCCAGAAACAATCAAGCCTGTAAACTGATAGAGGAAACACATATAATATATTTTTTTTGGGTGGGGGTGGGAGATGGAGTCTAGCTCTGTCACCTAGGCTGGAGTGCAGTGGCATGATCTCGGTTCACTGCAACCTCCGCCTCCTGGTTAAAGCGATTCTCCTGCCTCAGCCTCTTGAGTAGCTGGGATTACAGGCATGGGCCACCACACTCAGCTAATTTTTGTATTTTTAGTGGAGATAGGGTTTTGCCATGTTGGCCGGGCTAGTCTCAAACTTCTGACCTCAAGTAATCTGCCTACCTTGGCTTCCCAAAGTGCTGGGATTACAGGCATGAGGCACTGTGTCCATCAGGAAATACATTCTTAGAGAGAACCCCAGGCTTCCAATGAGATTGAACCCCAAGACCCATGAGAGCCACATCCTGACCTCCCAGTGGTCAGCATCATCCACATCTGAGTGAAAAGGGGAATTTTACTTATTTACCCATTTGTTTATCTATTGATTTAGGAGGCTCAGCCACTCAGAGAGAAGCCAAGTGACTTTTAAAGTTTACTCAGTCATGCATCAAGCAAATATTATGTACCTACTGTTCCAGATATTATGCTGCCTTTGTATGTGCTTTATTATTTTGTCCTCAGAGCACCCTTATGAAGTGTATAGTATTCTTACGGATGATAAAGTGGAAGCTCAGAGAAGTTAAGCAACTTGTTCAAGATCACACAGCCAGGAAGAAACAGAATGGGGCAGGGCCCTGGACTAGCCAGTCCCAAAGACCATCCCCTTTCCACAGCAAGTTCCTACTCCATCAGAATTCTTAGTCATTTGTTATTGGGCATCTGCTTAAACAGTTTTTATTGGAGTATAACATACTCCACATATCATATCAAGAACACATATCAAGCCAGGAGCAGTGGCTCATGCCTGTAATCCCAGCACTGTGGGAGGCCAAGATGGGTGGATTGCTTGAACTCAAGGGTTCAAGACCAGCCTGGGCAACATGGCAAAACCCCACCTCTACAAAAAATACAAAAATTAGCCAGGCATAGTGGAGCATGCCTGTAGTTTCAACTACTCTGGAGGATGATGTGGAGAATCATTTGAGCACAGGAGTTTGAGGCTGCAGTGAGCTGTGATCATGCTACTGCACTCCAGCCTGGGTGACAGGGTCAGACTATCTCAAAAAAACAAAACAAAACAAAACAAAAAAACACACATCATTAGGGTGCAGCTCAGTGAATTTTCACAAGATGAGCACACCCATGCAAACTTTGTTTCTTGTAATGAAACAGAAACAGATCATCAAAGCACCCACCAAGCCACACTTGCCTCTTTCCAGTTACTACTTCAACCCTTCAGAGGAACCGCTCTCCTGACTTCTAACAGCTCAGATTAGTTTTGAGCTTGGTATCAATGGAATCACACAGGATGTTCTCCTCCACACTTGGCTTCTTTCATTCAGCATAAAGCTTGCAAACTTCAACCAGGTGGCTGGGTATGGTTGCATTTCTTTCACCCTCATGGCTGGATAGGATCCCATTGTGTGAATGGACCACAGGCTATTTATCTGTTCACTGTTGATGGGCACGTAGGCACATTCCAGTTTTGTGCTGTTACAAATGGTACTCCTATAAGCATGAACATTCCAGCACATGCTCTTCAGTAGACACATGGATACATTCTTGTTGGGTGTACAATGAGGAGGGATGTGCTAAGTGTCTTGCAAGCAATCTCTCACTGACCTTATGAGCTGGGACAATTATTAGTCTAATTTTACAGATGAGAGAGTTAAGTTTAGTGATATTCCCAGATAGAAAGTAGCAGACCCCATATAAATTCAGGTCTTTGACTCCAGAGCCTGAACCCTTCATCACTACATTGTACTACAACATGCTGTGTGTCAGTTCTTCAACTATGAGCTTACAAAGTCCCAAACAGACAAAGGAGACTGACTTTAACAGAGGTGGCTAAGAGCGCAGACAGACAGCTGGACTGACTTGGATCTAAATCCCAGCTTCATCACTCACCAGCTCTGTAGCTCTGGACAAGCTATTTTACCTTCCCATGCCTCAGTTTCCTCATCCATAAATTGGGATTGTTGTGAGGACTGAATAAGTCGATGCATTTAAAATACCTAAAATAGCATGCCCAGCATGGGTGAAATACATAGTAAATATTAGCTGTTAGGACACTGTGAGGTAAGTAACATGTGGTTATGAACAAAGCAAAATTGCCCTAAAAGTAGGTTTAACATTGTGTGGTTTGCACCAGATCGTTACAGTTGGAGGGGAGCTCTGTGCTCTCCAAATCCAAAGTCCCCCCTTTACAGAGGGGAAAGCTGAGACAAAGGGAGGCAAAGGAAGGAGAAGTCTTACTCCAGGCCACCCAGCCAGTTAATGGTAGGGTGGGGACTCACGGATGGCTGACAGGGCTCTTTCATGACAGTGATGCTGTGGATGAGGGAGATCATCAGATTTGTTCCTTTTGCCCCATTAAAAAACTTCGAAACAAACAGCAGAACTTTTCGGTTCCCATTTCACCTTCCAGCCTCTGATCTCGGTCTCTCCTTTGTCAAGAGGCGCTTTCCAGGTAGGGTGACCAACTTGTTCTAGTTTCCTTTGGACATTCCAAGTTTTAATACTGGAAGTCTCACTTCAGTCCTGGGAAAACCAGGAGAGTTGGTCCCACCTCCTAGCCAGCCTACTGCCTGGCTGTTGTCCTCAGAGTTAATCATTCCTGGAGCCTGAGTGGTTTGCTTCAATGCCTCGTTGCTGCTGGAGAGCAAGAATCCAGGCAGCTAAGACTTGAATTGAAGCAGTTATTTTCCCAATAACAGACATGAGCTATCCTTTCAAAGAGGAGTGAACAGAAAATGCAATCAACTTTCAGAAATATGTAGATGGACACATGCCTGTCACACATGGCATTCTGCAGCTTATCGCTAGCTCATGCATGTTTTCTCAGTTGCTGCTCACTCCACCCGATAAGACTGTTCCTATGTGTTCATGCACACATGTACACAGGCATGCACATGCACTCAAGTACCTATTTTGTTAATTTATGTACACATCTGGCTTATTCTTCACTTCTTCCTTCAAGCTACACATAAAGGGTGCTCAGTAAATATTTGTCAAATGACTGAAAACATTTATGTTTGATGTCTTCAAGACTATGTCATGACCCACTGGAAGAGCCACAGAATGGGAGCAGAGGAATCTGGCTTTGAGTCTCAAGTCTAGGGATTTTAAAGGAGCTCAGTCACAGATGGAAACAGGAGCCAGTAGGCAATATTTTTAGAATCCATGAAAGAGGGGGATTAGACCATAGAGACTGGGGATCCCCTATTCTATCTAAAGGGGGCAGTCTCTACTCACTTCCAATATTTGTGCTGCCAAATAACAAACATGATTTTTTTTTGCCAGGGGGAGGGTTGGGGGAATGGGGATCAGTTTTGCTGATTTTTAAATATTGGAAGCAGACAAAAAGCAAAAACAGGCAAAAAATAGTGTGTGTCAAATCAAACAGAACGGAGGCATCTGTTGACTTCTCAAGCCTCTGAGCTTGCAGCCTCTGACTTACAAGCTAGGGAAGCTTGGGCACATCACCGAGTCTCTCTAAGCCTCAGTTTCCTCAGCTGTAAAATAAGGAGGCAATTCCTTGCCCTGCTTTTCTCTCTGCTGGGCTGCGAGGCCTTTGCGTGAAAGCACACATAAGATATTATGATTCATCGCCACCTGGGGCAGCCACTTACTTTTAGTATTGTGTCAGAAGTGATACACTTATTGGTGCATGCACATTTTCTAAATACGTTGCAAAGTTGTAATGCTTCTCCCATACTGTCAGCTCATAGCAGATTTTTTTTCTCCTTTTCTGCATTTCCATAGACAAGTTGAGCTGATAGTTTTAGGTAGTAAATTTATCAACGGCTTTGAAAGAAGCCATTTTGCTGAAGTTAAAATTCCTCTAAATTTAAAGCAGACCCACCCAGTTGATGGAATGAAGGGAAACTGGAGAATTTTAGTAGAGTCCAGCCCCTGGGTCATGTGCAGGAGGATATAGACGCTGGCAGATACATTAGTCGAGTTTAATCAGGGAAGCAGAACCCACCACGACATATGTGTGTTACATCAGTGTGACCTTACACACAAGAGAGCTGGTCAGGTGGGCTCTGTCAGGCCCTGCTCCTCATGCCTGATGCTGGGACTTGAAGTCCACAAGGCAGCAATTGGGAAGGGAAGATGGAAGTAAAGTGGGAGGAGCAGGAGGAAGCCAGATGCACGGTGTGAGCTGGAGCCCAGGAGGACAGACTGAAACCCCTGTCAACTCCTGTTGTCTCTGATCTCGGTGCTGTGGGTGTCCTACAGGAGAGAGGACCCTTCATCAAAGTCCAAGAGGCTGGAGGAGGAACCAGGGGGAGGTGGGGCCTTGCAGGCTCAGCTGTAGCCTCACACCAACGAGGTGAGTCAGCAGATACGAGGTGAGTCAGCAGATCCATGAAGGCATGTGGGAGCCACAAAAAGGGCTGCTACCTCCCCTCTGACCTCCATGTCTCCCACAAGATGCTCCTTTCTGGCCTACCCTCACCTGAAATCTACAGGGAAGGGCATTGTGGGAAATGCAGTTCAGCCTGGCTAAACTGACCCTTTACAAAGTCATCACAGCAGATAAGTTGGAATTCAATGATGGCAAACAAGAACATGTTTTCTCCCAGTGATGAGGCTAGAAAGTCAGCAGCTGGACACTGGATGTCTGGTTGTTCTTATGTCCGGAGGGTTGGGTTTGGGCCAATTGGTCACATGCAACAGTTCTCCAGACAGAGAGAGGTGAGGATCAGAGCAGAGGGGAGGTGGGCCGAAGGCTTCTCTAGTAATCCTGGTTCTAGCTCTAGGCAGGGCCATGCAGGAAGAAGAGCCTTGCTGAGCGGGACAATGGTGGGAGCTGGGGCGTCTCATTCCTCAGAGGCCAGAGGTGGAAAAGCAAAGTGATTCACCATTTTTAAGCAACAAAAAGGGGGATGTCAGGGAGGTAGAGCTCTTCAGAGAGTGAAGAGCAGGGTCCTTGGGGCGAGTGGTGATAATGTCTGAAGCTTGGTCACCACCTTAAGAAGTTTGTGGCATGAGAAAGACCAACTCGTGGTCAGTAGACGATAGCCTATTTCAGAGAAAAGGATCACATGGTTAGAAAAATACAGCAAACAGAACAAAATAGCCTGCGTGTAGCATTTTATAGTAATCTCCTCCTTCTCAGAAGCCAACGTAGGCAACCTCACCCAGTCTCCAGCCTCCCTCAGCCCCCTCAGTGACCAGTGACACCCTCAGGTTGGGCACCTGGCTGGAGAGTGGCCATCACTGATGTGCTGAGCTGGGCAGGTTCCCCGCTCTCCTAGGAACTTGAATTAGGAGATACTGAAAACCAAGAGGGAATTAAGCAGAGAACCATAGGGCTTGAAGCAGAAAGGCTAGCAAATAAAAAGGGCCAGCTGGTTATTAGAGAAAGAGGCCATCTTGGGCCCTGCCTAGGCTGGGGTGTGATGGGAGAAGCCACTCAAAAGAGGGCCAGAGGGAGCAGAGAGGGGCAGAGATTGCCTAAAAGGAGGTTCTCTCCCCAAGCCTCTGCACCCCAAAAGATATACCCATTTTAGGGCTTTTCTATTTTTTCTTTTTCTTTTCTTTCCTCTTTTCTTTTTTTCCTTTTCTTTTCTTTTTTTTTTTTTTTTCATTTTTTTTTTGAGATGGAGTCTCACTCTGTCACCCAGGCTGGAATGCAGTGGCACAATCTCGGCTTACTGCAACCTCCGCCTCCCAGCTTCAAGCAATTCCCCTGCCTCAGCCTCCCAAATAGCTGGGATTACAGGCGTGCGCCACCACACCTGGCTAATTTTTGTATTTTTAGCAGAGACTGGGTTTCACTATATTGGCCAGGCTCGAACTCCTGACCTTGTGATCTGCCCACCTCAGCCTCCCAAAGTACTGGGATTACAGGCATGAGCCACTGTGCCCAGCTGCTGCTGCTGCTTCTGCTTCTTCTTCTTCTTCTTCTTCTTCTTCTTCTTCTTCTTCTTCTTCTTCTTCTTCTTCTTCTTTCTTCTTCTCCTTCTCCTTCTCCTTCTCCTTCTCCTTCTCCTTCTCCTTCTCCTTCTTCTTCTTATTTTTTGAGACAGAGTCTCGCTCTTGTCGCCCAGGCTGGAGTGCAATGGTGTGATCTTGGCTCACTGCCACCTCCACCTCCCAGGTTCAAGTGATTCTCCTGCCTCAGCCTCCCGAGTAGCTAGGATTACAGGCTCCTGCCACTACACCTAGCTAACTGTTTTGTATTTTTAGTAGAGACCAGGTTTCACCATGTTGGCAAGGCTGGTCTCGAACACCTGACCTCAGGTGATCCACCCACTCGGCCTCCCAAAGTGCTGGGATTACAGACGTGAGCCACGGTGCTCAGCCTCTTTTTTTTTTTTTTTTTTTTTTTTGAGACCAGTGTTGCTCAGTTGCCCAGGCTGGAGTGCAGTGGCACGATCATAGCTCACTGCAGCCTCGAACTCCTAGGCTCAAGTGATCTTCCCTAGGCTCAAGTGATCTTCCCACCTCAGCCTCCTGAGTAGCTGACACTACAGATGTGCACCACTATGCCTGGCTAATTTTTTCATATTTCATTTTTAGAGATGGGGTCTTATTATGTTGCCCAGGCTGGTCTCAAACTCCCAGGCTCAAGCGATCCTCCAGCCTTGGCCTTCCAAAGTGCTGGGATTACAGGCATGAGCGACTGCGCCCGGCCCTCAGGGCTTTCCTAGCCCCTATAAACTAGTTCTTATTGATAGATGCCTCCAGAGCCCTGTAGCCTTATAATAACTCCCACCCACCTCATTCCCTTTTCTTCAGCTCCATGAGGATAATTTCTGTTACTGGAGCAAGAGCTCCTTGATGGATCAAGGCTATACTTTTACCTCACCCCATCCTCGCAACAAACCTAGGAGAAAGAGGCCATCGGGATCCTTCTCTGGAAAACCCGGGCACTAGGGCCAAGGCCAGATAGGGCGTAGGGGGAGCCAGGACTCAGACCCAGGCCTCCAGGTCATAGTCTTTGCTGTTCTTCTTCATTATCTGGCCCTCTAGGGTCTGGACAGTTGAAAGATGCTGGGCAGGCAGGACGTGTTTGTGCCTTTCCTCTTAGGGCTGAAGAGGGTTGAGGAGAGCAGAGCCCCAAGGGCTCATGGAAGACGCAGGGAGCTGGCACACCCTCCCAGCTTCTGCTTCTGGGGTGTGGTGGGGGGAGTTCACATTCAGCAGCCACATGTGTGAGCCCTGCCGGAGGCTCTGGAATGAGGTGACAATTCTGAACTGACGTGAAGAGACTTTGGTTCTAGCTCCAGGTTGCTGCCCCTTACTTTCCACTGACGGGAGCAAAGTGGGCCCTCACATCTGCTGAGGGGCATTTAGGAAAGAGTGACGTCTAAATAATAGAGTGCAATGCGGTCACGCTGATTCCGGAAGATGCGCAAAGCAAAAGGCTCAGGGCCTTAGAATCTTCCTCTTGGGGCTTATTTTAAGGAATAAATCCAGAGAAAGAATAAAAAGTTCTGCATGCAGAAAGATGTCCAGGGTGTGTGCTGTTTTCAATCAGGGCCCTGCTTTCGGGTCTATAAAATGAGGTCTGTGAGGTAAAGGCGCCCATCACAGTCACTCTCTGCGGAAGTAGCATTGCTGGGCCCCATACCAGCCTCCCCACCCAGATCCCCAGACATCCTGCCCCAGACCCACACAGGAAGATGGCCTCGGGCTCCTCAGGCTAGGGGCTTCTGCCTCCTGAGTTGTGCCTGGTGTTGGGCCCACCAAGCCCTTCATGAGGCTGCTGCCTCCTCCCACCTCAGGCCCCACCTCTGCCTGGCTGACTAGGATCCAGCCCCAGCCACATTTCTGGTCTTTCAACATACCAAGTACTTCCTTTCTTCAGGGCCTTCCTACCTAGCTCTTTTTGCCTGGAACTTAGATGTCCCCTTCCAAAATACCACCAACTGGGTGGCTTGATTGATAGAAATGTATCTTTTCCCAGTGCTGGAGGCTGGGAGTGCAGGAGCAGGGTGTCAGCAGGCTTGGTTTCTGGTGAGGTCTCTGCCCTTGGCTTGCGGACAGACACTTCTTGCTGTGTCCTCACATGGTCTTCCTTCTGTGCGTGCATGTCCCCCGGTGTCTCTCTGTGTGTCCAAATTTTCTCTTCTTATATAAAAACACCAGACACATTAGATTAGGGCTTACCCGAACAGCATCATTTTAACTTAATCACCTCTTTGAAGATCCTATCTCCAAACACAGTGACATTCTGAGGTTCTGGGGTTAGGGCTTCAACATATGAATATGGGGTGAGGGAGGGACAGAATTCAGCCTGTGCCACCACCGTTCAAGTCTCTCCTCCAGTGGCATTTTTCCGGGAGTGTCACCAGAGGCCTCTGCACAGGGCTGTCTGGGCAGTTCGCTGCAGGTGCTGCATGTCTGAGCCTTCTTCTGCTGGCCAAGACCCTTGCACTGCGTGGAGCTCCACCCATCCAGGGAAAGGAGAGCCTTTTTCTTTGCCAGAGGCTCTGTCTGCTCATGAAGCCATGCATGGGCTCTGTCTGCCCTGGGAGAACCCTATCTCTAACTCTAATACAGGACCCCCATGAGCACCTGAAAACACAGATTTCCCCTCTCTGCATCCTGCCACCTGCACCCTTTCAACTCTCCCGCATCACCCTGTATGTTTTCTGTGATGCATGCCAATAGCTCATCCTGGTGGTTCAGGGTTCTGCTCTGTATTTGACTGTCTTAACCTCTGGAAAGGATCTGGCCCTATTCAGTGTCACATCCTCCTTTTAGTGCCAAGCCTGGCATCTAAGTCGATCAACGGAGGAAGGAAAATGCTCTGCTCATCCTTCGGAGCCCTTCCTGGCAGATGCCAGACTCCCCTCTGCCCACATTTGTTCCCAGCTCCGATGAGCTCATCCCAGGAGGAAAGAGCAGTGAGTGGGAGAACCAAGGGGCTGTCCAAGGAATGGGCAAAGGGAAGAGTTCACCAGAGGTCAGGCAGCTGCTGGCTGCCTGAACCCCAGCGGGTGGAAATGCTGAGTGAGACGGAAAAATGTCTCGAGCAGAGAGGAAGGAGCTGAGTGAGCCTTGGAGACATATAAGGTGCACTTATGGGAGGAGAGGGAAAGAAAACACAACAGCCGTGTGAAAGAACCCACAGTCTGCGGGAAAATGCCACCAAAGGCAGCCCTGGCCTCAGATGGGTAGGAAACGTGCAGGGCCCGGAAGACCGGGGCCAGTGCCTCTGTGAGGGCAGCCCATAATACCTGCAAGTCCGGCATGTAAATCACTCACGTGCATGGCATGTCGCAGAAGACATTAGCCTCTAAGGAAAATCCCTTCCTGACCCACCGGTTCATCTATTTTGTGGGTGTTATTTTTGGAATAATTTTGGGCATAGAACTTGCAGGAATATCATTTGGATATTTTTCTTGAGGCCTAGTGAAAAAAGGATTGGCCAGCCAGGTCACTGCAAGCCCAGAGGTACCTTTTTGAGATTTCCTTTTCATGGCTTACAGGGCCATTGTAAATCCAGGGTAATATTTTTCCTTGCAGGTGAACATATTCATTTTTTGGGTTGTTGCTAGGTCCCACAAAGTCCTAGGAAGTGGCCTATTGTTCAAGATTGGGAGGCAAAGGCATATAAGTAATGACATTCTTATTAGAGTTTTGATGAATGAAATGCAATAATCGAGTTTCTTTTGCTCTGCCTATGGGGCCCACAATTGTTAATCTATAACTTGCTATATGGATTCAAACTTATTAATCATTTTAAAGCAAAATTCCATTTAATGACTGAAATAGAAAATGAGGCCTTGATGAAATGAAATGTCAGGCTGGCCCCATTGTTCTCCCCAGTGGATGCCAACTGGCAGATTCTTGAACTTCCTTGCCAGAGGGGGTTTGGAGGAGCTGAGGCTGTTGAGACAGGGGAAGGTGGGTGGAGCTCATGGGTGAAGTGTCATCTCTGCCCCATGCACAGGCTCCAGGTGAGACCTCTGGTGTCTCCGCATCCGTGTTAGCAATGGCTTCCTTGGAGGGTGGGCCTCGCCCCTTTTACTGCCATGGTTTGCCATCAGGACTAGAAAGCTGGGCTGAAAAGGGTTCAGTCTTCCTGGACAGAGACCATCAAGAGAATTCTAGTTTCTTTTCTTTTTCTTTTTTCATTTTTTTTTTTTTTTTTCTTGAGATGGAGTCTCTCTCTCCCAGTCTCCCAGGCTGGAGTGCAGTGGAGCAATCTCAGCTCACAGCAACCTCTGCCTCGCGGGTTCAAGTGATTCTCCTACTTCAGCCTCCTGAGTAACTGGGATTACAGGCGCCCACCACCACATCCAGCTAATATTTGTATTTTTAGTAGATATGGGGTGTTGCCATGTTAGCCAGGCTGGTCTCGAATTTCTGACCTCAGATAATCTGCCTGCCTCCACCTCCCAAAGTGCTGGGATTAAAGGCGTGAGCCACTGCACCCGGCTGGGAATTCTAGTTTCTTATATCTGTAGAGCTCTTTAGGATCTGTGAAATATTTTTACAGCTGTGTCCCATGTAACCTCACAGCATTCTTGGGAGGTAAGTAGGACTGGTTTCTTGGCCCCTTTAAGATAGGTGAGTAAATCGAGGAACAGGGTAGCAAAGTGACTTGGCCATCACCAGATTGAGAACTCCAAGCCAGGTCTCTTCACTTGTAGTCTAGTGCACCTTCCTACCCCACAGTGCACCAGGCTGGGCCCATCCAGGGACTCCAGCCTCAGTCCCTGGAGAAAGGAAAATGGACCTGCCTCTCTTTACAATGGGCTTGTGCAACAGAGAAAGTCCTGGTCCTGATGGTTTGCAAGAAGTGGGTATGGCTTATTTGGTTTCTTGCCTGTCTCTACCACTAGAAAGTGAGGAAGTGAGTGGAAGAAGGGACATTGGTCTGTTTTGTTTACTGTGTTTCCCCAGTGACTGAAAGAGTGCCTGGCACATAGTATGTGCTCAATAAATATTTGATAAATGAATTAGTGGATGAACAAATGAATGAAGCAACCTATCTCAGGACTGAGGCTCCTCCATATCCAGACAACATCTAATAGTCCTTCTCTGGATCCTCAAGACCCTTCTAGCTCTTTCCTCTCTGAGAGGTTCTATGCACAGGGACCAAGGATCCCTGCTTAGAAAGCAGAATCGGCACCTGTCAGCACAGCCTGTCCTAGAAGGGGAACCCCCTGCTGCGACCCCATCCCATCTCATACTTCCCAGACATTCTATTCTTCAACACTTAAAAAAAATCAGCACAATATTGGTTTGTCTATTTTTTGGAATCAAATCAATCAATACAATTATTCTGCAAACATTATTTGAGCAGTACCTCCGTGGCGGGCCCTGCACTTGGCTCTGCAGGAGCTGCCGGGAACAGGCTGGGCCCCCTTGTGCCAGGCCCGCATGTGCAGGAGCTCTGAGGTCACAGAGGGAGAGAGCCACGGCCACTGCCAGCCTAGCCCCTTTCCCCAGAGCTCCAGCTGTCTGCGTTGCATAACACTCTACCTTCAGTTTAGTGGAGTAAAACAAAAATGACCATTTATTATCATTATCTTTCATGGCTCTGAGGTTGACTGGTGCAATTAGGTGGTTCTTGTCTGGGGCCCCTCATTTAATTTTTGACAGGCAGTGGCTGGAGTCACCTTGAAGACCTCTTAATTCTCACATCTGGTGATTTAAGTTGGCTGTTGGCTAGAACCCATGAGGCTCTCCATGTGTCCTGGGCTTCCTCACAGCATGGCCAGTGGGTTCCAAGAATAAGTTTCCCCAGAGAGCCAGGTGGGAGCTGTATCATCTCCTGAGACCTAGGAAGTCACTTAAAGTCACCACTGCCTTGCTCTATTGATTGAGGCAATCACAAAGACCCACTCAGGCACAAGGGGAAGGCACAGAGATTTCACTTGATGGAGGAGTGGTAAGGCCTCACTGTAAGAAGAGTCCGCAGGATGGAACAAAGTGTGTGGCCATTTAGGCCAATCCAATCTGCCATACCCAGAGATCCTGGGGCGGAGAAGGAAACTTTGTTCCTTTATTTTGTTTCTTTCTTCCTTCCTTTCCTTCCTTCTTCCTTGTCTTCATTCCTTCTCTCCTTCCTTTGCTTCTTCCCTCCTCCCTCCCCTCCTCCCCTCCCTTTCTCCCTCCTTCCTCCCTCCCTCCTTCCCTCCTCCCTCCCTCCTTCCCTTCTTCTCTTCTTCCCTCCCTCTTTCCCTCCTCTCCCTCCTATCCTTCTTATTCCCTCCTTCCTCCCCCATCCCTCCCTCCTTCCCTCCTTCCTCCCCTCCTTCTCTCCTTCCTTCCCTCCTTCCTTCCCTCCTTCCTTCCCTCCTTCACTCCTTCCTTCTTTTCTGCCTTTGCTCCTTCTTCCCTTCCTCCTTCCCTTCCTTCTTCTTTTCTTCCCTTTCTGCCTCCCTCCTTCCTTCCTTCCTTCCTCTTTCCTTCCTTTCTTCTTTCCTTCCTTCTCTCCTTCCTGCCTCCCTCCTCCCTGCCTGTCCCTGCCCATGCTAAGTCCAGGCTGGGTGGGAAAGGGCTCTTTTTCACCCAGTTTCCTGAGATAGCTGCCAGGTCCATGTGGCTGCCAGGTCAGCATTCAAGGCAGGAACCATGGAGACCTTGTCTCCTCAGCTGTCAAATCAGAGTAAGAGGAACAGCACAGGCCTTGCCTTCATGATATGATTGTTGTCATGAATGTAGGGGCCAGAAATGGCAGAATATTTAGAGTCTGGCAACCTGGTGGTTGTGAATCTCAGCTCTTCTCATCCTAACTCTGTTCCTTCAGGACAACAGCAACTCTAATACTAAGTATTTGTCAGGCCCAGGTGCTAGTGAAAGCTCTTCATGTGTATTTTCCTACTTAAACTTTATAACAACCCAATAGGTGGATATCTTGTTGCCATTTTTGTAGATTAAGAAACAGAGGCTCAGAGAGGCTGAAACACTCATCTCAGGTCACACAGCTAAGTGGCAGAGCCAGGCCCATCTTACATGAAGTTTGAGCTGCGTTCTTCCCCCTCCCCACTGAGCTACGCACGTGGACACGGGGCTTCCTCATCGAGGATTACTGGGCTTATTCACACCCACTGTCCGGGCTCGTTCTGAGAGAGATGGGGCGAAGTCACTTTGGAAGAGGTCACAACAGATGTCAGCCAGGACAGCCAGCTCTGTGCAGAGCAGAACCAAGGCCCCAGAGCCTTCGGAGCAGCCCATTTGCAGGCGTTCCAGCAGTTTGCTGCTGCTTGCCTCTCCTCTCCCCACCTTTCCCCTGCAGCCTCAGTTTCTTGGTCCTCTGGGCTTTCCAAAGCAGCAGGGCTGGCAGGCTCCTCACTGCCCCCAGCAGGAGAAGTGGCCTGGAAAAGGCAACAGTATGAACGGCCATACTGAGTCGATCATATTTGCCAAGCCCCTGACCCCCCAAAGTCCTCGCCTTGGTCAGCTCTCAGGTCAGTGTCCTCTGCCAGTCCTTCTAACCTGGCTCCCCTCTTCTTCACCCCTCGGCCTTCTCCTGACACACTGACCTTCCTCTTTGCCAAACCTTTCAAGTTCTCCTCCTCTCAGGGATTTTATACTTAAACTTCTTTCTGCTCGACCCCAAGCCCCCTAGCCATCCTTCACGTGGCTCTCTCTGCTTTTATATCACCTCCTCCATGCAGCCCTCCTTGATCACCCTGCCCAAAGTAGCCACCCTTATGCCAACTGCTTCAATCTCTTTACCTTGCTTTACTTTCCTTCATGGCTCTTATTTTTATTCCCACCTAAAATTATGTTTTTATTATGTTTACGTCTTTCTCCCCCAACTGGAACTCTCGGGTCAGGGAGAGTGTCTATTTTGTTCACTTCTGTATGTCCAGCGTCAACAACATTGCCAGAACATGGTAGGATCCCCCCAAATATTGCTGAGTACATAAGTGAATAAAAGAATGAAAATCTCCCTCTCAAAACTGACTGAGGCTGTATAAAGGAGTCAAGGACCACCGCAGTCAACGAGAGGAGAGGGCTCTCCAGGAAGTCACACAGTGGGAGGGGCAGGGACAGACGGGTAAGGAATTGGTGGTGGCAGCAGCTCAGCAGCCCTGCCTGAGGACCCCCACAGAGCTGGAAGACCACCAGAGGCCTCATCTATTTCTGATGCCGGAGTCATTCCTTGGCCGTGGAAGAATCGTAGGAGTTAAGTAAGGAATTGGGAGTCACATGCCAGTTCTGCAACTTGTTAGCTTTGTGCCAGTGAGACAATGAATTAACTACTCCCAGCCTCAGTTTCTCCTTCTATAAGGTGGTGTGGAACACAAGGCAGCTTTTGTGAGGATCAAACAGTAGGTGCATATCAAACTCTTAGACTCGGTGGATGTGCCTGTCTGTCACAGAGGCCAGCCTCATACTCACTGCCTTGGTCATCTGGGAAGCAGGACCTGAAACTCAAAGCCTCATCTCTACCTGAGGGGATGGCATTTGCTCATCAGAGTATGTTTTTCTTTCCTTTCATGTTTTACAAGAGTTTGTTTGTTTCAGGGGGAAAGCACAAAACCTGCCTCAGAACACCTGGGCAGGGTCTCAACTCTGCTGCGGAGCCCTGGACCCATCACTTTGCCTCTCTAAGTCTTGCCTTCCTCATTGCACTGAGATGAACAATGGTGCACTGTCCCCTACACACACCACATTGAATTGCATATTAGCCCTTTATACTTAAAATTCTGCATCTTTCACTGGATCTTAATTTTATATTTATTTCCACAAAATATAAATTTGCTTTTTATAAATATTTCATATATATGTCTATCTATCTATATTTTATAAATCATTATATCTACTTCTAGAATCTCAGATATTTACATATAGAGGGGCAGCAGGGTGTGAGAGTGAAGAGAGGGGACCATGGAATTAGAAAGTGTAAGCTCAGATCACTTCTGTACTTCTGTCATCAACAACAGTGCCAGAACATGGTAGTTACCTCAAAGGACCCCAAAATATTGCTGAATATGAATGAATAAATGAATGAATGAAAATGAATGAATGAAGTGGCTCTACTGTTTACTAGAGGTGACCTTTGACAGGTGTGTTACCTTCTTTCCACCTCAGGTTTCATCATCTGAAAATGAGAAGGTATGAGGACCTACCTTGTAGATTTGTTTTGAAGAGTAACTGACAAAAACCACGTGAAGTTGTGCATTGGACTTCATATCAGCATTATTTGTAACAGCCAAAAGGTGGAAACAGCCCTAATGTCCATGAAATGAACAAAATGTGGAACATACATGCAACAGAATATTCTTCAGTATTCAAAAAGATGGAAATTCTGACGCATGTTATAACACAGATAAATTTTGAAGACATTACGCTAAATTAAATACACCAGTTACAAAAGGACAGGTATTGTAGTATTCCACTTACATGAGGTCCCTAGAGAAGCCAAATTCATAGAGACAGAAAGGAGGATAGGGGTTGCCAGGGGCTAGGAGGAGGGGGAATGGGGAGCTGTTGTTTAAAAGGTAAGGAGTTTCAGTTTTCAAGGTGAAAAAAGTTCTTTGGATGGATGATGGTGATGGTTGTGCAACGGTACTAATGCACTTAATGCCACTTAACTGTACACTTAAAATAGTTAAAATGGTAACTTTTATGCTATTGTATATATGCATATAAAAACATACAAATAAAATATAAAACCTATATAAGATACTCACTGTGGTGCCTGGCATAATGAATATTAGGTTTAAAACTAAATAAATGAAATAAGATACCCTTTGCAAGAATGAGTGATATCAAAGAGCTTTAAAATCTGTAATGCGCCATCAAAATACATCATGTTCCCACCATGCTTTACCTGCATGGTGAATTCTAGTGGCAGTGGATCGCACCCAATGTGACGGTCAGTCACTTCTGGAAAGGCTTCCTTTCCCACCACTTCCCTGCACATCAGCTTCTCGGCCTCTCTGCTGATGGGCAGTGGATGCCCCTAGAAACCGATGCAGACAGGTGTTTGGGCATCCCACTGTTGACGGGAAACCAGAAGCAAATCATCCTCTAATTTGTTGGCCAATGAGTCCGGATCTTCATGATTCATAATTTGTTGGATGTTGTGTTTCAAAGCAAAGCTCAGCAGTGTGTGATTTTGGTAGTGTGGGAGAGAGGGCTTCTCTGAGTGTGGGGAATGTGGGGAACGCAGCCAACCACCCAGTCTTCGGAAGACTCGCCAGTGTTACTGCTGATCCCAGTGCCGAAGGCGGGTTTGCATTTCAAGTCCCATGTCCACTGAGGAGGGAAAGTGGTCTGGGCTCTCTGGCCAACTTAAGGGAGATCAGAAGTTCTCTTATTTTTAAAAGATCCTATCCCTACTTGCCTCAAAAGGTGCTGCCACATCCGCAGTGGCACAGGGCTACTTAGGCTCAGGGATTGGCCCTGGGGTTTAATAATGTCCTTCTTTTCCTCTTAGGCACAGCCCAGGCCCAGGAGGCAGGATACCTGGGTCCTGCCCTGCCACCTGCCATCACCATCTCAGGAAACTTGCAGAGACGCATCTAACTGCCCTGCCCCTCAATCTCTGGTACTGCAAAACTGGGACTCATTGTTCAGAGGCGAGGTGGGTTGAGGAAAGGAGAAGGTGCTGGTGATGAAGAGGGCCTTGGAATGAGAGTTGGGGTCACACTGGCCACAACTTCTCCCATTCTCTGCTTGAAGTTCCTTTATGATTGGAGAGGCTGGCAAGTGAGGGAGGCAAGGCCATCAACTCTGGAGTCCGATGGCCCAGGTTTCAGATCCCAGTTCTACAACTTACTGACCTGTTTCAGTTTCCCCATCTGCAAAAGAGATTAAAAACACAAAACAGGCCGGGCACGGTGGCTCACGCCTGTAATCCCAGCACTTTGGGAGGCCGAGGCAAGCAGATCACGAGGTCAGGAGATCGAGACCATCCTGGCTAACACGGTGAAACTCCGTCTCTAATAAAAACACAAAAGAATTAGCCGGGTGTGGTGGTGGGCGCCTGTGGTCCCAGCTACTCGGGAGTCTGAGGCAGGAGAATGGAGTGAACCTGACAGGCGGAGCTTGCAGCGAGCGGAGATCGCACCACTGCACTCCAGCCTGGGAGACAGAGCGAGACTCAGTCTCCAAAAACAACAACAACAAAACCCTGCCTGCCTTGTGTCATTACTATGAGGATTAGCTAAGTTGATTTTTGTTAAGCAATCCACACAGTTCCTGGCACATAGTAAACCACAGGCGAGCGCATGGTTTCCTCGTCCCTGTTGCATTTGACAGAGGACTTGCCTTAGCGGCGAGCTCTCTCTCCCCTGATCTGTGCAGCTCTGGGATGTGGCCTAACAGAAACAGATCTAAAGGGCTGGTGGGGATTGGGTGGAAAAGAGATTGTGAAACAATGATCAACACAGAAGCTGCCCTGGAGATTTTCTAAAAGGTTCTCGCATTCCTTTAATTAACTTCCATGAGGGGAGGACAGAAATCAAATTAATAAGTCAGGAAAGAATGCTGACATTTAGGGAAAGAAATGAGCTTTGATGTCAAACAATCTTCAGTTCAGATCGACTCTCTCGCTGTGTGGCTTTAGGAAAGCTGTTTAACCCCTCTGAATCTCACTTCCTGTATCCAAAAAGTGTGCATAGCATTCCTTTCCATTCAGGGATCCTGTGAGAATTAAATGAGATGACGTAAGTCAGTATCTAGCTTAGCCCTGTTGTCTTAAATTGAATACTCCTACAAAATTTTGCAGCTCCTCCTATCAAGAGGTGGGGTTTATTTTCCCATTGCTGAATATGGGTTGACCTTGCGAGTGGTGTTGACCAGAAGAATGCAGTGGAGGTGACATCATGCAAGTAGACCTTAAGAGACAGTGCAACTTTCACTGGGGCCGTCCTGAAGCACTGCCCAGAAACCTCAGATCAGGAAATTGGTCTAGCCTTCTGGAAGACAAGAGTCCCCAGGGAGGAGCATCAGGGTTTCCAGTCAAGTGTCCCAGCACAGCTGCTAGACATGCGCCTGAGGCCATCTTGGGACCTTCCAGCTGAGACAAGCAGAAAATCACACAGCCAACTTAACAAAATGTAAATCAATTCTGGTTGATTTAAGTCGTCAAGTTTTGTGGGGAGGTTGTGTTATATAGTAAAGCCCACTTGAAATAGCCCTCAATATAGACTGGTTGAATTGAATAACTGTAGAAGTGAAAATCCCTCGAAAAATACAGCACATGCTTTTAAGCACAAGCTGCTATTATTATTCATACTGACTAGTTAGAATAAGAATACAATAAGAGGTAACAATGTAACAATCGTGGTTGTTTGATGACTTCTTATTTCCTGTCCCTTGGGAGAAGACCACAGTCAGTTGGAACAGCCTTTGACAGGCTCAAATAAGCAGCAACCTTCTTTGCACACAAACATTTTAAATCTCTCTGTCTTTTCCTGTCTGTAATAGCTCTGCATCGCCTCACTGGGCCACCTGGGATGGTGCCACAACTCCTATTAATATTGCCATACGTGGCAGCATTGCACTCAAGTCCCACGCTCTCAGCTGCCTGTGTGTGGCACAGAGCCTATTTTTAGAGTTTTACATCTATAATTATGTATGTTTCACTGCCTCTCAAATGCATATTTGCTCTGGGGAGAGGTTATGCTTATGTAATCTCAGCTATTTTTGATAGGACAAAATGTGTTATACAAACCTGCTAAGTCTCATTCAACCAGAGCAAACAGTCCAACAGTCTCTTCCTCACTCAAACTCCCATGTAAGCAGGGATGATACTTGAGACATTTTGAGTACTGGTAAAACATTGTCACTGACAAATCAGAACAGAACCAGCCATTACATCACATTGGTGTTTACAGCTCTGTTCTTAAGGGCCAGTTCAGACTACAAATCTATTCATGATTTTTACAAATTAACGTTCCCTGCAAGGAAACAAATCAACTGGGAAGGGGAGCTCAGTGTGATCCTGGTGTTATCCGGATGACATCAGCCTTGTTGACTGCCTGGATCAGTTTCCCAAGGTGTCATGTCCTTGGCCAAGAAGTTTTTCTAAAGGAGTTTTCTAGCTCAGAAGGAAGAAGAACTGGCAAAGTCAAGACCAACTTGGTGGGCCTTAGTGATGGAGATCTGGGGCCCAGGCCTAGCAGATGAAGCAGGTGACCTGGGGAGGCCCCCACTGTGGGGATGCTGCGGAGATCCAAACAGGGAGAAGGGTGAGGGTCAAAGCAGCTAAGCAGCTGACGGTGGGAAGCAAGCCGATAGGGGCAGGATCCCAGGCCTGCTGAAATCAGGAGATCTCAGATGCCCCAGGAAAGGGGATTCTGCCTAGGGGAAACACACAGTCTTTTACTCATTCACTTACTCACTCATTCATTCAGTGGACATTGACGGAAGTGTCTACTGGGAGCCAGATACTGCCCTAGTTGCCAGGGAAACAGATAAAAACTTCTAGCTTACTTATAAGATATCGGTTTTTCTCTATGTATTAAAATGTTTAAGTAGCAAACTTAGAAAATACAGAAAAGAATAAAGGAGAAACCCCATCTTCTGGATTGTCATCTTTTAAAGACCATCCTTGTTAATGTCTGGCTTATCTCCTTATTTGTACATGGTATATGCTTTTTAACCTCAGAATTGGGATTGTATCCTATAAACTATTGTTCACTCAGTATTATATTTCCAGAAGCTTCTTACACCTCTAATAGTTTTTCTGAATATGACTTTTAATGGCTGCAGAGAATCTCATTTTGAGGACTTGCTATAAATTATTTAAGGTCCCTCAATTCTCATCAATGTTGTCTCCAAATAAAAAATTTTATATCCCCTTAAAATTGTCATTTATGGCCGGGCATGGGGGCTCACGCCTGTGATCCTAGCACTTTGGGAGACTGAGGTGGGCAGATCACCTGAGGTCAGGAGTTTGAGACCAGCCTGGCCAACATGGCAAAATCGTCTCTACTAAATATACAAAAGCCAGGCGTGGTGGCACATGCCTGTAATCGCAGCTACTCAGGAGGCTGAGACAGGAGAATCGCTTGAACCCCAGGAGGTGGAGGTTGCAGTGAGCCAAGATCACATCACTGCACTCCAGCCTGGGCAACAGAGTGAGACTCCATCTCAAAAAAAAAAAAAATTGACATTTATGTGCCACAAAAACATGCCACCTAGTAACTTCATGAGAAGTGAAAATAAATAGAGTAGTGGTCTCTTCTATTTGAGAAGTATATCAGAACACAAATGAGTGAAAGTTATAGTACTATATCAAATAACCTTAATTTGCTCTAGTTTGTACAAAAATTTTCAAACTTCCATACTTTTTCATACATTATTTTCATTGTTATAACTAGCAAAATGATAATAATTGTCATTGGCAAGATTCCAGAGAAATGAACACTTATATATTTCTATTGAGAGTTCAAATTTCACTGTGTTGAAAGATTTTTAAATGCTCAGACCCAGCATTCACCTTCTAAGAATTTATGTTAAGGAATTAATATTAAAGATGTGTACAAAGATTTATGAAAAACAATATTTATATCGGCATTATTTTTGTGCTTAATACATAGTAACTTCTAAAAATGGAAGCTATAATTACCAGTACTAGCATCACCAATTCCTTTTCCAGCCCCATCTGGCTTTTAGAATAAGAATATTATAATTAATACATTTTTACATTGGGCTTCATCTCTTTCCAGAATTATTTTTTGACACTTGCATTGTTTTATAATCATGTTAACTGCAATTATTAAGAAATTAACTTGAAATTTTTGGGTTCTCTGTTAAGCAATGTTTCTTTTATATTGCTTTTTCTCATATCTGAATTATTTATTTTGCTTCATTTTTCAGCCACCTGGAGTGTTTCTTTGATGATTTTTGTTTTCAAGAAGTAATAGTCACAACATATGTTGTTTATGAATCTGTCCCCATAAGATTACCCGCACACTTTCGGAGGGCTGTGACTGGGATTGCAGACACCACCCCAGGAGTGGAAGCACAAAAAAGATTACGAATATACAAGAATGGCACCTTGGCTGCATATAGTCTTAGTTCTCAATCTCAATCCTCTGAAAGTTTTTGGATTTTGATAACATTTTATCTTAGAATTTGCTAAGAAGTATGACCTAGTGCAATTTCTTTCTTTCTTCTTTTGAAGGTAATTTGGGTATTTCTACCCTCCACCCTAGAGGACTAAATGATTATAGGATTCTAAATTTTTTATCCTTGAAATGCAAACATTTTAGCCATGTATGCATCGAAGAACTCTTAGAGAGGATAGCAGATCTTTTCTTAGAAGGCCATACAGCTTTCTAAGTAGGTCATAGGGTCTGTAGTGGCCAGCATGCAATTCTGCTGTTGTAGCAGAAAAGCCGCCAGAAACAATGTATAAATGAGCAGGCATGGCTATGTTCCAATAAAACTTTATTTGCAAAAGCAGGTGAACAGCCTGCCGGGGCAGTTTGCCTCTAGATTCTACAGACACAAATCTTGCTTCGGCTCAGGGGAATTTTCTGTCATATCTTGAGTTATTTTTTCTCTTTCATTTGCTCTGTTGCCACCATTTAAAATCTTACACAGAGTTGATCTGTAGCTGCCTTTCTAGCTTCCTCTTTCCTTTTTCTTTCTCTCTCTCGTCTTATTTTCTCCATTTCTTGTCGTCTTTTCACTGATTCTGGGAGGATTCCTTGAGCTCACTTCTAAATTCACAGATTCTGTCTTCTGTTCTGTTCAATCTGCTCTGTATTGCCCTAACAACACTAGAACATTTCCATGATTATGCTTTTCACTGGGAAACTGTCTTTCTGGATTTCAGGGATTTCCATTAAAAGAAACAATATCTCTAATCTTATGGGAAATACAAAAATTAGCGATCACTTTTACCCTTGTTTATTGGGATAGTTTTACATCATGAGAGAGTATATGTTTTGATTTCTCAAAATAAGCTCTCTTTTTTAAATCACAGAAACTTTTCCTACCTCTGTTACATTTTCTTTTATTGTATGTATTTGCAGAGGGAAAACTGTTGATCCACTGTTACAACTTGAGAATACTTCTGTTAGAAACTTATTTAAATATGTTACTCACAGAAGGGAAAAGGACTTCTTGGTCTATTCTGCAGGTGTTTTTTTAGTTTGGAGGTTCAGTTGATTATGAGGAGAAGAAAGTGGGTGAGTGGGAAGGTGCAGCAGGAAAATGCACCATTTCCTGGCGGTTTCTTTTCACCCTGTGCAGGCATTGGGGCAGCAGCATCCGCAGCCATCTGCAGGGCTTAGATTTGCTCACTCCACTGCTCGGGACCCTCTCCTGGTCGTCCCCATCTAGCCTTTCCAGGAGAGCTCCATTTACTCTCCTATTGTGGCAGGAGGCAGAACTCAACTCTGGAGGTGGGGCTTGGACACCAGACCTAATTGAAGACTAGCTAAAACAGGTCAGGGCCAGAAGCACCTCCCCATAAGACACACCCATCAGTGGGCCATGTCAGTTTACCAGTGCCATGGCAACGCCCAGGAGTTACACCCCACCTTTTCATGGCAACACTCGACAACCCAGAAGTTACCTCCCTCATTCTAGACATTTCTGCATGGACTGCCCCTTATTTTGCATATAATTAAAATTGGTTATAACTATGAGCACAGTGGCACTTCTAAGCTGCTATTCTGGGCACACAGCTTACAGGGCAGCCTGTCTTCTGCTGTACATTGCTGCTTCAATAGAAGTGGCTGTTTAACACCACTGTCTTGCCCTTAAATTCTTTCCTGGGGAGGCCAAGAACTCTCCTGGGCTAAGCCTCAATTTAGGGGCTGGCCTGTCCTGCATCAATATGGCAGGAAGGTTTATTATTGTCCCAAGCATGTACTTCTCTGCCATGACTGTACTAATAGCCCCAAATCAGGGCAGCAAATCCTTGCTTTCATTGAGTCTCCTTAGCAATAGTTGTTTTTTCCTTCCCACACTATTTACATCACGTGAAGCCTGGTGTGAGTGGTGCTCTTGGCTGTTTCCTATCAGGGGCAGTGGGACAATTCCTCAAGTCCTTTAATCTGCCCCATACCAATTACCCTGGGGTCCATGATAGTAAATAACATGAACCCAAGGTTGAGGGGCTTTTGCAGCTCTTGGGGATCCCCTCCACTTCTGCGGGGGCCCTTCCCATGCCTGCATTAGACGGCAGCCTTCATTCAACCACTTTCCTTCTCCATCAAATCCTTTAAAGAAAAGTACTCAAGAAAACCTAGGCAATACCATTCAGGACATAGGCATGGGCAAGGACTTCATGTCTAAAACACCAAAAGCAATGGCAACAAAAGCCAAAATTGACAAATGGGATCTAATTAAACTAAAGAGCTTCTGCACAGCAAAAGAAACTACCATCAGAGTGAACAGGCAACCTACAAAATGGGAGAAAATTTTCGCAACCTACTCATCTGACAAAGGGCTAATATCCAGAATCTACAATGAATTCAAACAAATTTACAAGAAAAAAACAAAAACCCCATCAAAAAGTGGGCGAAGGATATGAACAGACACTTCTCAAAAGAAGACATTTATGCAGCCAAAAAACACATGAAGAAATGCTCATCATCACTGGCCATCAGAGAAATGCAAATCAAAACCACAATGAGATACCATCTCACACCAGTTAGAATGGTGATCATTAAAAAGTCAGGAAACAACAGGTGCTGGAGAGGATGTGGAGAAATAGGAACAATTTTACACTGTTGGTGGGACTGTAAACTAGTTCAACCATTGTGGAAGTCGGTGTGGCAATTCCTCAGGGATCTAGAACGAGAAATACCATTTGACCCAGCCATCCCATTACTGCGTATATACCCAAAGGATTATAAATCATGCTGCTATAAAGACACATGCACATGTATGTTTACTGCGGCACTATTCACAATAGCAAAGACTTGGAACCAACCCAAATGTCCAACAACGATAGACTGGATTAAGAAAATGTGGCACATATACACCATGGAATACTGTGCAGCCATAAAAAATGATGAGTTCATGTCCTTTTTAGGGACATGGATGAAACTGGAAGCCATCATTCTCAGCAAACTATCACAAGGACAAAAAAACAAACACTGCATGTTCTCACTCATAGGTGGGAATTGAACAATGAGAACAAACGGACACAGGAAGGGGAACATCACACTCCAGGGACTGTTGTGGGATGGGGGGAGGGGGGAGGGATAGCATTAGGAGATATACCTAATGCTAAATGACGAGTTAATGGGTGCAGCACACCAACATGGCACATGTATACATATGTAACAATCCTGCACATTGTGCACATGTACTCTAAAACTTAAAATATAATAATAATAAAATAAAGAAAAGTACTCAAGTTTCTAGGTTATCCATGGCTTAGTTTCTAGTGCTGATAGAGATTTTCTTTCTTTCTTTTCATTTTTTGTTTTTTAATTTGGTTATAATAAGGTTTGGAGAGGCAAGGGAAGTAAACAGATAAACTCGAATCGCTTTCTGAAAATGGAAGCCACAGTTTGTTCTTGATTCCTTCTGACAACTTGAATTAACAGACTTGGAAAATTTTCTCTTGCGTCTTGCAGTAACTCAATTCAGTTGGGAGGCACCTGTGGTCCTCCTTGTTGTGAACAGTTCTGTCTTCTCATGCGCCTGTGACTTTTCTTTGCTTCTCTTCACTAACCCATTGCTAGGAGTTCTGTCAGAGATTGTGCGGTTCCCTGTGTGAATAATTCAGGCCACGACGATGGGAGAATGGAATGGATTAAACTGGATGGAGTTCTCTTTGGCTGATTCGAAGATCTAGATGCTGAAGGAAGAAGAGGAAGCTAGAAGAGGCCAGGGTAAGGAGGTCAGCCTGAACGGGAGTGGTGGCAGGAAGTTTGGACTCCCTGCTCAAGGAGTGTTTTCAGTGTTTGGTATTTGCACTGGGGGTCTTTCTATTGTGAACACAAAGCCCAACTTAGAGGGAGGTAACTGAGGAAGGGAAACCGAGGAGTAGTTCTGGTTTCAAGTAGAGCTGAATTTAAAGTCAAAACAACATCCTTGACAATCCAGTTTCTATCGCTTCCGTGTGCTTCCTGCTGTGTTAGATTGATTCTTGGGCTCACTGTAGTGGCCCCTAAAACTTCTGGGTGATAAAGTGGCTACAACAGCTCCAGCCTCACCCCTCCTCCTCCCATCAGCTCAATTCCAACAGCATAGAGCTTGGATCTTTCCCTTGGTTTCCACTAAACATTTTTTTAAATTAATAAGAGCTTTATTGAGATGTAATTTACATACCATACAGTTCACTCACTTAAAGTAAAATTCAGTGATTTTAGTATATTCATGGAATTATACAACCATCAGCACAATCAATTTAAAAAAAAATTCATCACCTCAAAAAGAAACCCCATTCCCATGAGCAGTCACTCCCCATCCTCCTTTCTCCCAGCCCTAGGTAACCATGAATCCACTCTCTGTCTCTATGGATTTGCCTGTTCCGGACATTTCATACAATACGTGGTCTTTTGCACTAGGCTTTTTTTACTTTGCATGATGATTGAGAGGCTCACCTATGTTGCAGCGTGTGCCTGAATCTTATTTCTTTTCATGGCTGAATAATACTCCATTGTATGGATTCATCACATTTTGTTTATACATTCACTGGTTGAAAGATACTTGGTTTGTTTCCACCTTTTGTTTATTACAGTGCTGCTGGGATCATTTGTGTGCATTATGTGAACATTTGGTTTCATTTCTCTAGGGTAGGTATTGAAGAGTGGAATTGCTGGGTGACACAGTTCACCTTTTGAGAAACTGGCTGTTTTCCAAAGCAGCTATACTATTTTACACTCACATCAGCAGTGTCTAAGGGTTCAGTTTCTCCACTTCCTTGCCAGTCTTGTTGAGATCTCTCTATTTGGCTGTAGCCATGCTTGTGTTGTGCAGTCATATCTTATTGTGGACTCCCACTAAACTTTTGAGAGCCTTTCTGATTGGACCACCCTGGGTGGTGAGACCATTCCTGAATCAATCACTGTGTCAAGGTCCATTTAGTGCTGGATTGACCAGACCTGAGTCAAGAACCTCATCCTGGAGATCCTTCCAGACCATGTGGACTCAGAATGAAGAGAAGGGTTGACTCCAAGTTCAAAATCAGAGTCATTACTAGGGTAAGAGGATCTGGGATGCTGGGAAAATGAGAATTCATGTCTACTAAAGCTCAGCCACCAGCAGTCTGCTGGGGCTGTGCCCTGACCCAGGCCTGGTGGAAGTTGGCTTCAGAGTTTAGTCCCAAGGAATTGCTGGTCTGGTCTGGGGGTCCCCTTCACTGTGCCCCTGGCACCATGGCCACTTATCCATGGCACTGACCAGTTTTAGAGGCTTTAGCCCACTCTCACCTCCAGTTTTCACTGCAGCAGGGCTGTTGGTGAGGATCTGCAAAGACAGTTTTGAAATTTCTATCAAACAGACCACTCCTTCCCATTGTGGAAATAATGAATTCTTCAATCTGGCCCATCTGCCGTGTATCTAACAGATGTTCCTCAGACCTCCTGGCCTATAAATACCACCCTTTGCTAATATCCAGTATGGATAAGTTTTTTCTTATTTTTATATACAGTTGGTCATTTTCTGGGGAATCTGGGAGATAGATAGGTATGTGCTTATGTTGTTGTCTTCCCGCACTAGAGAAGTAACTCCAGCGTGCTTCCTGGAAACAGCTTATGACTCAAGCTATCTATTTCAAGACTGGGTTAAAAATGATGCTACTTCTACTAAAAATACAAAAATTAGCCAGGCATGGTGGTGTGATCTTGTAGACCCAGCTACTCAGGAGGCTGAGGCAGAAGAATCACTTGAACCAAGGGGGCAGAGGTTACAGTGAGCCAAGATCATGCTACTACACTCCAGCCTGGGTGACAGAGGGAGTCTCTGTCAAAAAAAAAAAAAAAGGTGATGCTACTTCAAAACACATCATGTCTCATTGGACACTCTCCACATGGTCAATAATATAATAGAAGTCAGGTGTCACCTTCTAAACAATGAAGGTTTACTACATGGTGGGCACTATGGAAAACATTTTCATGTATTACCTCATTTAATCATGAAATCCCCATGTTATTCTCACATTATAGGTAAGGAAACTGAAGCTCAGAGAAGTTAAGTGACTTGTCAAAAGTCACACAGTAAACCACAACGATTCACATGTAGTGCTAAAATTTTTAAGTGACCCTGCCTGCCACTGTGATTTTTCCCATCACTTTATCTGTCCAGACCCTCCTCCAATCCTGCAGAGCCTCCCTGTGAATATGAGAAACCCATCCCCCGACCTGCTCCTTTCTGGTTTGGCCATCATCAGGGTCTGCCTGGCCTCTGGAGTAATCTGCTGTCTGGCTCCCTGACCCCAGTCTTGCTTCCTGCAATCCATCCTTTGCCCTCCAGCCAACATGAACTTTCTCCAGTGCAACACTGATTGTATCACTGCCTGATTCAAAAGGCTTCAAAGCCAAGAGTTGAAAACTCCTCAGTGCAGGGCACGGCCAGGCTCCTGTGATGCTGTCTCTCTTGCTGCCTCCACACCCTCTGCTCTGCTGCTCGTGTGAACCATTTGCAAGTCCATCAATGCACCATGCTGCTTCTCACTTCTGTCTTTGCACCACTTGTCATTTTGTCTTCTTACCTCTGTCCCCACCCCTTACCCCTCACCAGTTTTACTTCTCTGTGCTCTTCATCCTTCAAGGCCAAGTCTATGTAGCAGCCCGTAGAAGAATACACTTCTTCAAAACCACCACCACAGACATAGCCACCAGGCCTTTAGTCAGGGATGCAATGGCCTTGTAGCTTTGAATCACACCAGCCTACCTGGTTGACCTGCTTACTAGGTTGTCCTCAGAGTCAGAATAGAAAGACTGCTATGGTCATCTGGTCGACCCGAAACCCTTTTCTTAATAGAGATCAAAGCTTAACCCATATTCCATATGGCCCAGCTCATGTTCCCTGGACCATTTCAACAACCCAGGCATAAGGAGCCTTGGCCAGTTTTTCCATCTGCAAATTGAAAGGGAATGTTTCTCCCAGATAATCTCCCAGGCCCTTTTCTACTCTAAATTTCAAGATTGCACGTACTGTCTTATCTTAGGGTCTACAATGAGTTAAACATGATCTCACATTTCCCCATCTCTCTCTGTCTCCTTGCCCCTTGTTCCTTGTTTACTTTCGGGGTACAGCCTGCTCCTGGAAAGTCGTCTGGGCTGTAAGGAGTGGTTACTGCACTTCCATTATTCATGAGTCCCAGGGCCGGCAGTCCTGCAGTTGGAGGATTTGAGCCACGGGTCCCCAGCAGGCTGCATGTCCTACTTGAGCAGGAATAAAAGGCCAGGTTGGATGCCTGCAGGAAGGGTAAACAAACCCATACGCTTTCTACAACAAAAAAAGAAAGAACGAATGAAAAGAAATATTGATTATGTGGCATTGAAGTGCCTGGGGCTTTAACAGACATTCAAAATTGGATGCATTGCTCAAGATCAATAGTAGGTTTTATGCTTCTGACCTAAAAAGTACCAGCTCTATGTAATTTAAACACTGACAGCCACAAGGATATCTCCTAGCATCTGGCCTGCTTTCCTCAGGTACCCCGGACACATCGGCTGGCTTCTCTGCAACCATTTTCCTTTTCTTTGTTTTTTGCGCCGGAAGATGACAGTGGATAAATAAAAGGATTATTTTCGGAAATGTGGAATCAACTGCTTCTGATATCATTGCCTGAAATGATAACCTCAGACAGCGGTGTTGCATGGCTGAAGATGGGGAGGTCAGCTCGTTGACAGGAGGCAGGGAACAGGGGTGGGTTTCTGAGGTTGGAAATGAAGGACAGGAGAGGTGAGTGCTTCCCGGCCAACCTCCCAGGCCTGGGGCTATGCTAGGTGCACACAGGTTCTCCCCCTTGTCTTTGTGCCAGCCCATGGGATGGGAGGTGCCCGGTTTACAGAGGAAAAAACACAGTAACTTTCTTGATTGAGTGGGGATTTGGCTGCAACTAAGGGGGTGGCCAGATGATTTCTAGGGGAACATTTGTGTCTAAGAATTTTTATACGTGCATATGCCCACGTATGCAGACACACACTCACACATACTTCTTGTTGGCTGGGGGACAAACAGAAGCAGAAGAGGACAGTCACTGTTATGGCAATGGGCTCTGACGGCCTGAGATTCCATCCTGACTCCATCAATTATTAGCTCTGACTTGAGACCAGTTACTTAGTTTACCTTTCTCTCAGTTTCTTCATATGTAAAATGGAGGTGATAATCATAATTAATAATAATAATATCTACAGTTTAGGGTTCTTGGGAAGATTAAAAGGGTCTCTACAGGTAAAATTTAGCATGGAACAAGCACACGATACGTGTTAACGAACTTTAGTAACCAGTAGGCAGGCAGGTTTGGCAGAGAATGTGGCTGTTTCAGGTTGCCAGGATGCAGGTTGAGATGTTGATTTCAACAGCGAGTCCAGTTCAGCAGGGCCGAGGTGGGCCAACACCCACCCCAACATCCCAGGCACATGCACACAGGTAAAGCATAGCACCAGCCTTTCAGGAGGTAGGTTCCTACCTGTGGCTCCAGCTGCCCTCACCATATCTCAGGCAGTGCCCTTGGGTCCTCACTGGAGCGGGCACCTTAAGTGGGTGAGCCTGCAGCTTTTCTGGGTGCCTGATTCTCTTAACCCCCACCCAGAGACAATCTGTGGCCCTTCTGTGCTGGCTTTGTTTATGGGCACAGAGTGCATATGTTGGGCAGAGTTGTGTAAAGTTCTCTTTCCCCCCCTTAATTTTGTGGCAGGATAAGACAGTTAATCTGTTTTGACATGCTATCTAAATGGCCCTCAGATCAGTGTACGGAAGAAACCATCCATAAGTCATGTCTTTTATACACATGTACTGGTGTGTACAAGAGGGAGAGTTATATTGGCTGCGAGAGGCAGAATAATAATGGCCGTTATTATGGCGATTTCAGGGTCGCCACATTCACTCCACATATCAAATCCTCTTTCAATGAGGCCAGTTCCATCAGCTGTCAGATTCTATTAAATATATCCCTCAGACCCACTGACCAGCTGACAGGAGAGAAACTCAAAACCACACACCCCCCATTAGCATCATAAAATGTGAAGTCAGCTGGAAGGGATGATAACAGAACTGAAAACAGAAGAGATGAAAATCTGCAATGCTCTTGTGTCCTCCTAAATAGAAACTCCAAGAGTTACAAACAGACCCATAAAATACCAAGGTGAAACAACAACAACAGAAACAAAAACATGACAAAGATCATCCTGTTGTATGCTTCATAACATAGAATGGTTCTTTTACCTTTTGTTAATGTGAGATTTGCATAAATGTTTCATGAGGTTAATACAATGCATAAACCAAAACGTTTATTAGGCAACATCTGTGCTGTTTTCCCAGATAATGCAGTGTTTCTTCCAAGTCAATGAAATATAACCTATCATAAGGTTGGGTTGTTAAAATACTTGTGCAAAGGCTGTGATCATATTTTATGCTTTTGCAGATGCTCTGGTTCTACCAGAGAATTTCTTAATCAGACAAGAGCTTAAGATGGCTGGCACCTTAAAAGAAGGTGTAGAGGTTCTCTTGGAGACAGAGCAAGAGAGGAGAAGAAAGATTTCTATGAGTTGACTAGATTTGCTTCTCCATTTCTTCAATCTAGCTTTCTAAATTTGGATTTGTTTGCAGAGATATTCGCTTAATACTTGAAGGAAAAAATAATTAGATCTGTACTTAGAATCTACCAAGAAGCAGAGAGTGGGTCAAAATGCCCAATGACTTTATGCAGCTACAATCCTATCACAATATTGGTTCCATATGGGACTCTTTAAAGGGAAAAACAAAAAAAGTTATGAGACCAATAATTTTTAATGAAATTTGGCTTAGCTCACAAGCAAGTCCAACAGATGAAACAGCAGCCCAAGCTGGAAACATGATTTTTCTTCTTCCTGGCAGGGATGAAAGAAAGCATTGTTTCAATTAAGAAAGAACCTAATAGAGATATGTTTTGTATTATCAATTTTACACAAGTAAAGATTTAGACATTGTCTCTCTCTCTCAACATCTTTGAGGGAGTCCTTCTCTTTCTCTGATGGCTGTGTGAGATCGTTTTAAATGTGGGAGGCTTCCTGACCCTGCTTTTTGGGTTGGACTTTTGATGGAAAGTTTTAGTAAAAAATTGTTGAAAGCTCTTGTCTCCATCAATTTGGGGCAGATTTTGGAGGTAGAGAAAGTTACCAGAAAATGAGGATGGCAGTCTATCTATCACCTATCTGTCTATCTATCTATTATCTCTCTACCTCACTGTAGCATGAGATTTCCCAGTAGTGAAATTTTGGGCTAGATAATTATTTATTGTAGGGGGCTGCCCTGTGAATGGTATGATGTTCAGCAGTTTCCCTGGCCTCTACCCATTAGATGTCAGTAGCATTCTTCCCCCAGTTTGTGACAACCCCAGAAGCCTCTAGATATTGCCAAATGTCACTTGGAAGGTAACACTGCCCACCAGTTGAGTGTTTTAGTATTTTCCATGAAACACTTAGACATTTGTTTACTGCCATATCTGAGTGTCCTGTGTAGGATTATTTGCTTAAGGACAAAGGTAACTTTTTATTTAGGTAGCATCTGAGTCTGCTCATATCTAGTGGCCTAGCTCTGTCTGGGTTGGAAAAACTCCATATGTCAGAACACAGAAGAAGAATACGAGTTGTAAATGGCAGCCCATGCTGCCCATGCCACTGTGGAATGAAATGAGCTACAGAAGGAACCTCTTGTCCAGGTTCCTGCCTTCAGATGAAACAACTAGGCTCAAAGAGAGTTGGTTCAGCCATTACAAGTGTTCAACTGGGGTGGGGGATCTTCCCGGCACCTCCACCTTGTCTCTGCCTTGCGCATCACTCCATTTTATATTTTCTTGAGCTCTTACTGCTATTTGAAATGATCTTGCTTATTTATGTGTATACTTATGCCTCTATTTTCAATTGACTGTCTCCCCCACTAGAATGCAAACTCCATGAGAATAAGGACTTTACTTGCTTTAAGTGGCAATGTAGCCCTTTATACAAACTTAGGGGCTTTAGTGTCAGACTCAAGATCTGCTGCTTATTAGCTACACTGACTTTGGGCAGCCATTTAGCTTCACTAATCTATATTTTCCTTCTCTGTAGAATAATAATAATAATAATAGGATTGGTTCCTATCTGATGGAATTAAATGAGATCATACTTAACACATAATACGTGCTCCACAAATACAAGCTCTTATTGCTCAACCACCATAATTATACCTAACACAGTGGTTCCTGGCATGGAAAGAAACACAATAAATATTAGTGAAGTAAACGAATGAATGAATGAACAAATTCCCTTGTGTCTGTCTCTAATTTTATTTTATTTTTTTAAGATGGAGTCTCACTCTTGTCACCCAGACTGGAGGGCAGTGGCCGGATCTTGGCTCACTGCAACTTCTGCCTCCCAGGTTCAAGCAATTCTCTTGCCTCAGCCTCCCCAGTAGGTGGGATTACAGGCACCTGCCACCACGCCCAGCTAATTTTTTATTTTTTTTTTTTCATTAGTAGAGACAGGGTTTCACCATGTTGTCCAGGCTGGTCTCGGACACATGACCTTAGGTGACCTTAGGAGGACACCCACCTCGGCCTCCCAAAGTTCTGAGATTATAGGTGTGAGCCACCGTGCCTGGCCTCTAATTTTAAATTTCTCTTGTCACAGTTTATAATTTGCTATCAAATCCCCTTTTCTACTTTCACTGGAGCTGGAATGCCATGGTCTAATAGAATATTTGTCTCTAAGCAAGTAATTATAGCAATCATATATCAATAAAATATATATTGGGAACAATATATACCCAATTTTTTTTTTGGTAACATCCCAATTGGTGGTATGTCTTCTCTTAGGAAATATCATTCCCGGCAAAGGACTTCATTATTTTCTGAAATTCAATTTTGTGCTGACCCAGACAGTCTTCTCTTTCTCATGGGTTTGTGGGGAATCTGTCAATGTCCCGAACTAGGGGAAAGTTGGAGAGGGACAGTGGCAAGTGGAGTGCTTGGGTGAGAGGCAGTGGAGTTCTGGAAGGGAGTGGAGTGCTTGGGTGAGAGGCAGTGGAGTTCTGGAAGGGAGTGGAGTGCTTGGGTGAGAGGCAGTGGAGTTCTGGAAGGGAGTGGAGTGCTTGGGTGAGAGGCAGTGCAGTTCTGGAAGGGAGAGGAGTGTGGGTGAGAGGCAGTGGAGTTCTGGAAGGGAGTGGAGTGCTTGGGTGGGAGGCAGTGCAGTTCTGGAAGGGAGTGGAGTGCTTGGGTGAGAGGCAGTGCAGTTCCGGAAGGGAGACGCAGTGCTTTGGTTGCATATGACATTGCTCAGCCTCCTCCCACATCTGAGTGGCAAATCACCATGTGTGAGAAATATGCTCAATCAGAGAAGAAAAAGAGATGTAATTATGTCATTTATAATGAATTCTGAAGGAAACAAAGAATTTAAGAAGGAAAACTCTGGAGACAACCAGAGCTCCGAAGCCTTTCGGATCATCTGAGCTGCCCTGGAGAAGACGCATAGCTGATCAAACATTCGTGCCGATCATAGGAGGCCATCCCAGCCCCTGAGAATGCTCGGGAGGAAGCAGAAAAACTCAGGAGCCCAAGCAAACACAGTCCAGCTTTTATTAAAGAAATTATACGCTCCTCTCAGCTTCCACCCACATCGATAATATCAACTTTTGGACAAATGCATCTCTCTGGGGAACAGGTTCTAAGACTGGCTCCTAATCTTCTTTCTTTGAAGTATCCAAGGGCTTAAAGGCATGTGTCAATATCTAGGGCCTCTGGCCTTTGTATGAGGGGGTTTGAAAGGGTCCTGCTGTGGAGGAGAGTGAGACCACCAGCGTCCACATCCCCCTTTCCAGGCTGACTGTTTCCATTCAGCCAGCCTTCAGCCTCAAGACCACCACCTGCCCACGCTGCAGTAAGAACTCCCTGAGGATCCTGCCTGGTGTCTCATAAAGAGATGGTCACCATGCACCTCCTGTTTTAACACAGGCCATGCTCAGGGGGTCCCACTTTCAAGAACTAAATATTTCTAAAAGATTGATTACAGCACTTGTTATATCATATGATATGGAATACCATTAATTAACTCTTTTGAAAATTATAATGAGAATTGAGTTTATGAATATCTTTGTATATTGTTGTCTTGACCAGCATTTCCCAAGTGTGCTGCTGATGTAACAGCCAACATCTAGTTCCTGTGTATTCTCTCTCAGGCCCTGTGCTAAGCACACGCTTCATCAGATGTGCTCTTCACACCAGCCCCAGGAGATAAGTATTATTATGCTCATTTTACTGAATCCAGATCCCATATTTTAACCTAAGCTTTTGTGGTCAAGTGAGTTTGTAAAAGTCAGAGTTAACCAAGATTAATGGATTTTGTTACTATAGGAATTCTCAGCTTTTTAATATGTTTATATCCATTAGAAATCTCCAAGAGGGAGAATAAAATATGTAAACTTTTCCAAACATACTTTACCATGGAACACTTTTTTCCCCTAGTGTTATTTCCGGGGGTTAGTTTTCTATAGGAACCTTGCTAGGGAGGGTTATGTCCTAAAGAGACACAGACTCTACTTTCTGGATTAGTCACAAGGCTACAAAGTGGATCATTGAATGAGTTTTTAATGAGTTCTTATGTTTCTATAAACTACTTTCAAAACTGCAATATCAGAATTGAAAACTTGATACAGAGCCAGGGTTATACCATGCTGGATATCAAAAGTCATGGGAATAGTTTGGCAGAATTTTCACTGCTTATAAAAACTCTCACCAAGCTCCTTCATTTTACCCTCTAGTTACCAATTTCCTAACTTACAGGATCTTTTCCCAGGACTAGAAGAGATTCTTTCAGCAGAAACTCTACAGCTTACCTGAGAGCAGGGGCTAAACTGTCCATAGACTAAATCTGGCCAGCTGCCTGCTTTTGTAAATAAAGTTTTATTGGAACACATCCATACACATTCCTTTACATAGCGCCTAAGCTGCTTTCACACTATAAGGGGCAGAGTTGAGTAGCTGTAACAGGAACTATACAGACCACAGAGTCTAAAATATTTACTATGTGATCTTTTTCAGAAAAATTTGTCAACTCTTGCCTTAGAGCAACATATTTACAATGATTATAGAGCCTGGCTACAACAGAAAACTTCTTCAGTAGAAGCCACTGCCTAATATACCATAAATTCAATTTGAAGCATGCTATTGCCATGGCTTACCCATTCTTTAAGTTCAGAGATCCTATGTAAAGCATGTTTTCTGCAGAAGGAAAAAGGAAAAAGACACCAGCATCGATTGAGCTGTGATTAGGTATCTGGAATGGCACATATACTGTCCCATTTGTAACAATTTAGATAAGCAGATGGTGACCCCATTTTATGCAGAAGAAGATTAATTCAATGAGGTGAAGTCATTTGATCAAGGCTATACAGTAAAGGATTTGCATCTCAAACTCTGACTCAAAGATGGGTGCTGATTCTATAGAATGGTTAAGAGTGAAACATCTGGAATTACCTGGCCAAGATTCCAATTCTAGCTCGGTCATGAACTAGCTTTGTGACTTATGCAAGTGACATAACTGTGTGCCTCAATTTCCTCACCTGTGAAATGGGAAAGAAAAATACTATTTTAATAGGGTTTTGAGAACTAAATGAGTTAATTCGTGATACCTAGCATATTAAAGGTACTGAGCACATGTTAGTTGTTAATGTTAAATGGGGAGGGGCATCAAAGGATGGAGGATGACATCTAAACTTCTGGCTTGAACAAATTCTGAGTTGGGATGGTATATTCGTCTTATCAGATATATAAGTGGACCTCTTGAGAGCAGGGAATATTTTCTTGTGTCTTCCGTACACCCCCTGTCCCCTCAAGTGCCTTGGACAACATATTCCACTGATGCTTACTGGTTAATTGAAGGTGGAATTGAGGAAAGAGGACTATCAGGAAAGTGAAATTTTTTTTAATTTTTAATTTTTATAAATTTAGGGGGTACAAGTGCAGGTTTCTTACATGCATATATTGCATAGTGGTGAAGTCTGGGCTTTTAATGTGCCCATCACCTGAATAGTGAACGTTGTACCCAATGGGTAATTTTTCAACTCTCACCCCCTTCACACACTGTCCCACCTTTTGGAGTCTCCAGTGTCTGTTATTCCACTCTGCATGTCTGTGTGTACCCACTGCTTATCTCCCACTTATAAGTGAGAACATGTGGCATTTGACCTTCTGTTTCTGAGTTATTTCACTTCGGCTAATGGTCTCCAGTTCCATCTATGCTGTTGCAAAAGACATGATTTCATTCTTTTTTATGGCTGAATAGTATTCCTATATATCTATATATCCTATATATCTATATCCCATATATCCATATCCTATATATCCTATATATATATCACATAGGAAAGTGGAATCTTGAGCTCCTCAAACTGTTGGCAGAATGAGCTAATGTGGGGAGCTTTGTTGGCACTAGTGACTGATTTTTGCTTCAGCTTCAGAGGACTGGGCCTTTGTCTAATATTTCAGCGATCTCACCATCCCAAGCTTAGTGCCTTAAAACAACAATCATTTATCATCTCTCCAAGATTCTGTGGGTTGATTGAACACTGTGGGGGTGGTTCTTCTGTTCCAGGTGTTGCTGATTAGAGCTGGAATCCTCTGGGGACTCAATTCTGCTGGAGCAACCAAGAGGGCTGTCTCACATGGTTGCAGTTGATACTGGCTGTGGGCTTGAAGTCCATTCGGGGCTGTTGAGCAGAGCACCTTGATTTACCTCTATGTGGCCTCTCCTTTGACTTGGACATCTCACAGTGTAACCATTGGCCTCCAAGGGAAGAAAGCTTAACTGTCTTTCTCAAAGTCTGCACTTGGAAGTCCCAAGACAATTTTTGTGCCCAAATTCAAGGAGGGAGGAAAGGGACCGCCTTTGGATGACAAAGAATTAGTGGTCATCTTTAAGCCACCATATTGAAACTCCTGAACCCATGTCTGACCTTGCCCTGGAGCTGGTCAGCTGCAGCCAGCATCTTCCTCGCAGACAAGTCACTCCCATTATTCTGTTTGTGAGGTTACCCAGATCTTAACTTTCAGTGGGCTTCTCAGTGTGTGACCACTGCAGTCTGTTCATAAGGCCTGAAGGATGGTATTATCACGCCCCCTCCTTGCCCTTTCATTGAGCTTCCTAAAGCAATTTCAACTTGCCCACACCTCTGCCTCTTCAGATCTTCCTCCTCTACACCTAAATAACTCTCACTTGCCCTTCCTGTCTCAACTTAGGAGCCACCTCCTCCAGGAAGCACTCCCCTATGCTCTCAATGCATCATGATTTAACCCCTTACCTGGCCCTGCCCATCCAATCATTGCATTTTTCCCTCGAGTTGTCACAGGCTGCTCACTTCTTGATCATCTCCATTAGACAGAAGGTTTTACAGAGGGCGGGACTGTGCTTAATTCTCCATCGTGTTCTCAGAGCCTCACATGGTGCCTGGGATCTAGTTGGTGCTTAATAAATGAAATATCCCCATTATTTCCTACTCTCCTACTCCCAGAATCCATGCCACCAAGAAGGCTAAAGATTGGCAATTGGAAGAGGGAAAGCCAAGGAGAAGTTAGCAGGGAAGGCCTGGGAGCCCAGGGGGAAGGGAACTGAGAGACTCTAAGAACACAGTGCAGGTAGGGAACCACTTTGCTGGGCCAAGAATTCTGGTATCATTCGCTCAAAGTCAGACACTTGTGTCCCAGTGGTTTCCTGAGCTTTAGTAAAGTCTTAAACCCCAATAAATGCTTTATTCACATCCAAGAACACATTATACCTTGGGGCGGCTCAAAGACCCTGCCTAGGAAGGAGAAGGGGCACGCTGAGAAGGAGACCCTGCCTAGGGAGGAGAAGGGGACACGCTGAGAAGGAGACCCTGCCTAGGGAGGAGAAGGGAGCAAGCTGAGGAGACCCTGCCTAGGGAGGAGAAGGGGATATGCTGAGAAGGAGACCCTGCCTAGGGAGGAGAAGGGGATATGCTGAGAAGGAGACCCTGCCTAGGGAGGAGAAGGGGATATGCTGAGAAGGAGACCCTGCCTAGGGAGGAGAAGGGAGCAAGCTGAGGAGACCCTGCCTAGGGAGGAGAAGGGGGCATGCTGAGAAGGAGACCCTGCCTAGGGAGGAGAAGGGGGCACGCTGAGAAGGAGACCCTGCCTAGGGAGGAGAAGGGGACACGCTGAGAAGGAGACCCTGCCTAGGGAGGAGAAGGAGGCATGCTGAGAAGGAGACCCTGCCTAGGGAGGAGAAGGGAGCAAGCTGAGGAGACCCTGCCTAGGGAGGAGAAGGGGATATGCTGAGAAGGAGACCCTGCCTAGGGAGGAGAAGGGGATATGCTGAGAAGGAGACCCTGCCTAGGGAGGAGAAGGGGGCACGCTGAGAAGGAGACCCTGCCTAGGGAGGAGAAGGGAGCAAGCTGAGGAGACCCTGCCTAGGGAGGAGAAGGGGATATGCTGAGAAGGAGACCCTGCCTAGGGAGGAGAAGGGGGCACGCTGAGAAGGAGACCCTGCCTAGGGAGGAGAAGGGAGCAAGCTGAGGAGACCCTGCCTAGGGAGGAGAAGGGGATATGCTGAGAAGGAGACCCTGCCTAGGGAGGAGAAGGGGGCACGCTGAGAAGGAGACCCTGCCTAGGGAGGAGAAGGGAGCAAGCTGAGGAGACCCTGCCTAGGGAGGAGAAGGGGGCATGCTGAGAAGGAGACCCTGCCTAGGGAGGAGAAGGGGGCACGCTGAGAAGGAGACCCTGCCTAGGGAGGAGAAGGGGACACGCTGAGAAGGAGACCCTGCCTAGGGAGAAGGGGGCATGCTGAGAAGGAGACCCTGCCTAGGGAGGAGAAGGGGGCACGCTGAGAAGGAGACCCTGCCTAGGGAGGAGAAGGGAGCAAGCTGAGGAGACCCTGCCTAGGGAGGAGAAGGGGATATGCTGAGAAGGAGACCCTGCCTAGGGAGGAGAAGGGGCACGCTGAGAAGGTCACATCTTTGGGCTCCCCCTGAAAAAGTTTTTCCAAAGCAAACACATGTGAGTTTATAAAGGCAGGTTCATAAAAAAGAAATCAGAGGGGAAGTCATGGATCTAATAATGCCCCAAGCCCTTATACTTTCCCACAGGCGTCTGGGGCCTGACCCCCAAGTCGGATTGAGCCACCCACCCAGATGATAGCTGGCCTCTAAGCTGAGGGGCCTGGGGAGGCTTCAGTGATCCCTCTGCTGTAAATGTTGCCTCGGCTGACCTATAACTCTGGGGCTGTGGAGGTGAGTGTTTATTCATAATAAGTAGCACCTGGCTGAGTAGGGGGCCTCTCCTACCCCCAACCTTCCAGGTCATACAGGCAGAGCTCAGGCTGTGGTCTTCTGGGGACAGGTTTCAAAGCAGCTCCTTAACGGCCCCCTCCTGGGTACTAAACAAAACTGCTCCTCCTCTCTGTATTCTCTTCACCCTGACTTTTTCCTCCCCTAAGAGCCATGTTCCACATCCCAGCTCGCAGCATTGACCTCTTCCTTACTTATTCTGCACAAAATGCAAGTGTGTATTTCCTGCATGCCTTCCTTTTGATATCCCAGAACAGAGAAGAGGGTCTGAACTAAAACTGTAGGGGCAGAAAGAAAAAAAGCAGCTATCATCCTTAGCTTCCCTGGGCATGGCATTCACATGCCAACATTTGTCACACGCAAATGAACATGATTTTCCCAACATGAAAAATTTCACTTCAGTCCTGCTGACTTGGGTTTACTAATTGCCTGATAGCATTTTCTTTGTTAAGCTTCACTGTGATCATCACACTTTTTGTTGAACTGACAGTAGAAATATTCCGCAGCCAACAACCCAAATGCAGCCTAATGCACGAGGACACTGATCTTTCATGATGGGGGTACATGCAGGTACAAGTGTCATTGTACAGGCCTCCAAGCCTCCAGTCTCTGAAACTGATGTCTGTGCAGGGCTTCCTGGGGCTGCCATAATGCACAACTTCAGGAAGATGCCATTCACACTGTGCTCCTGTGCCCAACGTCTCTGGAAGTGAGTGGGGTACAATTGTGCACACTACCCAGTGGCCCTAGAATACTCCATTCTGATTCTGGGGGTATGGCTGGGAAAAATGCAGGGAAACTAGTGAAGCTGTTTACTAAAGGCAACTGGAGCAGGGCCCAGGGAGAGGGCACCCATATTCACAACGTTGTTCTAGGTTGTGTTTTTTAAATTCTGAGCTGCCTGCCTCCCTCCCCAAGGCCCTTTGATGGAGGCATCATTAGTTTTACTGGTCAAGTCCAGTTGTCAAATGATACCCAGGGAAAGAGAGACAGCCTGGATACTAAGGGATGATTAGAATACAACTGAGGTTTGGGGAGAGTAAGGGGAAACCCTGTGGAACTTGGGGGTCCCTTCCCTGTGGGGGCAGTGACAGAGTGAGCCACAGGGAGATCTCCTCACCTAATCTGCACGCTCCCTCCTAGCAATGAGGTGCAGCCTTCTTATCAGCTGAAGAATTCAGCCAGCCGGTCAGGGTCGCATACCACACAGTGACTGGGCCTGGCTCGGCTGTCTAGCCAAGAACAGACTGGTCTTTGTTCCTGTGTGACTGGGGGTGCTACTCAGGGATGGAGAATCTAGGGTGGGTGCAATTATGAGATTTTTTTAAGGTATAGAAATTGTATCTCCCATCTTGGACCATGGGAAAATAAACTGAAGGAGTATGATGTTGAAAGAGGAGAAAGTGGGGTCATTTTCATTGCTGGAAATTCATCTTCCCAAACGTGAACCATGAGTTCACCTGCCTTCCTATTGTTGCAAGAGCTACCACTGGGGTCAAAACAGTGCACTTAACTTTCAAATCTGGTTCACCTTCTCCTGAAGTCATATCCCCTAAGGACTCATAATCCCAAAGTCTTGGCATTTAAAGAATTCTTATAGGTCATCCGTTCATCCATCCATACATCCATCCATCAATCCATCCATCTATTCATCCATCCCTGCATCCATCCATCCATCTACCCACCCACTCATTCACCCATCCATCCACCCCCCTGTTTACCCACCCATCTACCCATCCATCTATCCACCTATCTATACATCCACTCATCCATACATCCACTCATCTACCCATCAATCCATCCACCCACCCATTCATCCATCAATCCATCCATCCATCCAACAACCATTTATTGAGAACATACTATGTGCCACCCAGTGGTGAACAAGAGAAACAATGACCCTCCTGTCATGGAGCTGACATGCTATTGAGGGAGATGGACAGTAAACAAGTAAACAAACAAATAAGCAAAATAATTACCAGATCATGGTAGATACCCAAAGAGAGAAAACCAACGAGACATGAGAAAATTAGTGGAGAGGCCTGGCGTGATCAGGAAAGGCCTCTCCAAAGAGGTAACATTTAAGCTGAAAACTAAAGGACAAGAATAAGCCAACCATACATAATAAAAATGAAAACAAAACAAAACAAGCAATTGAACAAAAAATGGGAGAAAAGTATTCCAGGTAGAGAGAATAGCAAGTGTTAGTTAAGAGGATTCTCTCAAGTGGGCAGAAGCTTGGCAGGTTTGAGGGGCAGAAAGGAGCCCAGCATGGCTAGAGCAGGGGGAACTTTGCAAAAACCTTTTGTTCCAATGAAAATAACACAAAATCTAATATAAAATAAATCAGAGCAGAGGGATTCAGATAAAGTCTGGTTAAAACCACTGATAAGATTCACCACTGCCAGAAACTAAGATTTCCCCTATAATATTCAGTATTTATTTGAATTATTTGGTGATGCCAAACCATTACCTCCAAAATCAAAGTTTATGGGCACCTCAAGAGTGTATGAGTCTCAAGGGAGCAGGGCTTATGGCAGGCAGGGCTTTCCTTGGGGTAACATCTTCCCAAACAAAAATTCTGCATATTTGCTGAAGGGTTGACACTCCGTCGGCCAAATAGCATCAGGCTGTGGGTTCCCCCTCCCAGCCAGCTGTAGGCTTATCCAGCTGGTTCTCGCTGAGCAGTGCACAGGACATATTTCAGACCAGGAGACTTTGAAGTATGTGTTCTCTTAAGGCTTAACGATGTCAGGCTTCATAACCCAAGAACTGGCTTGCTAGCTTCCTACTTTAAATTGCTCATAATTTGAAACATGCAAACATTTCCACTTTATCAAGCAGGGCTACTAAACATATTATTGCTGGAACCTGCATGTTTTATGGTCTCCATACAGCCAGGGAGCTGAGTTTTATTAAAATAGACTGTTAAGAGTCTCAATTCATTATGGAATCTTTCAGGCCCCAGAATGAAAGAGTTTTGTTTATTCTAAGGGCAGAAAAAAAGGGTTGGGAAGAGAGTGAGGATAACTCTGTGTGTGCATCTCTGTGTAAGTGCACGTGAGTGTGTGTGTGTGTGTGTATGGCAGGGGAAGAGGTGGGAAAAAGGTAGAGACCACCAACAGTCTCAGCCCTGGCCCTCACTGCCCCTTCCACCTCACTTCTTGTACCAGCTGCCTGTCTGAGGTGGAACATTTGTTTGTGGGTCTGTTACTTATGGTAGAGCTGGGTCTGGCTTCAAGACAACTGGAATTTAGCAAAGAAGGGTGATCCTCTAGGGGGAACAAAAGAAGCTCAAGGGCTCCTCTGAGAGTGGGCACACCGAGGATTTAAAAAATGGAATCTAGTCAACAAACAAGAACTAGGCACAAAGCTATTAAAAAGGATATTGATGGTGCAAACAGGCCAGGCTACATCTTTCCATTCAGTATATTCCTGGGATGGGGGCAGTATTTAATGATTTTAAGGAAAAGACCATGTAATAAAGCCATTCCTATGTATTCAGGTAACCTTCATTACTTGCTAGAGCAGAGATATGGAACTTCTTGTAGCATGTTGCTCCTAGCCTGCTATATCTCATTGGCATGCTAGTCCCCATGCTCTCCTGGTTATAGAGGTAAGGTCTTGAGACTATATAGGGTGGTAAAGAGGTATCCACCTGTCCTCATATCCAAGTTAACCCTGCAGTTAGATTCTAGCCCCAGACTAGTATCTGTCTGGCAGCAATTGCATGAGAGACCCCAAGTGAGACCAGCAGAAGAGCCACCCAGCTGAGCACAGTCAACCCATAGAAATAGGAGAGATAATAAATAGTTGATGTTGTTTTAAGTCACTAAGGTCTGGTTTGATTGATTATGTAACAACAAGTAGTCAAAACACCACATTTCACTCCCTTCTTTTACTTGGAGGATTTGGGGGAAAAAAAAGCAGTTCTCACAGGGTAGACAAAGGTGTCTTCCAGTCATGCAGATTATAATGATGATGATAATAATAATGATAGCTGTCATTTATTTAGCACTTAGAATGCACCAGACACTATTTCTAAGTGTTTGATTTTATATGTCACCTGAGTTAGGTTCTACTGTTGTCTCCACTTTACAGATAAGAAAACTGAAGCTCGGAATCTGAGTCCACAGTCCTGGCTAACTCTACAGTCCAACTCTTGCAGCCAGGCCTGAAACCCTGTGACACTGCTGTCAACACAAGTTTCCGCACACGGGAAGTGCTCAGCAATGTTAGCTGGCACAAATTATGCCAGCAAGTCCTCTGGACTCTCCCTTCATCCCACCTTTACTAAGTATTGCCTGGTTGCCAGGAACTGTGCTGGATTCTAGGAATGTCTCCAAAGCCTGGCATGAAACCCACTGGCCTCCCTCTGGAGAGGCTGTCACAGGCCTCTGGGCATCCTTTAATCTCTGCAGCCACAGTGCCTGATGCAATGGCTGATCCTGCATTAGTGAGCAGTGTTTAGGAAATGGGTTTATGAATAAATCACATATGAATAAACAAGGGATGAGTGGGCAGCTGGATAGATGGACAGATGGATGGATGTACAAATAGAGTATATTATGTTGCACATACATTTTAAGCCTCCTCTGGAGTATCTCTCATAGTGCCTTTAATTTTATAGTGTCATTCTCATCTCTCTATGATTTTTTTCTCTATTTTTTTTTATTTGGTCTAGGTCCAGGGCAAATAGGGTAGGGGAGTCGGAGCTGGCCATGCTGGAGGTTGGAAAGGTGTTAACAAGCTATAAATGACCTTCCCTGGCCTATTCAGGCATAAGTAATGTCTCCAAATTGCCTACAGTCAAAACTGCCAATTCCAAGCTGATTGCAATGAATCAGGCTCCCCCTATACGCAATAATGTGATCAATTTCTCATTTCGCTGAATAAATAAGCTGGAAGATGGGGAACTGTCTCTGACCCACCGTTAACCTTCTGCCTCGTTATTCATATCAGACCTATGACATACATGTAAGAAATCCCTGGTTCAATTTTAGCTAATTATTTGTTAGGAATGAAGGCTCTGTGAAGTGTTACTGATGGTACAAGTGTCCAGGGACCTCCGGGCCGAGAAAATCAGGCTGAGAAAACCTTTGTCTAGAAAGAGGAAGGCTGGGAAGCAGCTTCCTTTTCTTTCCCCAGCCAAAAGCTTAGTGTTGGTGTGTTCATGTGTTTGTGCACATTTATTTGCTTCCAACTGTGATGCCCTGGGAATTTATGACAGTGTTGACTATTGTTATCTTACATCTTCTTATTGTAATTAGTGCAGATCACCCTCACAGATCAATTCCTTCATTGGGAGTAAATGCTGCAATAGTCTTTCCCCTCCCCCCTGCCCCACACACTGTCCCCCTGGTGTGGACATTGAGGGACCAGAGCTTTGGGAAACATTAACAATGTTCATTTAATTGGCTGGCTGCCTCTAGAGAGATTTCTGGGGATGCTGCAGAATTATGTTTGTGCTTACTGGGAGGGGTGAAGCCCATGCAGTGGCTTTGGCAGGTGCTGCCTGCAGAAGTGCCAGACTCTGTTGACCTGGTCCAGGGGACAATGGTGGCTTCCTTCCCTGAAACAGGGCACTGGTGGTGGGACCCTGGACCCGCCCCAGAGGCAGCTTGGATGGAAGGTTATGACTGTTTGCCCTTGCCAGGGCTCTATCTGAAATCAGCTTGGTAATTCCCTTGAAATCTCCCAAGACTAGCAGAAAACATGCTATTCTTAGGAGCATTTGTGTTTCCTTAAGAGAATAAAAGCCTCTGTCACACACTAGCTGCTTTATCACCTTTGTAATGCTCTAGTCCTTTTCCATTTTCAGAGTTCCTGAGAATTTTCCCCAACCACTCTCACCTCATGAGACTTATTCAATGAGCAGGTCCATTTATTTTATTCAACATATACATTCTAACACATGTCAGGCACTGCGTTTGACTTTGAGGGTAGAGTATGGAGGAATAGCATTATCAGGAATCTTGTCCCAGTGGAACTTTCAGTCTAGTGGGGAGACATAATATTTAAGATAGCATTGTGATGAGGAGTGAGGGGACATTCATGAAGGTGTGGGGCACAGAGGAGGTGACAGATTTGGGGGTCAGAGGGGCTGACCTGATGGTCATTCTAAAGTATGAAAAGCTGGGATTTAGGGGAAGAAAAATATAGGGGTTGGGCTGTAACTCTGAAGGCTGTCCCATTGCATGTGAGATGGGTCTCTTGAAGACAGCATACTGTTGGGTCTTGCTTCTTAATCCAACTTGCCACTCTGTGCCTTTTAATTTGGGCATTTAGCCCATTTACATTCAAGATTAATATTGACATGTGTGGATTTGATCCTGTCATTGTGTTGTTAGCTGATTATTATGCAGACTTGTTTGTGTGGTTGCTCTGAAGGATAAAAAGCTGCACTTCATGAGAAGAGGTAGAAAGTGGGTGGGATGGTGGGGAAGAAGAATGTCTACTAGAAGCAGCAGCACATGGGATGTCTGCAAAGAAGTAAAGAAAAGGTCAAAGAGGTGAGCAGGACCAAGTCATGAAGGGTTTCATCACTCCACTTCCTGATGTAATGTTCCAATGCTGACAGCAGATGTGGGCTCCGTGAATAATGACTCTAGGTCTCAGAGTCTAGGCTAATAGACTCCAATCAGGACTGCCTCAGACAAACCAGTGTGTAGAGTCACTATATTCAAAAATCATGTCCAGGAGCTTTGATTTCTAGGATTTTTATCCCAAGGTCTCTTGAAAGCAAATGAGAAGATCAGCTTTATACCTTAGGAAGATCTCAGTCTCCTGTGGTTGATGGTTTGGATGAGGGCAAAAATGATGGAGAGGGATAGGAGGACCCTGTGTCTTCCATGAGGTGGGCTGGGGCATAGAGTAGATAAGATTTGCTCCATTTTGCAGATGCAAAGACTGAGATCCAAGGAGACAAAGGGGCTTTCCAATCAATAGCAATCATTGGGTGATCAGCTTCACCCAATCAGTAGAAATGAAAGTTCCAGTGTGGACCCAGTTTTGCTGTTTTCCACAGTGGAAAACCTATTTTCTGTTTGGGTCATGAGAGCAGCCCCAAACTTAATGTTCAGTATATAAAGCCCAAGGAAAGCGGGGGGGAATTTGTCACCTTTAAAACAGAATGGATCCCTGGGGACCAAAACCTGTGAATCTCAAAGGAACTAAGAAATCTGTATTCTACAACACAGTAATGTGACATTTTAGATGATCAAGAACAGAAATATCCTCTTTCCCCTGGAATATGGATGACTGGGCCAGGGTTCCTCAAGTTGTTATGAACCACAGGCCTGGTCAGAGACCTCTGAAGCATGTGTCAAGCACCCTCTCCCTCAGGGCTTTGTGTGTGTCTTCCCTCTGCCAGGAACATCCTTTCCCTAAAAAGTCACATGGTTCATTCAGGTCTCTGCTCAGATGTGGCCTTCTCCAGGACACCTTTCTTGCCCATCCTGTCCAAAGTTGCTTTACTCTCTTTACACATGATTATTTTTCCTACCTAACACCATGTGTCCTATGGTTGTCATTTTGTAATCTGTTTCCCAACAGATTGATATGAGCTTCCCAAGGACAGGAGCTCTGTCTCACTCACTCTGCATCTCCAGTGCTTGTATACGGTTGGTACTTAATAAATATGTGAATTGCATAGATCAATATTGAAGTCACTGCTTCCATGAAGGATTCTTAGAGGGGCATCTCCAAGATGCTGAGAAGGGTCAGTCACATGAGGACAGACACAAGCACTCAGCTGCCCTGGTGCCGAACTCAGCACACCAACCTCAGACCAGAGACTCCCTCTCTTCCTAGTCCCTCTGCATCCTTAAGACCAAGAAAGAGCCAGGCACAGAGCACAAGCCCAGTAGAGGTCTGTTTGAATGATGAATGACTGAACAACTTGAGTGAATGACAACATTAAATCTCCTCTGAGGTCAGGACCAGAAGCAGACCCCAGCTGGAGGGAATTGTGGAACCATGAGGAATAATAGCATTATCATGACCAGAGCTGCCATTTATTGATTGCTTATTATGTGCCAGACACAGTCTAATCATTTCACATTCATGATCTCATTTAATCCTCAGAAACCCTCATTAATTGCTACTGTTACTATCCCCATTTTACATATGAGCAAAGCAAGACCCAGTGAGGTTAAATAACCAGCCGAAGAGGATACAGTAAGGGCATAGCACAGTCAAGATTGGAATCCAGGACACTCGCTTCCAGAGCCAGTTCTGGGCTGTCCTGTGGGCAGGGAGTGCAGGAGCAAGTGCTAAAACCCTGGCTAATGGCAGGTCATATTCAGTCAGTATGCACAGTAGGAGGGCCTCCATACATAGCTATCTGCAAAGAAGAGGGAGAAGAAGAAAAGCTCAGCTTGGGGATCCATGTGTCTGACAGGGGAGGCATACCCTGTGTCCCCCAGCCCTTTGGGAGATTCCAGCTGGGGAAGAGAAACCATTCCTCCATTTGATTTGTTTTTGGTTTTTGTTTTGTTTTGTTTTTAGAGGTGAGTCTTGCTCTGTCATCCAGGCTGGAGTACATGGGTGCAATCATAGCTCACTGCAGCCTCAAACTCTTGGGCTCAAGTGATCTTCCAGCATCAGCCTCCCAAGTAGCTGCAACAACAGGTGTGTGCCACCATGCCCAGCTAATTTTTGTATTTTTTTATTTTTGTGAGACTATAAAACTCACTATGTTGCCCAGGCTGGTCTCAAACTCCTGGGCTCAAACAATCCTCCTGCCTCAGCTTCCCGAAGTGTGGGGATTACAGGAGTGAGCCTCCTCGTCCAGCCATCCCTACATTTGTATTAATAACTATGGAACAGCAAGCTCCTTAAGAAAAAAATACAAATGGGTTTAGACTTCATTCCTTTGTTTGATCATTCATTAATTCAGCCATTTGATTGAGTTCCTACTATGTGCCAGGCACTGTTTTAGGGGCCAGGGTTTCAGCAGGGATCCTATCAGGCAGATAGGATTCCCACCCTCCTGGAACTTACTGTCTCATGGGAAAGATAATAACAATACAAGGGGGCAAGCATGGAGCTGGGGACAGTCCAGGAGCAGGGAGAGCAAAGAGCACCTAAGCTGAGGCTCCTCGAGAGGCATCCACTGGAAATGAAGGGAGAGCAGGAGTGGGCCAGGCAAAGGGGCCCGGGGAAGGGGCACAGAGAGCAGCAGCCTCACGAGGGCAGTGCAGGTGGGAGGAACGAGGTCTCTATTTTGAAGAAAGGGATAAAGCTTAAGCTCAGACTTAAGAAGGAGATCACTTGCCTAAAGATACCCAGTCAAGGCAGGGAGTGTGGCTGAAACCCTGCTGAAGAACCTGCTTCAGGCCGGGCACAGTGGCTCACACCTGTTATCCCAGAGCTTTGGGAGGCCAAGGTAGGAGGATCGCTTGAGGCCAGAAATTCCAGACCAGCCTGGGCAGCATAGCAAGACCCACTCTTCATAATAAAATTTAAAAAAATTAGCTGGGCATGCTGCACATGCCAGCTACTCGGGAGTCTGAGGTGGGAGGATTGCTTGAGCCCAGAAGTTCAAGGCTGCAGTGAGTAATGATTGCACCTCTGCACTCCAGCCTGGGTGTCTCTGTCTCAAATAAACAACAAAAAAGGAACCTGCTCCTAGCTGATATTCAGGAGCTAAGTCCACCCAGAGCAGATACCTTTTTTGAGCTCACACCCTATCTCCTGTGGGCCAGCAGTGGCTCCCATCAGATAGCTTTATAAACATGCCCCTGGCGTGTTTCTACTCTCCAGAAGTAGTTGGGCTCTGGAGGGTGCCAAAGCAAATATTTTCTGAGCCTGGATGGTGTGGCTCCAAGGTAGGGACAATTTATGGTAAGGTGGCTGACTTAGGGAGATACAGCAGCCTTCCATCCTCAAACCAGGGCAGGCTGGGAAAAGCCTCCCAACTCTTTTATTGGAAGAATTGGCCCAGGGCCACTTCTTTATCCCATCTTTAAGGTCCCTTTCATAAAGCCACCTTCAGATGTGTTTCAAATTCACCACAAACTCTATTTTTAAATTGTTCTTGCTTTTTCCATTTCTTAGGATTCCTCCAAAAATTAATGATAACTATTCACTAACGGGCTTCTATTGTTGAGATCCAGGTCCTGCCCCTGAGGGGTCCAGGCCAAGGATAGGTCCTCCTAGGGCTGAGCCATGGCCTGGACAGGAAGTGAGCATCAATGAAATTTATACAGAGAAAAAGGAAAGCCCCTCTCTCCACCATTTGGCGTCCCCACTGTCTGCTCTGACCTGGAGCCAGGGATTGGTTGGTGACCAGTATCTCAGTGGCTGTTTTCCATGACAACTGTTTCTGTCTGAGCTCATTCATCAATTTCTATGCAACAAAATCGGTTTGTGGAAAACTTGCATGAGTCCCTGAAATCTGGGGGCAAAGGCGGGGCTCGGAGATACAAGACAGGTTTTTCCTGGGATGATGGGAAAATTCCCAGCTCCCTCCAGGCCTCTCTTCTGGTCTCCAGCCATAGCCTCACTTTTTCCATGGCCTTATCAGTTTCTGATAGGCAAGGACTAATCCAGCATTCAAGGGAGAGGAAACCCTGGGAAAAATAAAGCCCAGCAGGTCCCCCCACCACACACACGGAGACCCACATAGAACTTCCTGGAAACACAACGCCACCAAGGTTGGTCACATCTCCTCTTTTGCTGCACGTGTGGACTCTGGACTAGGGAGGAAGCCAAGCTGAACAGGAAGTCCTCAGTGATAGAAGGCCTCAGATAGCCTGAGAAGCCTGGGTCACGCCTTTGAAATGGGGGAGGGAGAAGGGACTCCTTGAGAAGGTCTTTTTTTTTTTTTTTTTTTCTGGAGACAAGTCTCACTGTCACCCAGGCTGGAGTACAGTGGCATGATCATAGCTCACTGTGGACTCTAGTTCCTGGGCTCAAGGATCCAACCTCCCAAGGAGCTGAGACTATAGGCACACACCGCCACACCTGGCTAATATTTTATTTTTTGTAGAGATGGAGTCTCACTATGTCGCTCAGGCTGGTCTTGGGCTCCCGGCCTCAAGCAATCTTCTCACCTTGGCCTCCCGAAGTGCCAGGATTATAGGCGTGAACCACTGTGAACAGCCTCCCAGAGAGGGTCTTTTGGGAGCTGTGTATAGTTAGTCCATTTGGGCCACTCATCAAATATTTCTGGTTTTCTCTCTTCCTGGGCTCCAAGTAAGATCATTAACACTTCCTGACCCCTGTGTGAGCGAGTGGGACCAGTGCTAGCCAGTGAGTTGCTAGTGAAAGTGACATACAGACCTGCATTGCTTAATAATGTGGATATGTTCTGAAAAATGTGTCATTAGGTTATTTCGTTGTTGTTGAAATACCAAAGAGTGCACTTCTGTTAACCTAGATGTAACAGCCCACTACACGTCTAGGCTGTGTGGTATAGTCCATTACTCCTAGGCTACAAACCTGTACAGCTTGTGACTGTACTGAATACTGTAGGCAATCGTAACCCAGTGGTAAGTATTTGTGTATCTAAATATATTCAAACAGAAAAGGTGCAGTGAAAAAAAATGGTATTATAATCTTATGGGACTACTGTCATATAACCAAAACAACATTTGTCATTGACTAAAACAATGCTATAAAATGCACAGCTAACTGTCTAATATGGTAGCCGCTGGACACATGTGGCCATTAAGCACTCGAAACGTGTCCAGTCTAAACTGAAGTGTTCTGTAAGTGCATGATACACAGAGGATTTCAAAAACTCAGTATGAAAAAAGAATATAAAATATTTCATTAATAATTGTTGTATTCATATTATAATGATAGTATTGTCAAAATAATAACAATTTGGATATACTGGGGTAAGTTAAATATACTATTCACTTTAATTTCAGCTGTTTCATTTTAGTATGTCTTATGTGGCTATTAGAAAATTTTAAATTACATTTATGGTTCAATTTATACTGATCCAGAACAATGCTTGGCCTATAGTAGTTATTCCATAAATGTTGAACTGAGACAGGTAGAGCGTCCTGGCTTACAGAAGAGCATGTCCAGAATTATCCTAGGGAACTGCACTAAGAAGAAAAGAAAACATCTAATATGGGCAAAATTGCAGAAATGGTTTCAATATGAAAAAGGAAATGCTTCTCATTTTGATTGTGCATTGCATTAGTCTGTTCTCACGCTGCTAATATAAAGACATACACAAGACTGGGTAATTTACAAAGAAAAGAGATTTAATTGATTCACAGTTCTGCAAGGCTAGGGAGGCCTCAGGAAATTTGCAATCCTGACACAAGGGAAAGCAAATACGTCCTTCTTCACAGGGTGGCAACAAGGAGAAGAATGAGCAAAGTTGGGGAAAGCCCCTTATAAAACCATCAGATCTTGTGAGAAGTCACTCACCATCATGAGAACAGCATGGAGGTAACTGCCCCCATGATTCAATTACCTCCTACTGGCCCCTCCCACAACATGTGGGTATTATGAAAACTACAATTCAAGATGAGATTTGGGTGGGGACACAGCCAAACCATATCATGCATGGAGATGAGCGACTATGCATTTCTTCTCTCATCTTCTGTCCCTGTCTACTCTCCCCTAACCATGACGATGACCGTTTCTCAGGCCTCAGGGATGTCATTTTCTGTGGCCACGTCTGCCCTCCCACTAAAGAAGGCCCCATATCTCTTGTGGTCCCCATTTTATTCCTGGCATCTATCATGGTACCTGGCTTAAATTAGGTATTCAAAAAATGTTTGTGCAAATAATAAATTATTCCTCCAGAGGATCTTTGGACTCTTACGCTCTTTATCTCCAACTTTTAATATGTGTGCAGTGTTTTATAAGAGCAAGAGCTTAAGATTCAAGCTGTGCGTGCTTAAGCAAGAATACAGCCTCTTAAGCTTCGCTGTTTCCATCTGTTAAATGGGAATATCACTACTTCTCTTAATATTTACTTCACAGGGCTATTGTGGGGCCACATATCGAAAGTAAAGAGTGAGTGAAGGAGGTAAGAATTGGGAATGTGTTAACTCAGCAGGCTTGGGCCACAATCCCAAAAAACACAGCCCTAGATCGCATGATACAAAATGTTGAAATCTTGAAATTCAAAATCCTGAAAATATAATTCTAAAAAAAATTTTTTTTAATTATTTAAAGACATTAATTTACCTTTTTGAAAAGAAATTTATTTCAAAACATACAAAAACATGACAGAACAGTTCATGGGCCACGTTATACAATAAAATAGACAATATTTTATTGCCTGTTTTATTTTTGCAAGCATCAACAGTCAGGTATACTAATGACAGTCACTTGGGTTAACAGCTATGAAGAGACAAACCATACACACAAAGAAATAGGTCGAAAACCGAGATGTATAAAGGCATATTTCTATGGCTGGTAATTGTGTGCACCCGCTTTGTAACTGTGGTCATCTGAAATACTATGAAGCACAACCTAAAGATCGCGCCACTGCACTCCAGCCTGGGCAACAGAGCGAGACTGTGTCTCAAAAAAAAAAAAAAAAAAAAAAAGATTGGTCAAAAATTGCAACGGGCACATAAGCATTTGCCCAAAGAATTGAGATCTCAAGAAATTTATCTCTCCACAAATGCACATGTACAAATCAGATATCTCTTTATTTATTGAGGAAGTTTCAATGTTTTTGCCTACATGCACAATGCTCACACACAAGTCAACGTTGTGACAATGCACTTTCATGAATTCAGATTTGCCAAAAAAAAAAGCATAAAACAAAATGAGAACCTCTAAAAGTCGTTACACAATTTATACCTTCAGTATTGGAAATGATGAGCAGATGAAGTACACAGCATAGTAAATTGTAACAAATAAAGCTGACAATTTAAAATAATGAGAAAAAACACTATCAAAAACTAAAAAGAAAATTTGACATATGAAAAAGTGAATTACAGGGATAGGTTATGGGCAATTGCACGGAGGTAGTCCACAAAAGTTGGCGAGCCTCATGATCACCAACTATATTTTGAAGGCTTGCGTCATGATGAATAGCTGTTTATTTTCTTTTAGGACGTGGCTTCTCTCAGGGGATATGTTCAAATTCACTTTGTACATGGCACTGCTCTTTTTGAAATTCTTCTACGATTTAATACACACCAACATGTGCACTCCCTATTAAATTTTCCCATCTTCAGCCATGCTTCTATGCTGTTTGGGGTATGTGGAAAGTTATTCAACATGCACTCATACTCAGACCACAGATTTGGTGGAAACAATATTGGTAATCGAACAGCGACACAGGTTTATAAGTGTCTTCTTATCCTACCATGCACGTAATTATTTTTGAAGCCATGAGTAAGTTCGCTGCCTCCTTCAGGCAAATGTGGCTTTAATTCCTTAAAATCTCCTGGAATTTCATCAGCCGGAAGGAATGCCAATGCAGACAAATGACGCATTTTTAAACTGAAGTTTTTCTGGTTGCCCTATTGAGTGGCCAATCCCCTTATCTGAATTTTCTGCCAAATGCATTGGGCTGAACGGAAAAAACAAAGTTTATTGGTGACACCTTGAAATTCACTTTTAGGAGCCTTGCTTGCACCTAATTCCAAATCTGCCATGGTTTGGGGATTCAACTGAAATCCATTTGCTTCTGCAAAGTCTACCAAATCTTCAAATAAGCATTTATAAAGTGCTCCATTTTCCAAGTCATTAATACATAAATAAGCAGATTTATTAAAATTTTTAATTTTAGAATTTCCAGATCCAACAGGGGCATAAATGGGATAATTGTTGATTTAAAAAAATAGTTGGGAAAGTGTAATACATTAGCCAAAGTGAAGGGTGCACTAGTTTCTTTATGTTGGCTTTAATGGTAAATATAAGAAGTCTATCTTCTTCAACAGTCAAATCCCTAACCAAGAACAGTTCAACCTCTAAAACACTATAGGAACCTCTGTATCAGCAAGTGTTTTTGGTTCTGGAAGTTGTTGAGCTTATTGAATTTTTTGTTGTTGTTTTTTGTTTGTTTTTTAAAATTTTTTTCGTGTGTACATAGTGGGTGTATATATTGTCAAATTGTTTTTATTCTCTGATGAAGGGTGTTTTTTGAAAGCAAACATGGAGATGTGTGCGAAGAGGCAGAAGCCATACATGATTGAACAAATTGGCAAGGGAAATTTCATGCATTTTTCACCTGTGGTTTCACTTCTTCTATGTTTGAAACACTCAAACATTGAGAGCAGATCTTCCCACCTTGTCCACTCAGATTCACACAGTAATCTCTGGAAACACTCTCACAGACACATCCAAAATAATACCTTTACCAGATATTCCTTAATCTAGTCAAGTGGATATGTAAAATTAAGTCCACAAGTCCACCTCTTGTCAACTTGGCCTCCCTTTACATCTTCTTGAACTGTGCTTAATTTCCAAATAAAGACAATAACTAGGTGATAATTCCACCTAATGTAATGCAACTAACATGACGCAGCTATCCTGCATACAACAAAATAAGTGCCCATCCCTTCTTCGGAATTTCACATTCAGGATTTCAACTTTCAGGATTGTGATTTTTGGGATTTTAGACTTTAGAGGTTTTGATCTTTTGGGATTTCACCATTTGGGATTATGGTGTTTGGGATTGTGTCTTTCAAGATTATGATCCGACCCCATAGAAAGATGGATTTGTTGGAGTGGGAGATTGCCTAACTTGTAACAGAACACTTGAATTCAATTCTGGGTTTCATTCCTTTGGGTCTCAGTTTCCCCAACTGCAAAATGGGGGCGGGCTGGTCTCTGTTCCACCCATTTTGAAGAGTCATTGAAAGAAGGGCCATAAAGACGGATGTAAAATCACTTTATGAACTGTGATACCCTTTACACATGCAAATGGTTATTGATTATCCTTAGAGCATCTGTCAGCAAAATAGCCTGCTTTGTGAAGCCGTGTCAATTGGCCAAACAATGATTTGGAGCAAGACTGGGTCTTGAAAACCAGGTAACATCTAGACATCTGAGTCCGAGACAAAGAAAATCTCCAGGCAATGTTGAAACCACAGGAGTTTGGCTGCCGCTGGCTACGGAGCAGGGCTGGGTATGAAGCATTAGTCCTGGGAGGATGGGAGCTCAGTCTCCTGCTTGCCAGCCTCTTCCTTGGGGCACCACTGTAGCCTCAGAATGCTCAGGTCTGAGCCTCTCTGCCTCCTACAGCTCCACGTTCTACATTAAAAACTGTGCCCTGCAGATATTGGCTTCCCCACGGGGACCCAGGCATGTTTCAGTTTGAGGGAATGATGGGTTGAATGCTGGAGCAGAGGGCCCTCTCATAAATGGCTGACATGGCTCTCTGAACATCAAACAGCTCTTAGAAATAATATTTCGAAGAGTTAAGTGTAAATGAATGGGAAACACATGGATTAAATTTCCATGAAATACATATGCACGTAAAAATGAAAGAAAGGCTTTCAGGCACTGCGTACTGGGACTCATTCTACCTAGAACATAATAAAATACAATAAAATGCTAACCTCGGAGGCAGAGGACATATCCCAGAAGGATTCTCTTCCTCCAGGACCTGACAGCACCCTCCAGGTCTGATAAGGTAGAGGGTGAAGAAGAAATGAAGCCAAGGGAGAGAAAAGGGCAGTGCCCCAAAGGACAGGCCGGGAAGCTGTCCTGGGGTGTGGCTGCTAACTCCTTCCTGCTCCTTAACCCCCATCACCTTAGAATGGAGGGCACTCACAGGAAAGCCTCTCAAAGCTCTAGCTGCAGAACCGCTGGTAACTGGCTGTTTAAAAAGCCAGCAGCCAGTCCCTGGGCCCTGCTCAGCGAGCTGCAGAGCTGATTGTGTGATGCATCAGAAGAAATGCAAGCTAAATAATGTTTAACTGACAGAGCAGATTGTTTACTTTCAAATAATTGCACTAAATTGCAGTGCTTAAAAAGTACTTAGACTTTGCGACTTGGCCTGCTCCAGTGGGGCTGGGGGAGGGTGGGCCTGGGGGAGGGGTGGAAGACCCTTGGGATGGGCAGAGGAAGGAATCAACTGTGGGGAAGATCCCAGGGGTGGGCTGGTGGGTTGGCCACGAGCCCACACCCTTCTCGGCTCTGCTGCATCTCATTAGTCAGCCTGCAGCCCACCTGGGCACTGGTATCTCGTTGCACCTTGTAAGACTCTTCTCTTCCTGAACAGAGTGGTTTGTCCTCAGTGAATGGATCCCTCATAGCCCTGGAGGGTTCTTGGTACCCACACAGTGGGGTTAAATGTTCTGAACACCTGCACTTTCAGCAGAAGAAGCATTCCCACAAGGACAGGGGAGCCAAGGATCCTGAGCAGGAACCCGGGGTCCCCAGGAGCTGGGTTTTCGCAGGTCATTAAAACATTGAACTATTTCTGCACTGGTTGGGACACAACTGCTGTCTGCCCTCATGAGTGCCCCCTACCTTCCGGCCAGTCCCGATCCTTTCTCTGGGACTCCCAAGATGACTCCACATTCAGAAACTGCGGAGTCGACACCTGGTGCTGAAGGGATCCTTCAGGATCCTGGTCCAGCTCATGGGTGTCCATTCCAAATAGCTGATGCCCACATCGTGATAGTTATCCCATGCTGTGATGTTAATTTCACGACTGCCCGTGGCCAGGTTTGTGGCCGTGAGTCTTGTGTAAGCCAACAGGATGGGGACACCTGATGGTAGAAGATGTTCCCAGATTCTAGGATGGTGCTTGTCAGAACCCTGACCCACGCCACCCTTACCCGATCCCTGCCACCTCCATCCCAGGCTCGGCTCTTTAAAACATTTGGCATTACAGGCATAATATCTAAGCTTTATAACATGCTTCTCAAGGGCCTGTGAAAATATCTGAGAACTGAAAAAAAAAAATATTTTGGCTCTAAAATATGAAAAGAAAACCACTAAATTAAAATTAATAAATGTTTAAATGTCTACAAACCATAACATGACATCAACTACTCAACTGCAAGCCAACTCAATTTGTGTCTACTTATATAAAAATTATGTTTAATGTGGACTGTGGGTGCATTTTAATTTGTTTGATAGGATGGAAGCAGGGTTTTCTAATGTCAGAGCTCCTGGGGTTACCAAGGGTCAGAAAGGGCCATAAGTCCAGGACCGAGATCCTATTCTAGCCGTGTCCACTATCACCTCCATATGGCCCAGCTCCTGCCTCTGACAGAACTCCAGGACCCTGTCTTCAAGTGCAGATTAAATGTTTCCTGCCAGGTGACCAGTACTTGCCTCCAACTCAACCCGCCCCAAAGCCGCCGTGTCTTCACCCAAATTGCTGCACCCTGCTCCCACAACACATCCTCTCTTTCCTGTTTTCAACAACACCAAACACATTTTCTCGGCCCTCCTGGAACTCTAAGTCATCTCTGCATCCTCCTCTTCTTCATTCTTCAGTCCATTAGTCCGTTCTGTGCTTCCCTTTCTTTCCTCCCTTTCTTTCCTATTGCTCGCACTGATCCCTTCTCTGTCACCCCCAGTGGCACCACCTTAGCCTACCCAAGCCAGGGGAAGCAAGTAAGTTTCCTCTCAAGTCCCAGCTCTGACGCATTGATAGTATCCACCTGGATTACAGGGTGGAGAAAGATTTCCAGGCCTCGATGGGGGGGGACGGCCGTGATCCATTAGTGATGTCTGTCATGGACATAGGAAGAGAGGGTGGCAGCGCAAATTTTGCCTTCCCAGTCTAGGCCTTTTCAAGTTGACACCTGAATGGAGGTACTTGCTACCTACCTGGCCTCCCAGGCTTTAATCACTTCCGTCCTTCACATTGTCCTACATATTGTTACAAGATCAATCAAAGACAATACTTGAATTGAACAAGTTTCCTGCCCAGGCTATCTTTGACTTTTTACCAAACATGAGATCAAGCCCAGTCTTGTGGGCTGGCATTTAGAGCCTACATGCTCTGACTCCAGCCTTCTTCCTCCCTTAATTTCCCACTAACCCCCCAGCACCACCACCTTGCTCCAACTAACCTGACCTGGCCATCACTTCCTGACTATGCCTCTCTCCTCTCACCTCCATACTGTTGCCCATGATCCTCTCCCAATCTGGAATCCCCTCCTGTTTCCACACCATCCTCCCACATCTTCCATCTGAGTGTCAAGGCATAGCTTAATAATAGCTAATTTATTGAGTGTTCATTCTATGACAAGTGTGATTGTAAATGGTTCACCCAGATTAACTCATTTAGTCCCCATAACAGTGCAATGAAGGAAGTATCTATCATGAGTATTTCCATTTTATAGATGAGGAAACTGAGGCACATAGACGTTAAGTAACTAGCCTAAGGTCACAGCTTACAAGGATCAGAGCTGGAGTAAGAACCCAGAAGTCTGGCTCCAGAGTCTGCACCTTGGTTATCATGTTATGTTGCCCCTTAATTCTCACTTCCTCTAGACAGACCTCCCCAACCCCCCAACCCCTCCCCACTGCCATTTATTATCTGTGCCACTTAGGTTTATCATATGTTGTCTTTGCTTACCTCTTTTAGCCTCCTCTGCCGTATTGTCAGGTATCAGTGAGGACAAAAACAAATCAAGCCCATGGGCAAGGACCAACAGCATGAATAATATAACCACTCAGCCAACAAGTCCCTCCTAGGGTGCCTTTTATGCGTTATTTTATTTGGTTTTCATTCTGGGGTATAGAAGGGTATTATTATACAAACTTTACATGTTTTTATTTTCTTTTATTTCTTTTTGTTTGCCTGTTTGTTTGTTTTTTAAGAGACAAGGTCTCACTCTGTTGCCCAAGCTGATCTCGAACTCCTGGGTTCAAGCAATCATTCCGTCTTGGCCTCCCAAAGTGCTGGGATCACAGGCATGAGATACTGCTGCTGACTTATCCATATTTTATGTATAAAGAAATGGAGACCCGAAAAGTTAAGAAACTTGCCCAAGTTCACACAGCAATTAGCCATCCTTTTCCCCCTACCTGACAATTTCCCTTTTCTGAGTGTCCATGGAAGAGAAGAATGTGGAGAGGGCATAGACAGTGGGCTCCTTCCTTCTGTCCCACTACACTTGTCTGTCAAGAAGATGAGCCCTCTGAGGGGAGACGTGAGGGCGCTGATGTCTGGGGGAAGGGCCATGCCTGCAGCCTCACAGCAGACTGCTAACCACAGCTATGGGCTGACTTGACCTGGGCAGGGTCCTTTTCTTTTTTTCTTCTCTCTTCTCTGCAGTTCTTTCTTCGCCTGTCTCTTTTCAACCTCACTACTTCCTGTAAAATCTGATGTTAATCATCTCTGTGGGATTGGGCCCATAAAGCCCTCTCTGTGGGACAAGCAGGTCCACTGGCCATTCTGTGGGGTCACCTATGGGCGTGCCCAGGTAATCCCAAGAGAAGGGATGTCTCAAAACAGAGTCTATCAACTTTACTTCCGGGATGGAAATTGCATTTGTGTTTTTGAGAAAAAGATGGAGCAAAAAAGACCCTTCCCACCACCCTCGATGAAATGAGTAAATGCCATCAACAAAGCGAGTTCACAAACCTTTCTGATCTGAGATAGTTTGTTTTACCTGAGTTTCTCCTAAAATCCTAAATGAGTGCAATTGCCAGCTTCTAAATTTAGGCATTTGTGGGCGCCTGTTGGCAGAAAGAAGAAAGACTGGCTTCAGTGCTGTGGTTTGCCTTGAAACCCAGTCAAGCCCCAAATTCTAAACACAAAGCAGCTGTTTGCCCAGAATCCGAGCCGGGATGTTTCATATCGATGGCTCTTCCTCCCGCCTCTTTCGCCCCTTCTCCTTTCTCCTCTCCCTTTCTTCATTACTGAAGTGCCAAAAAAGCTCGATGTGAATGAACATTGGGATGGGTGCGAATTCAAGCCCGCATTATCTGCCATAGACGATCAGGGATTCTGGGGCGGGCCTGTGGGCCAGCCATCCGGGCAGACCTGCCCTGCGCCACTGTTTACAGAAGAAAGGAAAAAATAGAAATCGATCTACGGCGTTGGTACAGGGGCCGGGTCAGGCAGGGCAGAGTATTCAGTTGCCACTCTTTCAGCCCCACGAAATGCCAGCTGATCTCTATCGGGCCCAAACTGGGGTATCTTTAAGGTAAATCTCCTGTTCCACACTCAGAGCCAGGCCTCTACTTTCCAATGCCTGGGCAGAGCGGTCCAGCACTGAATCTGCCCTGATCGGGTGACGTCTCGGGTATGGTAGCAAGGCGGGCATGCTGACATAAACCCTCCTTGCCACTGGTCTGTGGCTCTCTCTGGAGGAAGGTATTGTCCCCACCCAGGCCTGGCCCCAACAGTTTCCATAAAGCTGAGTCATATTCCAGATGACAAAGATACATGCAGTTGGACTTTCTCTTTTGAAATGTCCAGTTCTTTAATTTATTAAAAATCAATAACAGGGGAATATGTATGATATCTATCTGAGACATAAGACAAGAGGTATATTGGCTGAGTGGCTACTCACCAGGTGCTGTGGGTGGCATTTTGTATCCATTATCCTCATATAGGGATGGGCATACTGTTTTCCATTTTCCACATGAGAAGGCTGAGGTGCAGAGAGGTTAAATAGCTTTTCCAAGAAAATGCAGCTAAAGTGACAAAGCCAGGAATTGAACAAAAGTCCACTTGTTTCTAAAGCCTATTTCTGTCGCCCACAGCCAACCATCTCCCACCAATAGCAAAAGTTTTTTATATTAATCTGCATTTTATTTCTAGATGTCTAAATTTCCCAGTGAATGCCCCCTTGAGCCTCAGTTTCTCCATCTGTAAAATTAGGCAGTTGGACAAAGGCAGCTCTGGCATTTTCTTCCCCAGCTCTGATATTTCTGTAATTCTGTGTCTATGAATACATTCAGAGGCTTCCAAGCAATAAATCAAGTTGTTTAAAAATTACAAATAAGCAAGGAAACCAGGACTCACAGTGGCTGGGGCCTTTAAGCCGTGGTCTATAAAAATAAAGACCGACTTGAGAGGCTTACTGTTGGCAGGGGAGGTGCCCAGCTGAACTCGGCTCTTGTGCAGAATGTTGCCACCCTCCCTAAAATGGCTGGGTGGATGGAGCCCGCTCTGCAGGTTGGGCCTCGGTTCGAGGTGTGCCCCCATCGGGCCATGGGCCAGGGAGAAATGGGACTTCCTGTGGGATGGCGGGAGGGAGCTCAGGGGGCCACGTGTGGGTGTCAGACCATGCAGCGGGCAGATTTGGCAGGACCCATGGTGTTTTCTTTGTGCAGAGAGCTCTTAGGAGCCAGTTTTCCAATCCTTCGCTCCGGTCTATGACCCCTACCTTCCCTCTCCTGCCCCCCTCTTCCCGCTCCCAACGAGTGTGGCGGGAACCTGGCCAATGACAGAGAAAATGAAGACATTTCTCAAATGGCATGTTCCAGTGGGTGAGCGCTGGCAGGCAGAGGCTGCAGGGAAGTGGAGCCGGTTCCCTGTCCATCCCCTAAATATCCTAAGTACGTTCCCTCCTTGGCCGCAAAACCACAGCAATGTCTCCTTGCCTTCCCCTCCTCCCTTAGACCCTGGGTCTGCAAGGAGCTCAGCCCACCGCAAGGTCCCAGAGGTGCCGCCGCTGCCAAGGGAGGGGCCTCAGCCAGCCTGGCGCTCGGCGGGCCTCCAGGCTTGTGCCGGCCATCCGTAGCTTGTCCTCCCCAGGCATCCAGCCGCCATGGCCAGAGCCGCTTTCCAGGGGCAAGTGAGTCTACATGAGGAAGGCCCTCTAAGCCCTTGTTGCTCCTTCCTTCTTCTCCTGTTCCTTAGTGAGAACTCTGGGCACTGGTGGGCATGGAGCGGAACTACTGGGCACTCACTCCCAGGTCCAGACCCGTTTCTGACATTGACCCTTTGCGTCACCCTTGGAAAGCCACTTCCCTCTCCAGGCCTCTGTGGTATCATGAAAATGTTGGGGAAGATGAGTGGCTTTGGAACTTTCTTTTTGGAGTTTGATGGAAAGGACAAGAGAAAGGCAGCCAACCAGAGGTTCCAGGCCCTCAGCTCTCAGGGCAGCTCCATTTTCCACTGCTTTCAGACATGTTTATATGTTTTCACCTATTTTATACATTCACTCAACCAACATTCTTTGCATGCACTGAGCTATACGTGTCAAGACTACCACTGATGTCACAGGTCCCTGTCTCCATGGGGGTTTCCAATGCAACCAGGGATAGAATTTGCACCAGCAGAAGTGACTGGCAACTGGAACTAATGAGGAAAGGTCTGCAAGGCCCTTCATAGAGTTGGAGGAGATGAGTTTTGGGCAGAGTGACTCTTTATCCCCATCCTTCTACTTAGGGTTTTCCTTGAGTCCTGGAGTCAGAAAGGTCTTCTAAGGTCTTTCCTTCGAATTGGTTTCTCTTGTTCCACTTTCTCAAGATAACCCTCCAAATACTGGTACTGGCAGTGTTCTGGTGTTTTCCTTCATGCTTTGCTCTCTCCGTCTTGGCGTCCTCAACACCTCTAATGGCTTCCAATCCCTGAAGTCAGCATTTTCAGCCCAGTCCACTGTCACTGTCCAAGATCTAGACCTGCAGTTCTACTCACCTCCAGGCAGCTTCCCAATGTGCCTTCCTGTACCTCTCATTCAACAAGGCGCCAGAGTAACCGTCACCATGCTCCCAAATCAGCCCTTCCTCTGATGTCTCCATCTTGGTTCTTGGCACCACTATGTCCCAGAATTACCCAGGTCAAATCTGAGACTTGAGCTTGGCTGTGCCTTGAGTCTTCCCCACGCTCCTGCCTGGCACTAACTCAGTATCTCCTCACAGTATTGCTTCCTTCTTTTCTCTTCTCTCTAGTTGAGGACCTTGTGGCCACTGCCTGGATCCTTGAAGTAGCCACCATGGAGCTTTCCTTCACTTCCTTAGGGGAAAACTTGCTGCTTCTGCTAAGCTGAACTTTGGCTTCACTTCCGAGATCAGATACCAATTTTATTTCCTTGCTTCTAGGTCTTGGCCCCTGAGTACAATGGAACCCAGATGTGGCAAATGAAAAATAGTAACAACAGTATTTCCTGTCTTGTATACTCTTCTAGAACCTTGCCACTCCCCTTAATATATGAAGGCTTAAGGATCCTCCCTTTGAGCCTGCGGAGAGGGGATTATTTTTGTGACTGACTCCATTAGATCACTTTCAAGGCTAGGCCATAAACGGCAATACCACTTCCACCTGACATTCTCTCTTGGGACATATACCTTTGAAACCCAGAGCTGCCATAAGAGAGGTCCAGTGACACCAAAGCCACTGTGCCACAAAGACCAGATGAGAGAGAGAGTCCTGAGACCGTGAGATAATAATAAATAATTATTGTTGTTCAAGCCACAAATTTTAAAGTGGTTCATCACACAGAAGAAAGTTACTAGAACATCAAGCTTTGGAGCCAGAAAGCCTGGCTTTGTAGCTTAGCTCCAAGACAAGCTGCCCCAGCCAGGTCCCTTACTTTCTGAACTATCAGAGTCTCCTCATCTGTAAGATGGAAGTAGACATACTCACCCAGCAGGCTTACCGTGGGGCTCACAGATGCCAGGGATTGTGCTGGCACAGTAGCTCTCACACTGCTGTTCTTGATGAGTGATAGTTTGCAGTATCATTTCCTCTATTGCCTCTGAGGTGCTCCTAACCTCAGTCTCCATTTAGCCAAATTCCACATTGCTGAAACCCTTCCCTTTCAGTGATTTCCTTCCTGTCTTTCTGGCTGCAAGAGAATAATCTCAACTCAGAACTTGATACCATCTGTCTGATACTTGTCACACCTTTTTTTATCTTGTGGATATTTGCATATTGGTGCAAGATTTAAACATGCCTTACTAGCTAGCCAGGGAAATACTATGGGTAGGGGCTGTGGGTCACATCTCCGTCATCCTACATCCCCTTGGACACTGGACACTTCCTTATTCAAACATAACCAAGTACAATAAATATTTGTTGACCAGGATAAATGGACAATAGAGCATATCTTTCAGAAGATCCTACTGATTTCTGTCCTGAAATCCATATGCTAGAGTCTTAGCTGCGTTGGCCTGGGGCCTCTCAACACCCGTGCAGCCTGTCTTGTTGGGACCCTTCACCTGCACTCCATGAATTATCTAACAGGAAGCCACAATGCATCCATGATCAACACCAGCCAGTCAGTCAGCACCTGCTGCCTCAAACAAGCAGAATGTGAATAATGAGAGAGACGCAGGTGTTTCCTGAAGTGTGACTGACCCAAGGGTAAGTTTGGAGGATGAACCAGGCAGGCCCCAGGAAAACTCTTATCTCAGCAAAGTGAGTAGATTTGCCCAGAGCATGAAAAGATCTTGGCCAAGAAGGAGATGCAGCTCAGAGGATGAGGACCCTGTAGCCCCAAGGCTCCTTCCTCACATGCACTATCCCTCTATTAGAGGGACAAGACTGCAGTGTCATCTGCAAACATCAACACCATGCTAGGTTAAGCACAGACACAGTCCCCATTTCTCCCCCCGAGCTTGCTTCATTCATGTAATTATTCATTCAGCAAACGCTTACTTCTGGCCCACTATGTGCCAGAGATGTGACTGGAACAAAATGGTGATCAAGATACAGGCCCTTCCCTGAAGGAGCTCCTGTTATAAGGCATGCATGGGTCTGTACATGAGTGGGGTGCAAATAATTGAACAGGTAATTGGCCCAATGTAGAGGCTGTGGATGCACCTTGGAATTCAGGGAAGCTTTGCAGAGACAGTGGCTACCAAGCTGAGTCATGAACAGCTAGCCAGGTAAAAGAATGATTGGAGTGCTATGGGGGGAATTGGAGGCATTCCAGGCCACAAGGACAGCAGGCACAGAGTTCTGGAGGTGAATGAGGATGCAGTACATTGGTGGGACTCATGTCATCAAGCAACGCTGATTAAGAGAGAGTGTGAGAGGCAGGTGGCAAGAGAGCAGGATGGGGAGATGCTTGGGGTTCAAATCACTTGGGGCCTCGTGCGCCATGTTAACCAGCTTGGCTTCATCTTTGAGTCACTCATGGGCCTTTGACCTGTGGGTCAAGACTGCATTTTAGAAACAGCCCATCAACAGCACAGAGAATGGATCCGAGGGGCCATGACTGGTGCAAGTCCACAATTAGAAGGTAATTGTAGTCATCCAGGCAAGCATTTGGTGTAGTCCAGACTAGGAGGATGGCAGAAGGCAAGAGAGGGACAAGTGGATGGCCACAGACAGGTAGAAGAGACAGAAAACACATGGAAATTTGAATTACAAACAGTGCAAGGAAGTATAATAGCAAAGTCAAAGGAGCGGGGCACACAGCCATTCCCAGGGAGGAGAGGTTCTCAGTCTTTAGCTGTGAGCACCAGCTTCCTTTTGAACCTTGTTTCTAACCAGGTGAGTGTTGGTCAGGAGACACACAGAAGCAAGGTCACTAGGAGAAGCAAGAGGCCTGGGTCGCCTCCTACCCACCAAGGCCCCTGGTGCTCCTGTCCCCATGATGGGGACTTGGCCAACACCCATTCCTCAAGGGAGTAGAGCCTGCATGGCCCTCTGGACTCCAGGATACCGGGACTCTGAGTTGCAGGAGGGAGCAGTGTGGAATGGAGGAAATGACCTTCTAATAGCACTACCATGCGCCCCATGCCCAAGGCTTAGCAACCAGAAATGAGAGGAAAACAAATCAGAGGGCTCAGATGGTCACTAAGAAGGATTCTAAGGTTTGCAGTCAACCTGTCAGGAGGCCTTGCCACCTGAAGACCCAAGAACACTCTGAGTCCTTGCTCAGTATTGGGCCTCAGTGTGTCTGTGGTTCCTGGCTGGGCTGGATGGCACCTCTTCTCAGAACCACCTCCTTCCCTCTGCCTAATGGATTCCAGGAAGCGGGTAGAAGGTTTGGTTAATGGCTGCTTACTTGTCCATAGAGAGTGGTCAGAGTCCTGGGACAGTATTAGTCTAAGTGAGCAAACATGAGCATTTACCTATATGCATGCATGTGTTGCATCTAACCATGTCTCTGGGAGGTATTGTGGATGTACGTGTGTGTGCTGTTTACACATACATATGTGTGTGCCTATGTGTGTGGTCACTGAATCATGTGTGAGTTTACCTTTCTGTCTTTCTGTGCTTGTGTATACAAATAAATGCAGTCAATGCATGGGCGTATGCGTGGTGTGCATCTGTATGTTCCTGTGAGTGACTATTTGTATCAGTTGGCTTCTGCTGTGTAACGAGTCATCCTAAAGCTTAGCAACAAACATTTATAATTTCTCATAATTCTGTACGTTGACTGGAAGGTTCTTCTAGTCCAGACCAGCTTAGGTAAACTCTGTTCATGTGTCTGTGGCAGCTGGTAGCTCAGCTGGAGAGGGTAAGAGGTCTACTATGGCATCATTCATGTATCTGGTAGTAGCAGTTGATGCAACATCAGAAACTGACTTGGCCACGTGGTCTCACCCTCCAGCAAGTTAGCCAGGGCTTACTTATATGGCAGTTTTAAGGTTCTAAGCACAGCAAGAGCAAGTCTTCATATATAAACACTTTTCAATATCTGCTTGCATTACATTTGCTATTGTCCCACTGCCCAAATCAAGTCACATAGGTAAGCCCAGAGTCAGCAGGGCTGGGGGAAATTACCAAGGGCATGGATGCAGGAAGAGGACTTATTGCTCCCATTTTTGCAAAAGATTTACCAAGAGTACAATGTGTGTGCACTTGTAGGGGTGTACCCATGTGTACCCCTCTATGGACATGCATACCTATTTATGTACCTGTATGTGCATGCATGTGTATGGATATGGGTATGTGTGTGGTTGCCCCAAAGAACAGCTGTTGGAAACAGTGTGTGAGCACAGCTGGGTGTGCCTCTGTGTGTACATGCACGTGTGTCTATGTGGATGTACCTGGATGTGCATTCATGTGTATAAATGTGCACATGGTGTGCATGCATGATTGCTCAAAAGAGCACAGCAGAAGTATGTATATGAGCACATGAGTGCCCCTCTGTGTACATGCACACACATTCCTGCATGTCATGGATATGTGCATGGTGTGCATATGTGACTGCCTGATTGAGCATGTGCAGGAGCCTTTGAGCACACACGTTGTGCCCCTGTATATATATGCATCTGGGAAAGGAGCCAGAGCTCAGGCTCGGTCTTGGCCTGGGTCTAGACTATTGCTTTGGCATTTCCCCAGCTGGTGAGATTAATGAAGGTCGCTAGTGGTCTCCACTCCATACCTGCTGCCACCCAGCTCCACCTGCTGCCACTGTCCAGCGATACCTTTCCTTCATCATTGTCCACTTCAGCTCTCCCTGTCTCTTGGCTCACCTTTCCCCACCTCCAGGAAGCTTTCCTAAGTGGAACTACATCCCAGGAATGTGGGCATTACTATTATGCTCTTTTACAGATGTTAAAACTGAGGCTTAGATAGGCTAAGTGACTTTTCTAAGGCCACACAGCTAGTAAGTGGGAGGCCCAGTCTGTCTGACCCCAAAGCCCAGGCTAGGAACCATTCTGCATGCAGACATCAGGAGCTGAATGATGCTGGTCCCGGAATCACAGTGGTAGAGCCAACAGTGAGCGGGTGGTCCATGCTCTGGGCCCCAGCCTGGGCCTCCAGGGCTCCCCAGACCCTTGCCTGGGTTGCTGGTTATGTTAGCGCTAACCACTGTCTCCTGTGCAGGGGACACTGTTGTTCACGTGTCTGCCTCCCCCTTTTGCCTGAAAGCCCCTGGAGGAAAGAATCCACATCATATGCAGTCCCATGGCCTCCCTGCCCACATTCCCATACGTGGTGCCTTATATACAGTAGGTGCTCCATCCACACTGCTCAGAAAGGGGTTCAGTCTGCTCCTTCTCTGGCTGTGGGAGCCAATGAAAAAGGAGGCTGGTGGCCTCTTCCCTGGCTGGAAACAACTTCTCTCCAACGACCCCAAGTCCTACCTCCACCCACCCTTACGCAGGTCCTGTTTCCTAGCCCCCAGGTGGTGAAGTTAGTGGCCATGTTAGTGAAGTCAGTGATTATGCAATACGCACTCACGTAAGTGCAGTAAAAATAGTATTAATTTTAATCCCCAAAAGAAGATAAGTAGCTGCGGTGATGTGAACATTTACCACTATATTTTATCTATTATCAGATGCCTTTTTTTTGTTTGTTTCCATTTTAACATTCTGAAATTGGGCCCTCCTTACAAATGATGATGTCTTCAACTATTAGCCGAGTGGCTGTCACGACACAGCTGTCACTGCTTGGGCGAGCTTGGTTACTGCTGTTCCCACTGTTGTCACCTCACTGGCGTTCCCTGCAGTGTTGTCGTCCCCAAACTAAATGTAATTCCCATTTTACGTGTCTTCACAACCATTGGTCTATGATTCAGTGATGAAATGACAAGTGACTGTGCACACAGAAAGGTACAGTTAAGGACACCAAGCCATATGGGCAGGATTCAGGAGGCAGATGTTCATTGTTGAAGAAATGACCACAGTGTGCTATTTTTTTTTTTTTTTTTTGCAAAGCTACAACAAAGTGCATTATGGCACATAAGACAGGAAGATATCCCAAAGAGATAAAGTTGTGGGTTTTGTTTTTATGTTTGTTTGTTTGGTTGGTTGGTGGGTTTTTTTTTTTTTTTTTTTTGAGACGGATTCTTGCTCTGTCGCCTAGGCTGGAGTGCAATGGCATGATCTTGGCTCACTGCAAGCTCCATCTCCCAGGTTCTCGCCATTCTCCTGCCTCAGCCTCTTGAGTAGCTGGGACTACAGGCGCCTGCCACCATGCCCGGCTAATTTTTTGTATTTTTAGTAGGGACGGGGTTTCACTGTGTTAGCCAGGATGGTCTCAATCTCCTGACCTCATGATCCACCTGCCTCAGCCTCCCAAAGTGCTGGGATAACAGGTGTTAGCCAGCGCTCCCAGCCAACTTGTGTTTTTTTTATGTTACTGAGATACACTCTAAAGGATTGTCTATCACTCACCAAGAATGAATTGAAGGCAGGAGAAATTGCCAAATACATAGAAATACATTAAACACATTTCAAAGCAACAAGAGACTGGTCTGACTCATTGCTGTCTCACATTATTGTTAAGATATTGCACCAGAGTTTAACAGATATTTTTCTTTTTTAGTGGTACATAAAACAATGTCATGTCCTGCAATTGATAGTCTTAGATTAGATGCCATATGACACATGTTCAACCCTCAACATGTTTATCTCATTTAAGCCTCTCCAAACCCTGGGATATGGGCGTTACTATTATCCCCTTTTACAGATGTTAAAACTGAGGCTCAGAGAGGTTCAATGACTTGCCTAAGGTCACACAGCTATTATGAGGGAGGACTATTCTATTTGACCTCAAAGCCCAGACTGGGAACCATTCCACATACCAGGACTTGAATGATGCTGGTTCCAGAGTCACAGTGGTGGAGCTGTGCATCTTTCACCCCAACAGCGATTGGGTGGTTCATGCTCTGGGCTTCAGCCTGGCAACAGGGGAGTCAGGAGTCCTGATGGCTCACATTCACTCCAGTCAGCTTCAGGAGGGCCCCACAAGCCCAGACTCTATGTCTCAGGGGCTGAAAAGATTTCCTCAGTCTTCTCCTCTCTGTCTCACCTGTGGATAGTAATCAGGCAGCCAAGTTGACCCGTCATGTTCTAAATAACTCCTTCCTTATATATGTACCAACCTATTAGCACAAAGGCACTATCAATCCTCAAATGTCAGTGATTTGCAGACCATTGTCCTAATCTTTATGTCTTCTGTATGTCTTCTGCTATTGCTTACTTAATTGCTTTTATATCTAAATCAGTCTACTTTTCATGTCTGCATCAGTCAGGATATACCTGATTATGCTGCAGTAACAAGCATCCCCACAAATCTTAGCAGCTGATAATAATGCAGGATTCTAGTCTAAGGTGAATTTCCTGTCCACAAAAGAAAAGGTCATGTAGAGGAGGTGAACTGTGAACCTAAGAAGTAGCACCTAAGCCAAAAGGAAAAAAGGAAAACACTCCAGGCAAGGGGAAGTCAGGTTCTTCTTGAACCCATAATTGTCTCACCTGTCTAATGGGTGTTAGCAATTATCTCTCCCTTGCTTCCTTCCAATTGCCCTTCAAGAATCCAATGAGAATGCGTAGTCACTTGAAAAGATTGCTTTTTAGCTGCTGCAGGTGATCGCGTTGATGTTCTCACCATATCCTGTGGGCCTTCCCCTTTCTTCTCGCCCTGATCAACTCCCAACTGCTAGTACCTGGATCATTCTGCTCGAAAGCGGAAGGCTGTTCTGGCTGTGTGCATGGCAGGCTGGAGCTTCCGGGGCCTTGCTACCCTGTGGCAGTCACCCTCTGTCAATGACTGATGGGATGTGGTGTACATTTCCCCAGCTCCCTGGAGTCTTGGGATAACTCTAAGATGATGCTCTGCCTTGTTTTCTGGAGTTCTCAGGGGACTAAGCTTCTGTATAACGCAGGAGCTAAATAATGCACACTGCGTGTGTTACTGTCCCTGCCTCGCAGCCCTGTTCCTGCACTTCCTAAATTAACCACTTGCTCTCAATTCCTTGTCTCGGGCTTTGCTTCTGGAGAAACCCAAACTAAGAGGGCTATAAAAACCCACTTTGTAGAAGAGACGGAAGAGGCATTACTCTACTTCAGGCAGAGTGTGATGCCCAGCATCGATTCCTGCTATGTACTTTGCAAGTGGCGGTTTGCTAGATATTTGCTCCAAAGTCCAAGTCTGCTACAAACAGAATCAGGGGTTGCTGGGGATGGTGTCTGCAGGAGCAGGGACGGTGCTCACTGAAGCTCTCCTGAAGGCCTGGCCTGGAGCACCTTTACAACGTGCCCCTACTTCAGTGTCAAGGATCAGGACATCAAGGCCCAGAGAGAGGCTGTTCAAGATTGTATAGACTGAAGATGGAGACTGGAGACTGGGATCCTTTTAAACCCATATCAGGGCACAAACCCACAGATGGAATTGGTTGAGGCCTCTCTTGAAGCCCTTTTCCTCTCCTCCAGGTTTAGGATGCTGTTCGCGATGGAAAGGAAGTCCCTGGCCAACACTGGTGCCTGCTCTGGCCCTTTTATAGGAGCATCTCCTCCTGCCTTCAGGTCTTCCAGAGCCCAGCCTCTGCTCGCTGGTCCTACATCTTTTCTTTTTCTTCTTCTTTTTTTTTTTTTTTTTTTTTTTGAGACAGAGTCTCACTCTGTCACCCAGGCTGGAGTGCAGTGGCGTGATCTCGGCTCACTGCAACCTCAGCCTCCCAGGTTCAAGCAATTCTCCTGCCTCAGTCTCCCAAGTAGCTGGGATTACCGGCATCTGCCACCACACCCAGCTAATTTTTGTGTTTTTGGTAGAGACAGGGTTTCACCATGTTGGCCAGGCTGGTCTCAAACTCCTGAACGCAAGTGATCTGCCTGCCTCAGCCTCCCAAAGTGCTGGGATTACAGGTGTGATGGTCCCACCTCTTGTCTTGCCACTCTGCCCCTCATCGTCTCTGCATCAGCATCTTATCACTGTTCAGTTCCCAGGACTGTTCCCTGCTCTTCACATCTGTGTCTTAGCATGTGCTGACCCCTCACCATGCTCCTCCATTCCCTCCTCTTGCCTGCTTTGCCCAACCAAATCCTACTCATCCTCCATTTCTTAGCTGGAGTGTCACTTCCTCCAGGAGGCCTCCCTGCTTTACCCACATACAAATTCTTGCAGTTCCCCCTTGACAACTCATGTCACCCACGTGTTGTGTGTCTGCCAGGTCACTGGCTCCATGCCTGAATACGGTGCCTGTTTTCCATGCCATCCCAGGGCCCAGCACCAGCCCTAGCCTACAGCAGAATCCACTGGGCACTGTGGGGCAAATGGGTGTTGGCGGGGCCCCCTCAGTACCACCGAGACAGGGGCCCAAGGGTTGAGTTATCAAGACAGAGGCCAGGGAGAGAAAACAAGATCCCCCTTTGATTGAGCCAATGAAGTCACTGGTGAGAGAGCCCTAGGAGTTATAAATAGCCCTGGAAATCATGCATATTACATTAGGGGTGTTGGTGACAGCTTAAGTATATTTCCATAAGGTTCCATTATATTTAAGTATTAGTTAATGGACACTTAAAATATTATGTTACCGTAATGCTCATGTTTTATTAGCAAACTATCACATCAAATGGAGTTGCTAAGTGTGATAGAAAATTGGCTCTGCAGCTAGATTTCTGTATTTTCACACTGAATTTTTGATTTCTAATTAATTCCCCGCCCAGCAGCCTTTGGTGAGGAGCTGATATTCTCCGGAACACATGTGATCTCTGCCTTCCACCTGACCGGGAGGCTTGGAAGTGCAAAGGGAGGACCCCAGCCCCTCGCTACAGAGCAAGAGATTTAGCCTAGGCATTTTTTGGATGGATTCAAACTGTTATTAATCTGCTGTGTGACACTGGGGAAGTTACTTACCCTCTCTGTGCCTTGGTTATCCTTTCTGTTAAATAAAGAGTTGGACTCGAGGTTCTCTGGATATTTCAGAGGTCTCCAGAGAAACAAACCAATACAATGTATGTGTGGAGAAAGAAAGGTTTATGTTAAGGAATTGGCTGATGAAGTTGTGGGGGCTGGCAAATCTGAAATCTGCAAGACAGGCTGGTAGACTGGAGACCCAGGGAACAGCTGATGTTGTGCTGGAGTCTGAAGACAGTCTGAGGCAGAATTCCTTCCTCCATAAAGAACCTCAGTGTCTTCTCTTGAGGCCTTCAACTGATTGGATGAGGCCCACCCGTATTACAAAGGTGAACCTGCTTAACTCAAAGTCTACTGACTTAAATGTGAATCACATCTGAAAGATACCCTCACGGCAATATCTGGACAAAAGTTTTGACCCCAAGCTGGATATCACGGCCTGGCCAAGTTGACACATGAAGTTAATCATTATGGTTTCTAATGTGCTCAGGGTTCTGTGGGTCAAATTCTGGATTATCTGCAAGGAAACTTCAAGCTCTGTTGTCTTCAGGCAACAGAGAAGCTGACTGGGGTTGCCGTACATCCTTGGGCACCCCAGGGCTTCCCATGAGGTGCAAGCGATCTTGACCTAAGGGATCTTCAACTCTTCCTTCCTCTTGTGGTGGCACAGACCCAGAGGAGGGCTTCAAGCTTTGCTTCTCACTGCCAAAGGGCAGCCCCTGAAAACACTGTTTAAAAGGCTGTAATTTTTTTTTCCAGCCTTTGTTCAGGGATGCAAAGAATCTGAATGGGAAGAGGTGGGGAAAAGGCACTCTGGGTGGAGAGACTGGTGCAGGCAGAAGCTGCATAGGGAGAAATTGCCAGTGTGGGGCAAAATGAGAGAGCTGGTCCTGGAAGCACCGGGGTCGGAGGAGGCACCATGCCAGGCTCTTTAGTTGCATCTTTGTGGCCACCCTGGAGGCTTTGGGGTCCCATAACATGTAATCATGGGAATAGTGATTTCCTCCTGGTCACAGGTAAGTCAGAGGCTGGTGGGGAGCATGCTTAGGGCTTCCCACCTCCCAGCCGGGACATCCCAGGCCCCAGGCTCTTGGTGCCAGTGAAAAATAGGATGACAAAAATGCCAGAGTGGTAAGAAAATGGACTTTGATGAACAGGGTTCCAGTCCTGACCTCACCACTTTCTAGCCACCCATGTCTGACTCAGTTTCCCTACCTGCACAAGGGGAAAAATAAGAGAACCAGCCTACCTTACAGGGCCAGGAGAAGGATTTGATAAATTCATACATGGAAATAAAGAAAACTGCAGCGAAAACTCAAGTGTGAGATCAAGAACATTTACTGGCTGGGTGACCTGGGACAATTCCTGAAACTTTCTGGTCCTCAGTCTGAAAAATGGGGATCCTAACGGTGCAGACCTCAGGGCTGCCCGTTTATCAAAGGTTAAGGAAGTGCCGGTTATGGGGCCAGGCACCAGCTAGAAAATAGAAAGGCAAACGTGATTCACATAACAGGCAAGCTCTCTGTCCTCATGGACCTGACATTCTAGCAGCAGGTATGGGTTGGTGGTGGTGGTATTATTAACAACACAACAAAGCAAAGACATATTTTAATTTATCTGCTTATTTATTTATTTATTTAGTTTAGAGGCAGGATCTCGCTCTGTTGTCCAGACCAGAGTGCAGTGGCGTGATCAGGCTCACTGCATCTCCTTGGGTTCAAACGATCCTCCCACCTCAGCCTCCCAAGTAACTGAGGCTGCAGGAATGCCCACCATGCTTGGCTAATTTCTAAACTTTTTTATGTAGCCACTGGGTCTCGCGATGTTGCCCAGGCTGTCCTCGAATGCCTGGACTCAAGCCATCCACCCACCTGAGCCTCTTAAAGTGCCAGGATTATAGACGTGAGCCACCACACACAGCCCAAAACATATTTTAAAATATGCAATAAGAGGTATGGAGGAAAATAAATCAAGACTGTGAGCTGAGGGATGCCCAGAGGTTAGTTCACTTTTCAATAGTTAGGGAAGACCTCATTGAGAAAGTGACATTAGAACAAAGACCTTCGAAGAGTTGACAGCATCAAGCCAGGGTCAAGCCAACGAGGGCTGAATCCTGCCATGCCCATTTGTTCCATCGCTGATGGCTGCCTTCTAAAAAGGACACATTGAGTGGCTGCAACAGAGACACTACATCCCACAAAGCCTAAAATATTTACCATCCAACCCTTTGTAAAAAAGTTTATCAACCACTAGCACAAAGCACTGCATAGATTATCTGAACCCTAGTAGAGCTTAATAAAATTATCTTTACTGTTATTATTTTTAGATGACAGCTAAATGATGCTGTCACTGGAGGTATCAGGGAATGGGGAATCAGATGTGGCCCCTTTCCCTGCACCTAGCCAGGGTTCCATGTCCCAAATCCTGTTCTTAGAATGTATAGCATCTTATTTTTAGTTTTTGAGACAGAGTCTTGCTCTGCCACCCAGGCTGGAGTGCAGTGTGGCACGATCTCAGCTCACTGCAACCTCTGCCTCGCGGTTCAGGCAATTCTCGTGCCTCAGCCTCTCGAGTAGCTGGGACTATAGGCCTGCACCACCACGCCTGGCTAATTCTTGTATTTTTAGTAGAGACGGCGTTTCACCATGTTGGCCAGGCTGGTCTCGAACTCCTGGCCTCAAGTGATCTGCCTGCCTCAGTCTCCCAAAGCGCTGGCATTACAGGTGTGAGCCCTGGACCCAGGTCTTGGAATGTATAGAATCTTGACAGACAGAGTCATGGGAGAGGGGGCTCCAGGCCGGCCAAGAAAATAGCATGAGGAAAAGTGCAGTGGTGGGAAATGACAGATTGGGTTTGGAGAACCATAAGTGGCACAAGGAAACAGGACTGCAATTTCCACCTCCAAAAATACCCCTGCCCTGCGTGTGGCCAGCAGCAAGACCCCAGGCTGGGATCCCCGGCTGTCAGTGGGCTGCTCTGCTGGAGGCTGTGGGCTGGAGGCGCTGGGAGCAGCATTAGCCGCCTGATTGAGTTATGACAACTCCTAGTGCCCAACGGGAAGCCAGGCAAGGCCGTCCTAGCGGGGGCCTGCAGACAAATGATGATAAAGTGCTCACTTTAAGGAACCATCTCCATAATATTTCATGCTCGCGGCGGGGGGAGGGGGCAGGCAGGCTGCCCTGGTGGCACAGCTAACTACTCCATCAATTGATTTGATTCACGGCAGCAGCTACTCCCAGTCATAATATTTCAAATAAATGGGGCTGTGGATAGAAATAATATCTGCATCAATATTAACCCTGAAAGAACTAATAGACATAAGCTATAATTTCCTGGACACCCTAATAACGCATTTTGACCGTTGCAGGCATGGGACAATTTTTCTTTCTCTTTTCTCTCCTCCGCTCCTCTGTCTGCCTCTCTCCTCCTTAGACTCTGGCAGATATGCTGTGTGCAATCCCAGCCTATGGTTTGGAGACTTCAAGAGGTCCGGTCCCACTTCCCACCAGCCATAGCACCCTGCTGAAGAGGAAAAAGGGAAGCCTGGACTTTCGTGGTCCGTTTATTTTGAGTTTGTACAGTTCCCTGCGCAGGGAGAGTATGATTATCTGGGGAAGGAGAGCTTGCCTGTCAGGCTTGTTAGAAAAGACGCTCACCAGGCCAGGCGCAGTGGCTCATGCCTGTAATCCCAGCACTTTGGGAGGCTGAGGCAGGCAGATCACAAGGTCAAGAGATCAACACCATCCTGGCCAACATGGTGAAACCCCGTCTCTACCAAAAATACAAAAATTAGCTGGGCGTGGTGGTGCACACCTGTAGTCCCAGCTACTTGGGAGGCCGAGGCAGGAGAATCACTTGAACCCAGGAGGCGGAGGTTGCAGTGAGCTGAGGTTGCACCACCGCACTCCAGCCTGGTGACAGAGCGACACTCCGTCTCAAAAAAAAAGAAAAAAAAAAAAGAAATGAAATGACGCTCATCTGGCTCTTTCTGTCATTCACTCACGAAACAGACACTTATTGTGCACCTAGCATCTACTACATGTTGGGCACTTTATTAGGTGTGTGGGATCCATCAGTAAACAAAAGAGAAGAAAACTGTCCTGTGGAGTTTATAGTTATCGAAGGTGAGAGGGTCCAGGGAAGACACAACTGATAAACCCCAAACCCACAAGTAATAATTACACAGTTTGTTAGCAAGGTTGACCACCCAGTCCCCTAGTCCCAGAGTTGCCCTATTTGCCGACTGGGTTTGTCAGAGGGGTGAAGGGTGGGGAAGACATTGGGGTTGTTGTGGACGTGTTCTTTCCCACAGTGGTTAAGAATTGGCTGCCTGAGAGCTGAATATGGCCCTTGGTGGGTGTTTTGTCTGTCCTGCGTAATATTTTCTGAAAATTTGTGGATAACGTTTTTAAAGCAAGAGATTTTGCTTAAAAATCTGATTTAAACCTTCTCTTTAGAAATGGGAAGATTCTGCATCACCCACATTTGCTCATGGCGGCAATTGACTGGAGTAGGTCAGCATCTGCCCCTTCAGATGAGGCTTGCGTTCTGCAGTTGGCCACAGTCCCCACTGCTGTCTACTGTCCCTGGTGCACCAAGCCCAGCCTGCCCTGCGGTGCCCATGTGGTCCCTATGGGCACCTGCCCTATGGCCCCTGCTTGTCTCCTTAGAGCTGGTTTCTGAATTTCCCTGTCCTTGCCCAAGTTGCTCTCCCTGTGGTTCCCCTATTTCTAGTCGCACCCTTTGCATGACAGCCTTTCCTCCTTTTGCGTCTACTGCCTCTTTTCCTGCCATTTTGTGGCTCTATTACCACAGTGCTCGAGGTGCTGCATCACTTAGTGAGAACAGATACGTTTAGCAGCAGGGCTGTAAACCAGACCTCTTCCCTTTGCAAGTTTAAGGCACCCAGCCACTCTCTTCCTCTGCTGTCCAGCCCAATTTTAGCCTTGAAATCTTGTTTCCCTATTTAAAAAAATTAAATTATGTCTATGAGGTGCTCTGTGGAGGTGACCCCAATGTTACATACACTCTTATCAGTGCTCAGGCCTGGGTGAAGATTCAAAGTGGTTTCCTAGCTGAGCTGACCACACCTCTGTTGCTTTTTTTTTTCCTCTCTCTCTAAGAGGGAAAGGAAACTAATGCTAGGGACCCAGTGGCCGATAATAGGCGCAGGTGAGCCAAAGTGGGGAAGGGGCCTGGGAGAGTCTCCATGGGGCTGAATGTGTTCCTGAGAAGTGAGGGTGAGGAGCACCTGGCAGGGGTGCTGGCCCCGGATGTGATCCTCATATCTATAAGATGGGGCCAGCAGTCAACACCAACTTGCAGATGGTGGAGTGCCCAGCAGCAGCACCCCATGGGAAGCTGGTGATGGGCCACTCCCACCTTCCTTTCTGGCTCTCGGAGTGCCCCCTATCTACTCCTTTGCTAAAGAGGGGAAGATCTATGTATCAGATGCTGCTTGTGTGACACTTCAAGACGCCTCAGCCTCACCTCCCTCTCTAGACACTACTGCAGCACCCAGTTGTATGCAGGCTGCAAGCACTTGGCACAAGTGCCATCTGGCAGCACCTCACTTGGCGCTATGCCCCATTGGTCTCACTTCCTGCTGAAGTTTCTCTCACACCATCTCATGGGATAGGCAGCACTCATGCATGCACAACCTGGACATTCATGCCCTTGACCAAAGAGCATGAACATCAATGGATTCTTGCTTCCCCCTTCCATCCTCTGGGCAGCACTTCTGATATGCATGCTCTAAGGTTTGCCAGATCGCCAGGGGATCAAGTTCAGTCATCCATATTAGTGACCAACAACATAAAGCAGCTTTGCATGGGTCTTCCTGCCTTCTCTGTCTCTTGCTACTTGTCTTGCATTCTTGCTCCCTGGTGTCACTTCCTTAATAAACTTCTTGATCATAAGCCTTTGTCTCAGGCTCTGCTTTCGGGGAAACTTCACTTGCTTAGAGAACCTCCGACAGACACATCTGAGAGTCCAAGCTGGACAAAGAACCTTCACTATCCAATGATTCAGCAAATGCTTGCTGGCTCTGACCTCAGGACCAGCACATGCTGGGTCTCAGAGATGCAACAACAGACAAGGGAATGAATGGATTACAGATCCCAGCCTTGGCCTCCAGGAGCTCACAGTGCAGTGAGGAAAGGATTCACGATCCAACAGACGCTTTGAAGGCTAAGAAATGCCAGAATCAGAAGAAATAGAGTAGGCACCCAATCCACTCTGCCCAGAAGAGGTGACATCTGAGCTGAGATCTGTCACTAGACCAGGACAAAATCCAAATCAGCTCTTCAGTGTTTAATGTCCACCCTAGGAGGGCAGAAATCGGATACATGCAATGAATATAACTTACTGTGTCATCCCTTCTAAAATATACTAGAATCTGCTGATCTGCCCTCAAGGAACCTCTCCCCAGAGTCTAACCAGAGCCTGGCTGCTCCAATTTCTCCATTTTCTCCTGCTCAGGACTTGGAGATGGAGGGCAGCAGGTTCCCAGACCTAAAGAATAAAATGCAATCCCCAGACAGCCCCTCAGAGCCAAGAGATTCTGTGCTGACACTGAGCTACTGCTTTTCTCCTCTCTCGGCCACCATTTATTCCACTCTTGCTTCCACCTGGTTCCATTCTCCTTGCCGGCCCAGACTTGGCACAGCACTGGAAGAGGACTTGTTCCTGAGGGCATCAGTACTGCAGGGGATGTGTCCCTTACGGGGAAAACCCTCAGTGTCCCAAAATAGATCACAGGCCCACCTGCCCCCATCACCACCTCCCTGCTCTCAAAATGCAGTCCCTTAGACAGGTTCAGTGGCACTCAGAGGGGGTCCAGGCATGTTCTGACATCCCTAGGAATCCTCCCCCCAATTCTCAAAGCACTGTTGTTGGTTTTACTTTGCTTTAACTTCTGAAAAGAGCCATGAGCATAAAAATGAGTCACATAGACCTTTTCAGATGAAAGGGCAGAAACAGCCGAATTAGGTGTTGTCCTTCTTAACTGCACCAATATTTGGGAAGGGCCAGCTTAGACTCACCTCTGACCTGGGAAGTGGGGAAGGGACCAAGTGGATGTTCCTCTAAATGGCTCCCCTTGGCCCCAGACATGGTTAGGTTTTTCTGTGCTAAGGCATCTCCTGTGTTTTCTTGGGGCCATCGTGCCTCATCCCCAGGACCTGCTGGGGGAGGGATATCTGCTTTACTTTCCTGAACTCTTGTTCTTACTCATTCTGGGAAATGTGGGTGCCAACTCCCTTAAGGGATGTGGGATTTGGCTCTTGGTTTCTGCTGACAGCCAGCATTTCCTGGGACTGAAACCGGGCCAAGACCTCTGTGTGGCACAGCTAATCTCCTTCCTGTCCAGCTCTCAGACCCCCTAGGTGGTGAGGTCAGCAGGGTCAACTTCCTCCCTCCCTTGGCACTAGAGGAACTTGGCCAAGGACAAACCAAAGTCTGATGGCACCTGGCCCAGCCAGAGTCAACCTGCTCCTTGGTGTAGATTCCCTGAGGAAGGAAGTCTGCTTCTGGATAGTGTAGTTGGGATATTTGATTGGCAGCCCAGAGACCTGTGTTTCAATCCTAGCTCTACTATGACCTTGCTGTGTGATCTTGGTCAAGTCACTATCTCTCTCTGGGTCTCAACAGCTCCATATTTAAAATGAACATGCCAAGACATCTCTCATATTCCAAGACACTAACTGTGATTGCAGGAAAGAGAGAAGAGAGAGACAGAGAAGGAGAGAGAGAGAGAGAGAAGGAAAGAGAGAGAGAGAGAGAAGGAGAAAGAGGATGTAGAGGTAAGCACAAGCTTTGGGGAGGAGCCTTCTGCAGCTCAGCAGCCTGGAGCATCCTTCCAAGCAAAGCAATGGATTCCGAATTCAAAGATTGCGAAGGTTCTTTATTGCTAAAGGGGGAAAGGTCCGAATATTGCTTAGCAAATTGCCATCTGCTAGGGGCACCATTATGCCTTGACACAACCATTGGTCAGCAAATTGGTCACATTATTGGTTAGTAAATTTGAGGCTGCAGAATTATTTATTGGCAAATTAGAGATGGCAGAATTATTGGTTGGAGAGGCCAGAATTGCAGCGATTGGTTAGCAAATTAGAGATGCCTGTTTTGGTCTGTGAATAAATCACGGCTGGTCAGGGTATTGGAGGCCAAATTAGAGGTGGCTGGGTTATTTATGGCCAAGCCAGGAAAGCAAAAAGTGCATTTGCCAGGCAGAAAGGGGGTCAGCCTTCAGTGTGTGGGGCTACTCCATGAATGCACCTCCAGGTCAAAGTAGTGTGGGCTGGATTCTTGTCCTGCAACTTCCAGCTCCCATCTGCCTCCCCTTGTTTCCAAAGAGAGTTTAAAAGATGTTTGCAGTGCTGGGGCTGGTCAGCAGAATAGAGGCTAAAAGTCCAGCCCAAGAAAAGATTTGATCAGAGTTGCTTGCTGGAAAGGAAACTGGGTCCAGCTTAGGAACATGCCCTTCGAAGACAAGATTTCTCACTGTCCTCTGGCCCAGCCTAGGATGGGGCGCCATGGAGCATGAGAAGTCCCTGGCCTCAGGAGCCCAGGATCAAGTTGAAACCCTTCTTCTTTAGGGCTGTGTCCAGACACCAGTTGTCTGGGAAGGCCACTTCTTCTCTGGAAGCTTCCAGTGGTCTCACTCTTTTCTGAACTTTTCCTGTCTGGGTCACTCACTACTCAGTTATATTCACCCTGCTTTCTAGTGGATTTTGCCTCTTGTTGAGTTTTTCATAGCTCCTCTGCCAGATGAGAAGCTTTTTGAGGGCAGAACTCTTGCTCTTGTTTCACCCATGGGGCCTGGCACAGGACTTGGCATGTGTAGGTATACATGATGGATACATGTATGCGTGTATAAATGGATAGGTAATGGATAGATGGGTGATGAACGGGTGGATGATAGGTGGATGGATGGATGGATGATAGATGGGTAGGTGATGGATGGATAATGAGCAGATGAATAGATGAATGAATGAGAAATGGGTGGGTGAGTGGATGGATGGATGGATAATGTTTTTATTGGTTGCATAGAAGGGCAGATGATTGTTTTTCATGTTGTTTTTAGAAAGCCAGGGATCCCAAAGTGGAGGAACTTGGAGTTTCAGAGTTAGAAGAGATTTGAAGCCATGTGATTCACTCCCTCATATTCTCTAGCCCAAGTTTTTAAATAAAAAATTAAGAGAAATCATTGTCAGGCTCACACATCTGGGACCATAAGGGAAAGTAAGCCAAGGTCTTCCAGTTAACCCAAGGGTAATGATCCCCTCTCATCCTCCATCTTCATAAGAGAACAAATTCTACAGAAAGCCCAGAAAGTGTCTCGGAGCTGAATGAGGATAATGGTGTCACAGGGAGCTTAGGCCTCCATGGTCATCATAAGCTGAGTTTTATCTTTCTAAAGTGGTGGGACACTCACCTCATCACTTATTTTCACCTCATCCTGGAGAGCAATGAGGTGGGAAGGCTTCTCTTCATGTTATAGATGAGGAAACTGCAGTTCAGAGGGAAGGAGTGACTTGCCCGAAGGCCCACAGGGCTAGAATCCAGTTCTCCTGGACCCTGCCCCTGGCAACCTACCACCAGGCAACTGGCCTGCCCCTCCTTCCCCTTCCCAGTCCTCAATGCTGGCATGCACACTCTGATGTTAGTATTCATCTCATCACTTGCATTGCAATTTCCTTATTTTATCTGTTTTCTTCTCTCTGTCTCCCCAACTAGATTATAAACATCTGATGGCAAGGACCATGTCAAGCACCTCTCCCCGGTGAGTAGGTTCAGGTCAGCACAGTCTCGGTGTTAGCTGAGTAATGAAAACTAAAAGATGATATAATTGTGTCCTACCAGCTCAACACAAATACCTCACCTTTGCGGTTTTTAACTTTTCAAAGTTATCTAGTTATCTCATGTATTCCCCAGAAAGGCACTCTGGTGTTATGCAACACTGGTTATTCTGTTAGCCCTCCTCCTGGACTTATTCTCTGCTCTGTTCTCAGCCTTGAGGTTAATTGTTGGGGACCACATATCCCAGCTTCCTTACCCTCTGGCTTCTGGTCAGGCTTGGCTGATAGAGCAGGAGATGAGCAGGTGAGCAGAGAGAGAAGGTGGATAATTTCTCCCTGGGTCCCTCCTTGCTTTATTGTTGTGTCTCTACTAGGAACTGAATCCTTGCATGATGACACCTCCCACCAGGTGGCCCTTCCTCCACTTCTAGTTTTTACTGGCAAGCACTACTTTCTCTTCTCCCCTTCAGCCCTAGGGTGACAACAGGGCAAAGCTCTGGGTATGGGGAGCAGCCCAGCTCATCCCTTGCTGACTCCTTTCACCCTGCAGACACCTCTGCCAGTCTCTTGGTTGAAATCAGTTCATTTGCACCATTGGTTGGTGGACAGGCAAGCCCTGGAAACAGATGCCAACATTTGGCTTCCTCCTCCCAAGACTTAGCTCTGACAACAGAGATGTTGATCACATCCCACCCACTTCTTTCCATCTTAGTCTTAACGACCCTTGAAAGGCACATCTTGGGGAGAATGCGCTTCTGTTTCTCAGCTTCCTCCACCCTCAACAACCACCAGCAGCCACTCATCTATGTGTTGTGATTGGGTCATGATAAATCTCAGCCTGTGACTTCCAGCTGGGGACATCCTCTTCTGTCCCGTTTCCTCATCTCTTAGATGGGGAAAGCATCACTGTCATGAGGAGTAAGTGAAACAATGTAAGTTTAATGTCTGTTGCATGGAAGGCACTCAATAAATGGGAGATGTATTATCACTTTTGTGATAACCATCCCCTTAGTGTTGGACATTTCAGTCATTTCACCTTTTCACTACCACAAAGAATGCTCCGATGAACATCTTTGTAGATAAAACATCTTTTCATGTTTAGTACAGATTGAGTACCTTTTTTTTTTCTTTGACGGAGTCTTGCTCTGTCGCCCGAGCTAGACTGCAGTGGCGTGATCTCAGCTTAGTGCAACCTCTGCCTCCTGGGTTCAAGCAGTTCTCCTGCCTCAGCGTCCTGAGTAGCTGGGATTACAGGTGCCCACCACCACTACTGGCTAATTTTTGTATTTTTAGTAGAGACAAAGTTTCGCCATGTTGGCCAGACTGGCCTTGAACTCCTGACCTCAGGTGATATGCCCACTTTGGCCTCCCAAAGTGCTGGGATTACAGGTGTGAGCCACTGTGCCCCGCCCAGGTTGAGTACCTCTAATATGAAAATTCAAAATCAAAAATGCTCCAAACTTTGAAATATTTAGAGTGCCAACATGATGCTCAAAAGACATGCTCAGTGGAACACTTCAGGTTACAAATTTCGGATGCTCAACTGGTAAGTATAATGCCAGTATTTGAAAATCAAAAAAACAAACAAGCAAACAAAAAAACCTGAAATCCAAATCATTTCTGGTCCCAAGCATTTCAGGTAAGGGATACTCAACCAGTGTTTTTTCCTTAGGACTGATTCTTGGCTCCAGTTAAAGTTATCAGCTGAGTCGAAAGGTATGACTTTGGTAATTTTGCAAATACAACCAAATCAGTCTTCCAAAACTGCCTCACTGAATGGGTTTGTTTATTTGTTGACCGAGCCTCGCTCAGTGGTGCAATCTCAGCTCACTTCAACCTCCACCTCCCGGGTTCAAGGGACTCTCCTGCCTCAGGCTCCTGAGTAGCTGGGATCACAGGTGTGCGCCACCATGCCCAAATAATTTTTGTACTTTTAGTATTCTAGTACAGATGGGATTTCATCATGTTGGCCAGGCTGGTCTCGAACTCCTGGCCTCAAGGGATCAGCCCGCCTCGGCCTCCTAAAGTGCTAAGATAACAGGCCTGAGCCACCGTGCCTGGCCTGAATGGGTTTTAATTGTAGCAGCCACCATGTATTAAGTGCTTATCGTGTGCCTGGCACTCTGCTAAGCACTGTTTGTGGACTGAACCTCCCCTATGAGGTAGGTAGTTCAATATCTCTGATTTACAGAACTGAAAACTGAAGTGAGAGGAGTTTGATGACTTACCCTAGGTCTCGAAGTCTCATAATGGAACCACTGGAGGTTGAAGTTCAGATCTGCCTGACTCCAAGCCCTCTCCTTTCAACTGTTTGCTGCCCTGTGGCTTTGCTGTAGTGAACTGGTCCAGCCTGCTCTCCCTGGCACCTGCCCTCTGCACCCACACCTGGGCACAGTGCTCTTCATGTGCTCCATTGAGTTGTAGGCAGAGGCCATGCTGGCTCAGACACAGCTGGAGTGGGGAAGCAGGAACTCTCTCTATCCTTCTCCATGCCAGGGTACTTCAGCATCTTATAGCTCAAGGGACATCAGGGAAACAGCCTCTTAGAGAGTTAGAACCAGGAGGACCATTGCAGTGCACTGAGGAAAATATTTTCATGCATGGGGAACCTCCTGGCATTCCCTGGTGGCTTTCCAAGCTAAGGTCCACCCCTTCTGAAGTTGGATAGGCCAGGGCCAACAAAGCCCTGTGGCCTGAGGACTCCCTGTTCTGGTTGCCCTTTATAACTATATTATATACTATATATACTATATGACTTTCTCTACCACATCAGATTTGCAATGTTCTGTAGAAAGCACTATGAAGATCTGGCCACTAAATACTTGCAAACCCAAATTGTCCACAGGAGCCTAAATCTACCATGTCCAGTGCCTGCAGCTCTGAGTGGGGAGGCCATGGGAGGCTCAGAGTGGTGACTCAAGGGAGAAAGACCACTAGCTTTTCAGGCTGGAAGTGCTCCCCATGGAAGCTTCGCCCAGGCAACCTCCACCAGGATCTCAGGGCCTTCCAGAGAGGCCTTGGCTTCCTGCCTCACTGGCTCAGAGGAGAAGCAGCAGGAGCTGCACTGGAGGATCCAGAGAAAAAGTCAATTACTGGGTCAAAAATCGGGCTGGGGTAGGAAGCCCAGTCCACAGCTCTGTTCTTTTGTTGGGCTTGGCCGGGGAGGTAGGGAAAGGCCAGGCGGGCTTTCCCAGAGCAGCCGGGTCCTGGACGGTGACTGCCTGGTGCAACTTTCTGTCACCTTCTCCCATCCACAGACCTACTGGGTGCTGAGAACCAGCCCAGCCATCACTGCAGGATCCACAGACTGGGTCCAAATCCATGACCAACTGTAACGTGAGCCTCGATGTACTGTGTTTGATCTGTGCAGAGTTCAGAAAAATAAGAAATCATGGCCAACCTTTAAGTGTTAGAAACAGGTTAATCTGGATTTCTGACTGCTGTTGAAAAAAGCCAGACTTGGCCACCCTGGGCACACACCCTCATGGCAACAAACACTGGGAACCAAGTAGCAGAAGCTCCCTATAGACAGGGCTTGAACTCTCCCACCAACCACAGTCCCCTCGACACTCTCATCTCTGAACTCGACCAGTTTCTCCCACTGAGGGGCCCTGCCCAGCATTGGGAGGCATTTCATCATCTGACCTAAGCTATATACTAGGGTGGCTGAGAGCTGGCCCTGCCTTCAAGGGGACAGATGCTTGACACTCATCTCTACTATCAGGCAACCCATGGGAAGTGCCATCAGGGCAGGAGCATAGACAAAGTGCTGCAAAGTGCTGAGCAGGCTGTGGAATGAGCATTCATACAAAGGGGTCAAGGCAGATCTCACGGAGCAGGGGTGCTAAGCCAGGCATTCGGTGACAGTTACAAGGTCAATGGCTGCACAAGGGGAGCAGTTTCCCAGAAGCCAATGGATGCTGGAGTTGGCAGGACCTTTTAGGATAATAAGCCTATGAGGCCAGACGGGGAATGTAAAGGGGCAGGGGACAGACCAGTGATCCACTGGGGGAGAGGTCCTGCGGCACATAAGCCCTAACCTTCAGAGAATACCTTGCTTTGATCAGAAAAACCTGGATTTTAACCCATCTCTGCTACTTTTTACACATGCAACTTATTCAACTTCTTGACTTCTAATTTCACATCTGTAAGATAACTATAATATACCCATCTGTATTAGTTGGCTCAGGCTGCCATAACAAAATACTGTAAACTGAGTGGCTCAAACAGAAATGTGTTTTCTCATAATAGTTCTGAAGGCTCCAAGTTCAAGGTGCCAGCAGGTAAGTTTCATTCTGAGGCCTCTTCTCTTAGGTAGAGCTGCTATCTCATTGGGTGCTCACATGATCTCTTTGTGTGCACTATCTCGCTCTTTTTAATAAAGGAGGCTACTACCTATCAGAGCAGGGTCCCAAACTAATAAACTCATTTAACTGTAATTACTTCCTTGGGAGCTTTATCTCCAAATACGGTCACATATGAATTTTGGAGAGCTGCAATTCAGTTCATGGCACTGTCTAATAATTGACGATGAGGATTAAACTAGATCAATATGTAAAGCACCCAGAACATGTTTAGGGCAGAAGCATCAGGATAATAGGGACTGGTGGGGAGTGGGGGTAGAGTGGAGAGCACGTGGCCTACACAGCATAAAGCCTAAAGACCAGCTCTACTCAGACCCAACCAATGGTGCTCCCAATGTGGCCACAGCTTTGATTTTTTTCAAGGAGGCTGGAAATTCAGACTTTTACATGAAATTCATAAAATTTAAATATCAGCTCAAATACTCTTAAGTACTGAACAGGTCTAAGAAGAATGCATCTGCTACCTGGATACAGCCTATTGGTTGTCTCTTTGCAATATCATGCTTGGTATATAGAAGATGCTTGATAAGCATTACTTCTTTTTCCTAAAGAAGAGAAACATTTACATGTCACTTGCTTTCCTTTGCATCATTTTTCTTGAAAGAAGCCATCCCTCTGTGAGGTAGAGCAGGACCCCAGACTCCTCACATTAAAATATCTTTTTCCATGGCTACTGTATGGACTGAAGTCTCAGCATTAAAGCCCTTTGTCCCACAAAGCACTTTGGTTGGTGAGGTTTCCTTGGTGCCAAGCTGGACCTGGAGTTTACCTGGGGCATGGGCTGCAGAGTCACCACATCATAGGACAACAGACATTTTGGTTTTCAGACATTGAACACAAAATGCAAAGCACAGAGATGGGGTCCCAGCAGCATGGCTGGAGGCTGGAGCCCTTCAGAAAACATCACCAGGGAAAGGCTTACTAGTCTTGGGAATAACCAAGAACAGTTAAGAACAGGGATGCAGAGCTTCCAACAAGAGGTTGCTTGCTCTGCTCCTTGCCATCTCGCCCACCCTCCACTTCTCCCAAACTCAGAACCACATGTTAGATGGGCAGTCTTCAGCTGATGGTCCTTTGAGGAATGATAATATCAACAATTCCTAGAGAGGTGATGTCATGTGGAGATGGGCCGGCAGAGAGATGCAAGGTAACATATAGGGTTTTCAGGTAAATATAAATCTCAGATAAACAGTCAATAATTGTTTAACATAAGAATGTCCCCAGTATTTCACGGGACATACTTATACTAAAAAAAATTCATTGTTTATCTGAAATTCAAATTTAACTGTTTTTCCTGTATTTATTTTTGCTAAATCTTGGCTAACCTTCAGCTAGTGAGACAGGTGCAAAACAGAGAGAAGAAAGCAGGAATTCAGAAGCAAGAATTTGGATTTAAGAGAAGAGTAGATAAGACATAAGAATCCTTCAAGATATTGAGGGTTATGCTAGCTTTCTCATCAATGAGGGAATGAAGAATTCAACCAATTGTAGTTAAATCTCAAAGGAAAAATGACCATCAGCTCATAGCTGTTTCTCCAAAGATGAATTAAACTTTGTCCAAGTTCAAAAGTGAGCCACAGCTTCCAGGAACAGGCAGTCCAGTGGGGAAGGCATCCAACAATGACAGTGCAGATAACATGAGAGTCATCTAGGTTCTCTGGGGGAAACAAAGGGGGCTATGGGAGCCCATGGGGATCCCAAATCAGCCTGGGGCACCTTCAGACTGACTCCTGTAGGATGAGGAGGAGATGAGTTGGGCGTGTGAGTTCTTCCAGTCAGCAAAGGAGACTTCTCATTCCCATGTCACAGAACAAACTGAGGCCCAGACAAATTACGGGATCAGCCCAAGGTCTCACCCTTAATAAGTGGACTGGAAGTGCCTATTGGTTGTCCTGGTTTTGAAACATAAAGCCTGGTTCCTCTTTAAAAAGTTTATGGCCAGCTGGGTGCAGTGGCTCACGCCTGTAATCCCAGCACTTTAGGAGGCTGAGGCAGGCAGATCGCCTGAGGTCAGGAGTTCAAGACCAGCCTCACCAACATGGTGAAACCCCATGTCTATCAAAAATATGAAAATTAGCCGGGCCTGGTGGCTTGTGCCTGTAATCCCAGCTACTCGGGAGGCTGAGACAGGAGAATCTCTTGAACCAGGGAGGCAAATGTTGCAGTGAGCTGAGATCACACCATTGTACTTCAGCCTGGGTGACAAGAAACTCTGTCAAAAAAAAAAAAAGGCCTGCAGAAGTTTCCTGACATACACAGTTTGATAATAAAGAGAAACTGAGGGAGACAGGTAATATATTTCTTGGGAATCCTGGCTGGGTATAGTTGAGCCAGGATAAAATAAAGTCATGGACGTGAAAGGATGGACAACGTACACTGTAAAGTGCTGTGCCAGCCCAAAAGAGGACTATGCATAGCAGCCTTCTACCTACAGGGTCAACATGACAGAACAATGCTTCCACATCTACCCCTCCCACCCCTAGCTCTGGTCCCAGAATATTTTGTCCAGGAAGAGAAAAAGAGGAGATGTGGTATTTACTTCTAAAACCAAGGATGAGCCAGGCAGCACTGTGCCAGGGCAAGCCTATAGATGCTGAGGCCCAGCCACCAACCTTGGATCCTTCTCAGCCACCTATCAGGCAAAGGCACTTTGCCTCATCTCTCCTGACCTCTGCTTTCCAGTCTGTAAGGTCGGCATAATGATAGTTCTTAGCTCATGGATGTGGAGTTAAATGAATTAATACATGTTAAGAACTTACAACACTGTGGGCACATTTTTGGCACAATTTAAGTGCTAGCATCTATGTCTTGAGTTCTTGATTTATTTTACTAGACACAGGAACAAACATGAAATAGGAGCTTTCTCATCTATCAGAATGAAACATCCGAAAACATCAGTCTCCAGTCACAGAAATATCCACACCTAACCCAAAATGTTCAGAATTTCAGGCTCCAGGACAAGGCAGGGGAGAGAGAATTTTGCCCCTAGGTAGAATCCAGGCAATCCCAAAGTCACACCATGTAGGCCTTGACACTGTTGCCCCACGCCCCCTCATCACTCAGATATTCGGAAATGGTGAGTCCTTCAGAAGGGATCCAGCATAGTGACTGGGCTGGAAAGGGTGTTTCTAGTTAGGAAGTTTTCCTACATGTTATAGCTCCTTGGTCACCAAAAGGTAGAAAGCTCCCCCAGATGTCCAGTGACTTTCAGCCCCACAGGACCGACCATTCCAAAACCTTCTAGGTCTGTGTGTGTGTGTGTGTGCATGCACTGTGAGTAGGCTGGAGGAATACTGAAATTCTGTAAACTTTCATCAGAGTGGACCCCAGGCCCACTGCTCACTGCCTGTCTCAAAGGGATTGCGTGCTCACCCCGAAGTTACCTGCCACCTGCCACCAGGGCCACTGGCTGCGGACTGGACATGCAGCTAGTCCAAGGCTCCTCCTAGATTCTGGCTGAACTTCTCTCCCAGGCAATGTGAAGGAGCCCAACAGGTGTTTTCATGATTTTCCCCTCTCTTTTTCTTTCTTTTCCCTTTTCTTTACAATTAAGTTTGCTCTCTGGGTGTCTCACAGCCTAATTATTATTACAAGAAAAACTAGCTTCTTGCACCTAAGAGAGATGCTCCTTTACTCCAGTAACTAGGAATTTTCAATGGCAGTCACTGAGCAATTATACACTACGATTTACACTAGATCTTCCAGCCTGCTCTTTGACAAAACGAGTCCCTATTATTATTAGTCAGGCAATAATCAAATGCCTAAAATAGGCTAATAAAAGATATCTGAACCACAGGAACGGGTTATTACTGGAAGTTATGATACAGTTCAGAAACAGGTTTCCAGAAAAATATGCAACTACACACAAATATTCTTTTCTTTTCTTTTCCTTTTTTTTTTTTTTTTTTTTTTTTTTGGCCAGGGAGAAGCCACACAGAAAAGGAAAAGGGTGTGGGGGCTGGGGGGTGGGAAACCACAGACCTATCAAGTTTATAGTTCCTAACTCATTGCAAAGCTTCCGAGTTCTAACTCGTTCTCTGGGGTCTTTTATGCAAAAAGGCAATTTGCCGGGCACCGGTTGAACTTCATTGCCCAGGAAACCACTTGAAGGAGTCAGAAATTCTGTTGCATCACACATCGTTTTGCAAACTCCTGGATCCTTTCATCTTCCTGGCCTGTTCTGTACACTCTTATGTATAAATGTGAATCCCAAACTTCCGCCATTTTTCTTTGTGTACTATCTTCACAATTTTCTTCATATCCACGTGCCTCCTGTACTATAATATTGAATTTTTTTGAAGAGGCTTGTTCTGAATAAATAAAACTTAAATTCATTTATTGGGGTCAGCAACTCTATAACATTGCTATAAATGGGAAATTAGTCTCTTTTCTCACTACTTGAAAGCACAGGTTGCCTCTGTCCCAGCCTCCTCCCATCTCCGCAGATGAGACCTCTGCCCCTGTTTCTGTGGCTGGGGAATTCTCAGGCTCTCCAGCCTGCCCCAGGATTTCAAGGTGTGATGGAGGGGCGGCTCTGCATTGGGCAGTGAGAATCACCACCTTCCATGGCCAGATGGCAGCAATATAAGCCTATTTTAGGCATTTGATTATTGCCAGATGGGAGTATGTGTGTGTGCCTTAGATTTCTGTTAATATTTTTCTTCATTAAGCCCAAGGAGGTCTGTATCTTCTGAAAATGACCCAGCTTTCTCTTGAGTTCCTCTTTCCTAATATTTTACAGACAGCAAATTTAGCTCGTTCTGTCTTCCATCACCTGCCTCTGGTACAGTGGATGCGGAGCGTCCATCTGCCCAATTCACTATTTCAGTATTTTGTTATTTCCTCTTTCTTGGTCTAGAACACTCCAGGGAGGAATCCACATCCAAATTGAGTCTTCTCACTGCTCTTTGGAAGACTTTGAGCTTGTTGAAAGAACCCCAAGAAGAAATACTTTGGTTTCTTTTGGGTGAGAAATTGGAAGCACAATTGACAGAGGCTTAGGAACTAGGACAGAAGGAGCTGCCATCTTCTTCCAGCCTTTGCAACAAAACTGCACCATGCAGGGTCCAAATACTTAGAGAACAGTTAATACACAATTTCTTATTTTCTTCATAGGAATTCAGGATCTCCGCACACTTTGTTCTCCCAGCTTAATGGCAGGATTCCAATTCCAGCTGCACTGATAGGGGAAATATTTGTCCTCCCTGAATCTCAATTTCCTCACTGTAAAATGGACAAGATGAGGATGGCTGTGCTCCCATACCCCAGGCAAGGGACTGAGGGAGGAAGGGTACCTGAAGCTCCCAGCCTAGTCCTGGCACACAGTGTGGGTTTCCTCTCCCAAACAGCAAGCCACATGCCACAGACCTCCACTCCCCACTAGGCTAGCTTGGACCAGCCACTGGAAAAACCTGTCAGTCTCCAACTTTCCTTAACAAAGTTCAAGCATGCACCTAGCATGACCCTTTCCCAGTGGCCCTGTATTTGTGAGCAGAATGTTGTCCATTCCCAAGGGCTGACCCAGGTCAACCTCACCTTGGCAGCTTCCCAGAGGTCCTAACTTCTGGGGTTGAATTGTCACAGGCTATTTCCCTTGTCCATAGTGAGGAGTGTCCTTATGCAGCCCTCACCCCCCACTTCCAGCCCTTCCCGGCAGAGGTTTCCCATTACAACTCTTACAGCAGAGGAGGAGGAGCCAGACTTAGGTCTCCATCAGCCCATGGGAGCCTGCTGACATCCCTAGGGTCTCCCAGATCTACATGCTCAATAGTTGTGAGATGTTGCTGGTATGCAGCTTTGGAGAAAGTACTAGATGGTTTTAGTGATTTTGCCATGGTCTTAGGCAAATGAGTTTGCTTCCTTTCTAGATTTTTTTTTTCTTTTCTTTTCTTTCTTTTTTTTTTTTTTTTTTTTTTTTGAGACAGAGTCTCACTCTGTTGCCCAGGCTGGAGTGCAGTGGCAAGATCTCAGCTCACTGCAACCTCTGCCTCCCGGGTTCAAGCGATTCTCCTGCCTCAGCCTCCCGAGTAACTGGGATTACAGGTGTGTGCCACCACACCCGGCTAATTTTTGTGTTTTTAGTAGAGATGGGGGTTTCACCATGTTGGTCAGGCTGGTCTCGAACTCATGACCTCAGGTGATCTGCCCACCTCCGCCTCCCAAAGTGCTGGGATTACAGGTATGAGCCACCTCACCTGGCCTCTTTCTTCTTTTATGAGGATATTAATCCTATCATAAGTTTCTCACCCTCAAGATCAAATCTAACCTTATTTATCTCCCAAAGGAAATCTCCTTTGGGAGATAAATAAGGTTGGAAAACTATGGCTAGGAGATCAACTGTGACCAGCTGCCTGTTCTTGCAAATAAAGTTTTATTGAAACACAGCCATGTTTATTAATTACATATGGCATATCACTGTTTTCATGCTACAAAGGGAGAGTTGAAGAGTTGCAACAGAGATTGTATAGCCTGCAATGTAGAAAATATTTTCTACCTGGCTCTTTCCAGAAAGAAAGCCAACCCTTGGGTTATATGTGTATGATACCTGCCCATTTCCGTATGTATATTATACTTTGATTTAAAAATAAAATTAAGGCCAGTGTGGTGGCTCACACTTGTAATCCCAACATTTTGGGAGGACAAGGCAGGAGGATTGCTTGAGCCCAGGAGTTTGAGACAAGCCTGAGCAACAAAGTGAGACCCTGTTTCTATAAAACATAAAAAAAAAAAATTAACTGGGCATGGTGGTGTGCCCCTATGATCCCAGCTACTCAGGAGACTGAGATGGGAGAATTGTTTGAGCTGGGGAGGTCAAGGCTGCAGTGAGCCACAATCATGACACTGCTCTCTAGCTGGGTGATAGAGCTAGACTTTGTTTCAAAAGATAAAATAAAATAGACAAAACATGTTTCATCAAATAAAAATAGAAATGGAGTCTCATTTTACAGGTTAAAAAAAAAAAAAAACCTATAAAAGATCTAGAAAGGCCAGGCATGGTGGCTCATGCCTGTAATCTCAGCACTTTGGGAGGCCAAGGCAGGTGGATCATGAGGTCAGGAGTTCAAGGCCATCCTGACCAACATGGTGAAACCCCATCCTTACTGAAAATACAAAAATTAGCCGGGCATGGTGGTGCATGCCTGTAATCATGCCACTGCACTCCAGCCTGGGTGATAGAGTGAGACTCTGTCCCAAAAAATAAATAAAAACAAATAAAAATAAAAATAAACAAGTAAATAAAAATAAAAGGAGGAAGACGCAGGAGCTCTCTCTCAGCCATATGAGGGTTGTCTAAGGTGGCTGTCTAAGTCCATTAGGGCTGCTATAACAATATACCTTAGACTGGGCAATTGATAAGCAACAGAAATTTATTGCTCAAAGTTCTGAAGACTGGGAAGTCCAAGATCAAGGTAAGAAAAGATTAGGTGTCTGATGAGGGCTTGTTCCTCATAGATGATGCCTTCTATGTGTCCTCATATGGCCAAAGGGGCAAATAAGCTCCCTCAGGCCTCTTTCATGAGGGCACTGATCCCATCCGTGATGGTGGATCCCTCATGACTTAATCCCCTCCAAAAGGCCCATCTCTTAACATTATCATGTTGGGGATTCGATTTCAACATATAAATTTATGGGGTACACATACATCAGAGGTTTCGACATATGAGCTATGGGGGTTTACAGACATAACAGTGACTGCCTATAAGCCAGGAAGAGGCCCTCACCAGACACCAAATGTGCCGCACGTTGATCTTGAACTTGCAGCCTCTAGGACTCTGAGAAGTACACGTTTGTTGTTTAAGCCATCTAGTCTATGGTGTGCTGTTATACCAGCCCACACCAAGGAGGACACTAATCCCTGGCATAACCCAGTGAATTATCACAGATTGAGCGCAACTGTGTGACCACTGTTCAGCTCAAGAAATAAAAGATCATAGCATCCCAAGAGCCTATGTGTCCCCTTCTCATCCACTAGACTCAACTTACTTCTGATGGACTCCAAGTTTTTTTCTTATAATTTTTATAATTTCTTATATCTCACCATTTTTCTTTTAATTTAAATATTAATCTTATTTGATTAACTAGTTAGACATTATCATTTAGGACAGTGGCTTTCCCACTTTCTAGAAACAGCAGAAACCTGTCTTCAAGTGAAATGCTCTGTGACCTGCACCCCCCCGGGATGTACTGTGTATAAAAAGCAGAGCTCTGAGTGCATGGGAAGCAGATACTTGGAGCTTATCCATTCCCCATCTTCTCTACACTTGGGGCCCAATAGGTAACCACTGAGGCATGTCTGGGAACTCTGAGGGTTTCTCTGAACCCAGTTTGAAAACCACTCCTTGAAACACATATGAATATCCCAAGTAAGATAGATGTTTAATCTATAATTCACATATTCTTCTAAGATAATACATATTCTTCTCCATGATCCCTGGGATGAGCCAGGGCTCTAAAATGGTCATAGCAAAAGGTTAGTGGTGTCAGGTGGGCACATGGGCTCACTGATTCATGAGCATGAGTGATACACCCCCTGCCAACCTTCCAGAAACACCTGGGGGAGTGGAGCTTTGCAGAGGGCTGGGTCCTGCATCATCAGGAGGAAGCAGAACGTGGGTAGTGGCTGAGGAGGTGACCTCCGCTGGGAGGACCTGGGCAATACAAGTTACAGAAACATTCCTGGTTATAACAAATATATCTAAGAGTAGAAGATACCTATTTTATTTTCTGTTCCATTTCTTTATTGATCAGGCAGTGCCCTTAGTATTCCAGGCAGCTTGTGGTCTTTTCTCTCCTCTAGGATTTAGATCTCTCATTCAGAGAAAAGGTGAGGGTAAAGGTTAGGCTCTGGAGGAATCAGCTTAGGAATCATTAACTGAAGGCTGCCAGGAAGACTCCAGAAAGTGCCCTGGGTTAGATTTTCCCCTCACTTCCTACTTATGGCTTCATGATGGCTCTTGCATCAGAAGAGTGAACGAGGCTTTTCAGGTGGAATTTTCAGGATCTGTGAGAAGATAGGGCATGAGCGCAGGTAAGCTGAAGATGCATTGGCAAGACAGTGAGGGAGGCTGTCCTGGTCCTTTCAGTGCTGCTGTAATGAAAATACACAGACTTGGTAACTCATAAAGAACAGAAATGTATTTCCTCATAGCTCCAGAGGCTGGAAAGTCTAAGATCAAGGTTCCCGCATCTGGTGAGAACCTTCTCGCTGCATCATCCTGTGGCCGAAGGCACAAGGACAAAATGGAGGAGGAGACAGGCAAACCCACTCCCACAATAGCAATATTAGTCCATTCATGAGCATGGAGATAAACTTCTTACAGCTTCCACCTCCCAGTACCATCACAATGACAGATTTCAACATGAGTTTCAGTGGGACCTCAAACACTCAAACTCCAGCAGAGGCCCATTACTGAAAGAGGGGTTAGAGTCATACCAAAATTAGCCTGTGGCTGGGCTTCTGCACTCAGCTCCTCTACTCAACTGCTATTTGACCTAGTGATGCTCACCCAATCTCTCTGAACGTCAGAACATGCTGTTTAAAAAAGGAAAATGATTCTTATTTAAACACTCTGCCAGAATGTTTGCACTGTTCAGATGGGATGGTGAGAGTCAGGATGCTTTGTCACTCTACAGCAGTGGTTCTCAACTGGGGTTAATGTTGCCCACCCCACCCTTCCCCAAGGGATATTTGGAAATATCTGGAAACATGTTTTGGTTGTCACAACTAGAGGAAGTCTCTACTGGCATCTAGTGAGTAGAGGCCAGGGATGCTGCTTAAATGTCCTGCAATGCATCGGACAGCCGCTCCCTCCCCACCCAAGCAATAAAGAACTATCCATCCCAGATGTCAGTAGTGCTAGGTTTGAGGAACCCTGTGCTAGAGTCTGCAAGATGTGTGACTTAGACAAGGCCAGCTGTCAGTGGCTACCCTGAGGCAGGTGACGAATGATGGGACCTCGCTCTTGCTTGGAGGTGAAGTGACAAGAAAAGATCTCAGACCCCCAAGGTCTCTGAACCTTCCCTGGAGTTTGAGTCCAAAGAACTTGTTGAATGTGGACAACAGAAACATGGCGCTGGTCACTAAAAGAAATATCTTCTCTGCCGGGCACGGTGGCTCACGCCTGTAATCCCAGCACTTTGGGAGGCCGAGGATCACAAGGTCAGGAGATCAAGACCATCCTGGCTAACATGGTGAAACCCCATCTCTACTAAAAATACAAAAAATTAGCCGGGTGTGGTGGCCAGCACCTGTAGTCCCAGCTACTCTGGAGGCTGAGGCAGGAGAATGGTGTGAACCCGGGAGGTGGAGCTTGCAGTGAGCCGAGATCGCGCCACTGCACTCCAGCCTAGGCGACAGAGTGAGACTCCATCTGAAAAAAAAAAAAAAGAAAATATATATATATATCTTCTCCAGCCCAACAGCAGGCCATATAAACATTAACAGCTTTCTGAAGAAATTTATTTGTCACTGGGGATCGTATTACCCAAGCTTCGCCACTCAAATTCTCTCCTCCCTGGATCCCTGCAAAGTGTCACAGTTTCCCCTTTAGGTTCTGAAAAGACCTTATCAGGCATGTGGGCACCAATCCATAGTGAATCACTGGAAGATCAAGCCCCCTGATACCTCATATATCTTGTCCCCAGCTGCCCCAGTTGCTGGCTGCAAACAGAGCAGATCTGGTTTTGGGTGATATCATTCCATGTCCTCAACCAGAGACATTGAGATAATAACTTTCCAAATATTGTCTTACGAGATGCTTATCACTGTAAAACAATATTTTGTCACCAAGCAGTGAGCAATGGGCAGTATCATCTTGCAGAAACACCCATGTTGATGAGGAGAGGTCAGGTCAGCACACGGAGTGGGAAGGTTTGGAGGGAGCAGTGGATGGGGTGAGAGAGTGGGCTTCAAAGACACCCAAAGGTCTTTGAGACAAGTGAGTAGGGCTTTTCCAGAGGAGCTGATTTTCAAGCTGTAAGCAATGAGCCGGTTTCCAGGTTACCACATTGGAGGGGAAATGCATTTGCTCTTAACATGGAGTTTGGTGGATCATGTAGAAATGAAAGCCCCCTCCTCTGCTTTCAGGGTGTTTACAATCTGGGAAGACACAGGAAGGCTGTGCAAAACAAAGCAACTGTATTAAAGGGCCAAATTGAGCTACCAGGTAGCTTTGTTTCATTGTATGATAATTATCCTTTTCATAACAGTTCTTCAGCAGGAATAAGATACATAACAATACTCAACTACATTACACATACACATTAGCTATAAGATGCGTGGTCCCTTGGTCTCTGCTTTCCTACTGGTAGCAGACAGGTCTCAGCTGAGGCAAGCTCCAGTCCCATCAGCCCAGGATGTGAGTGGAGATGTGGATAAAAGGCAGGGGAAGGAAATAGTGATAGAGGATGGAAGAGAACAGGTCAGGACAATTCTGTCACCGTGTGGCCATAAAGCCATACCCGGGGCTGAGGCTATTGGACTCCATTCCCCAGTGCCCACCTCTGCTGTCAGAATTCCTTTAGAAAATTCCAGTCCTTTGTGAGACTCTTTCTAGGGAGATCTCCAGCAGGACAAATGCAGATGGAAATAAAAAGAGGAAGAGAAAATGCTGTGGGTGCTTTTTCGTTTTGTTTTGTTTATTTTGTTTTGGGGGTTGAGACGTGGTAGTCTTAGTAGCTTAGTGCTGCTGTGACATCATGAGCCGAGTTCCTGATGTTCCCAGAGTCGGGATCAGGTCGAAGTGAAGGGCATGTTGTATCCTAGCTGGCTCCACGCAAACTCTGACTTGACCACGTACTAGTAGCTGTGTGATCTTGGGTGAGTTTCTCAAGTTCTCTGTGCTCCAGCTTTCTCATCTATAAAATGAGGACATTAATAGGGTTGCTGTGAGGATTAAATGAACACACTTAGAACACCACCTGACATGGAATAAAACCACTGTAACTGATAGTTTTAATTGCTTTCATCACAGAGATGTTGTGAAGATTAAATGAGACAACACGCACAGTCCACACTATCTGGTGGATAGCCACCCCTGTATGCCAGGTCCTGGCAGGCAAAAACCACGCTCTTCAAGAGCTTACATTCTAATGGGGGTGATACATTTCTATTAAGACTTTAAAACTATAATTTCAGGTAATGATAATGACTATGAAAATAATCATTGCTATGAGAAAGAGAAAAGTTCATCAAAAGGCTGGTAGAACTGGCAGCTGTCCTAGGCAGCTTTAGACATGGCGGCTGCTAGAGGCCTCTGGCTGGGGCTGCCATTAGATCAGAGACTTGGAGGAGGTAAGGGAGTATGGGCCCTGAAGAGAGGTGGAGGCAACCATCCCATGCAGGAGCACAGAAGCCCCAGGCAGGATCAGGCTCTGTCTAGGAGCTGTACAGCTGGAAAGAGGGAGGGAGGCAGTGGCGGGAGGAGCTCCTGGCAGATGGGTGGGCAGAGGCCATTTCACAAGAAGTCTTAGGAGCCAGGGGACTTTGGATTTTATTCTAGGCATATTAATGTCCTAGGGTTTCTGTAGCAAGCGTCACAAACTGATGGTTTAAAACAATAGAAATTTGTTCTCTCCCACTTCTGGAGACTGGAAGTCCTGTGTCAAGGTGTCACTAGGTCATGCTCCCTGTGGAGCACTAGGTAAACTTCTTCCTTGCCTCTTCCTGGTGGTGACTGTGAATCCCAGGCTTGCAGCTGCCTCACTCCAATTTCTGCCTCTGTCATCACATGGTGTTCTCTCTGTGTGTCCGAGTCTTCTAAGACACTCATCATGGGATTAAGCGTCCACCCTACTCCAGTATGACCTCATCTTAACTAATTACATTTACAATGACCCTACATTATATTCTGTGGTATTGGGGGTTAGGACTTCAGCATAGCTTTTGGGGGACCACAATTTAAACCCACAAAACTGGGTGATATGAGAAACCAGGGAAGGGTTGTGAACAGTGTCATGACATAATCTGATTTATGTTGTAAAAATATCATTTCACCTGCTGCATGCAGAATAGACTCTAGAAGGCTGAGATGGGACCAGCAGCCCACTTGGAGGCTGTTGCAGGAACCAGGTGCTCCACAGCCATGGCTTGGAGCAGGAGGGAGCAGTAGAGGAGATGGGAGGTGGCTGGATCCTGCATGCATTGTGAAGGAGGAGCTGAAATAATTTGCTGATGGAGCAGGGGTCATGTGTGAAGGCAAGAAATAGCTGTTAGGATGACACTTTGCATTTTGACTTGAGCATCCAGGTAGAATTGTGTGGCCATTTACTGAGCTAGTGACCAAAGGGGCTGGAGCAGGTTCGTGGTGGGGTGGACAGCAGTGATTCCAGAGTCTGCCTGGGCACAAGTTTCAGCTGCCATCCAAGTGACCGCCGCGTGGAGAGTTGCATTGTCAAACTCAACATGTCCAGATCTCAACCCTTTGCTTTCCATACCCAGGCCTGCTCCTCCTCCTGTTTCCACATCTCTGTTCGTGGTCCCACCACTCACCCAGATAACCAAGCAGAAATTCTGGGGACAATACCACCCTCCAAAGTGTCACCAAGTCATGAGACTTCTGCTGGTTACATGCAACCCAATCGATCCACAGCTCTCTATCTCCACTGTCCTCTTCCCAGCAGCCTTCGTTTTGTCCACATGACCATCTTGTGTCCACCTGATTATAGTGGCCTCCTTGCCAGCTTCCTGCTCCTGGCCTTGTCCCTTCTGCTCCACTGCACATCCTGCAGCTTGGGGGTTGGTTATGAAAGCTTCAAGGGGACATTTCAGGTATCTTCCTTCAGCTGATGGTGTCACATAGAAAGACTTGCTCAAGGAGGATTAGGTGGTATTCCTGCATTGTCATGTGGTTCAGAGGGAGTCATCTCTAGCACAAAAGTTCTAGACCTTTAAAGCCAAGGTCCCAGATTCAAGTCCTGACTTCCAGCCCTCTTGGCTGAGTGACTATGGTTGGGTGACCATAGAATGTATTGTCCCACCTGACAAAAAAGATGCCTTTGTAATGATCATCATAGGACAATAGGCATATCATGCATTGTGGTGGGCCGACCACAATGTAGGGATAGCCAATACGTTGGGTAAGTTACTAAATCTCTCTGATCCTCAGTTTACCCAAGGATAAAGGAGGATAGCCAAGCCTAACAAGTAGGGTTGCCTGAGGATGAAACGAGGTCCTTTGCATGCAGACTCCTAGCCGGGCACCTGGCACACAGAGGTAATCACAACTAATCTCACACAAAGAACCGCTTGAAAGCCAATGTCACACACAGTTCTGCCAACTATTCCCTGTACATTTCTCAATTGGAGGAAGAGCAATTTTGAGAAACTACAGTCATTTGAAGTCCTCCTTCATTATTAATTTTATAGAGAGTTATTTTGTGGTTCTGGCTTTTTTTTTTTTGGTAATTAGATGCTGTAAAAATTTTTTAGTGATTTTCTCTTCTTTGTAATTAGAAATAGCGATTAGAATATCTTTTATATTACATGGCATTTTTCCTTTAAACAATTGTATACATTTTGTATTCTTTGCTTTTCTCCATACAGACTTTAATGAGAATGGATTCATTGTGTACCATAATTTGCTATTATTATAGTGTGTCATGAAAATGAGTTATTTCCGTCACAGAAATATAATGCCCAGTGTAATGTATTTTTGCTGGTGGTTTTTATTTTTTCCCTCTAGGGACAGGGGAAATGCATTTGCCAAGTTTAGAACCCACTTGAACCTGAAAGGCTGGGAAATTGCAAAGTGAACTCGGGCTTTCTGGGGTCTGAAATTGCCCTTCGGCTACTTTGGACCACATGAAGTGGAGTGCGAGGCAGCCTAGAGGTGATTTTCCATGTTTCAGTAAAAAAAACAAACACACAAATGGCATCTGGGCAAATAGCATCTGTTCAAGCCAGGCATGGGAAAACCAGAAGCAGGTCACTTCTTAAGACTTGAAGTCTTAAGAAGTCATGGCCGAGGTTTGTCAGGGTACCAAAAGAATTCTGAAAATCTGCCTGTGTTTCTTTCTGCTGTTGAGTGCAAACTCTGCCCATGCAGGGGACAGCCCACGATAAGTTTTATGTGGCACAGCTCAGCCTATGCACAGAATGTGCCAGTGAACTTCAGACTGGGGTTCCTGGCTTGTCTGCTCCAGCCTTCCAGTTGTAAGCGGCAGCCAAGACAGGAAGCAGGAGGATGTTATTCCTGCAACTCACAGTGAGGAAGGAGCACAGGGGCTGAGCTTTCCCTAATCAGGCCCCTTCTACAATCCCACCTACAAATGAAGGTACCTTTCCTAATGTATTCCAATGCCTCCACCTAATGCCTGCACTGGAAGTGGCTCCCAGGGCAAAGATGGAATGTGGACACCAGGCCCAGATTCAAGGAAAATGGTGGGGGTGGAATATACCAGCCATATTTGGCCCTGGGACATTCTCTGTGCTGTGACACCTCACAGCCGTGGTTACCTGGAATACCTGGGTACCAATTCCTGGGTACCATGGAATTGGAGCACAAGGGACATGCTACATGTGCCAGTGAGGATGAGTTCCCGTGGGAAACAAGTGGCACACTCTGAAAGAGTGACTGGAGAGTTTATGAGCATCCACCTCACACAGGTATGGGCACTGGCAGCTCTGGGGAGCATCCCAACCTCTAACAGATCAACAAGGCAGCAGGGCCTGCAGGGGCCATGTGTGGCCGTGGGTGAGGCCATCGCCCTGGAACTGGCCCTCTCCCTACCTCCAAGTGAAGGAACTCACTTTCCCTTGGAGGGTCCCACAATGCTCATAAGAGCCTCCTTCTGTCCTGTGGTTTCTGGGGATTGCAAAGCATGGCGTTTCATCTCATCTCCTTCAACTCTCCTGACAGGCCTGGGAGGCAGCCTTTGGGACAATTCCTCCCATCTTACAGAGGAAAATTGGATGCTTAATAACAATTGGCCTGAAGCCATAGCTAAATGTCTAGTGAGCGTCTCAGCACCCTCCCAGATGGGGAGCAGGCTGAGGAAGGCAGAGAAGGGGAGACCATGCCATCAAGGGCAAAGGCCAACCAGGGTAGACCCTCCATATTGCCTGCTGAACAAATTTCCCCACAGCCAGCCCTGACCCAGACTGTCCTGGTTAAGAGAACAGGATCTGGCAGCGAATTCCCAGAGTTCAAATCCCAGCTTTGCCACTTGGTAGTGATGACTGTGGACAAATTACCTAACTTTGTGGTGCCTCAGTTTCCCTATCTAGAAATCAAGGAAAATAACACCATCGACCTCATGGGATCATGATGAGAATTAAAGGAGCTCATGCAGGGAAAGCCCTGTGGACCAGCGTGGACAGGCTCCTAGAGGCAGTGCTCCATTTGTGTAGTGCTCTCCTCCAGGTGAGGAGACTGCAACCCCCACAAAGCTCATAGGGTCAGGCCTTGCATCTGTGTGCTTATACCAGCCCAGAGAGGATACCTTCTAATGCATCCACCTGGAGAGGCACCTTTCCACATTCTTTTTTTATTTTTATTTATGTATTTATTATTTTTTTATAGGTGGGGTCTTGCTCTATTGCCCAGGCTATAGTGCAATGGCATAATCATATCTCACTGCAGCCTGGAACTCCTGAGCTCAAGCAATCCTCCCACCTCAGCCTCCAGAGTAGCTGGGACTGGAAGTGCACACCACCATGCCCGGCTAATTTTTAAATTTTTTGTAGAGACCAGGTCTCGCTATGTTGCCCAGGCTGGTCTCAAACTCCTGGCCTCAAACCATCCTCCTGCCTTGGCCCCCCAAAGTGCTGGGATTATAGGCGTGAGCCATGGCGGCTGGCCCAATTCTTAACAAGACTCACTTCGCATTGGCTAGCAGTGGCCTGGTTCTAAAGAGCACACACATTCAAGGTGCTCAATTAGCCTGGTGTTTAGTCCCTTGAATTCTCCCTGTCTCCCTGCTCAAACTCCCCTCTGGGAAGAAGTAAAGCCATGCCAGTTTACTGAATCCAGAAGGAAAAGGAGAGTGTGTTCATGCAGCTGCTGTTGCCTGCATGGCTGTGTCTCCCCAGTAGATAGCCCACATATAGCCCACAACTATGCAATATATATCACTGTGTCTTGATAGCCCACATATAGCCCACAACTATGCAATATATATCACTGTGTCTTGATAGCCCACACCCTCCACCCTTCCCTGCAGAGCACAGCCCTTGGCCCTTGGAGAGCACTTCCCTTAGATCTTTCTCTCTTGCTTTCCTCTTGCAGGTTTTCTTTGACTCTCTTCCCAGCTGAGGACTCATATTTAAGCAGGCCAAAGTGACATTTCATCATTAATACCTAATGCAGTTCTACTGAGTTGTGTAAACACGCTGCCTAGCACAGGGTTCCGTCCGCACCCCCCTCATCCCACTTCCCATTATAATTGTTTTCACTCCTCTAAATTCAGATGTAATTCAAGTCGGAGAAATCGCTGCTGGATTACATCTGCAGGCAGGGAATTATTAGTATGACTTTTTGGCAGTGTGACAGTGATGTTTCGACAATCTATACATATTGATTTAGGTCGATAATAAACAATTTGATTAGCCTCCCCATCCACGGGCTGTCATTTCAATCACTGACAGGGGCCAGCAGAGTGGAAGGGAGGCAGCACTCACAAGTGGCAAGAATTCTCAAAATAAGAAACTCGGTCCTGATTAGAGGCCTGGCTTCAGTGAATTGGACAAGACAGCTCGGCCGCCACGTTATTAACTCCCTGGGAAAATACTCAGCCGGTCCTCGGGGCCAGCCCGCATATTCTGATGTGGATCGATAAGCAATCTCCGGTGTATATGGAATTCAGACTCGAATCATTTGTCTCCAGCTCCTTTCTCCAAAGGGAGCCCTGTGGTCCAGACCTGGCCTGCCACCCCAGCGCCCCTCCCCGCACCCCCACACACCCTCCCCTTTTAACTAATGACCCGCCGCGGAGGAGGCTGGAGAGTTGAAACCTCTTCCATCATCAAGAGAGGCTCTCTCAGGTGGGCCTAATGATGGTAATGGCCTTATTGCAATTTTTTAAAAATGACGCCCACCCCAACATCTTGGGGGTGAGTGCATGTAAGTGATGGGTATGCCTCTTGATGGCAGATAGATGGATGTGCTGGTCATGGACAGCCCTCCGCCAACCTGGAAGTGTTCACACTTGATGGTGACTCTATAGCAGAGCAAGAAGGTGACCCTTTCTGTCAGGCTTCTGTGAGGAAGACAGAAGGGTGGGTGCCACCCAGAGGTGCTGGTGGCTGGGACTGTGGCTGGGGCAGAAAAGAAGAGGAGGTGACAGCAGGGAAGGCTCCAAGCTCCTTGCAAGCTGACTTCTTGGGCCTCTGGTCACTGATTGATGGAGGGACCATCAGATGCCACCCCCTTTGGTAACAGGTGGTAATAGACTCTGAAGGGCACTGAAGGCAAGGATCCTGCATGGGGCTACATGGCAAGCCAGCTATTGGTAGGGTCCCAGGTCTCCTAACTTCTCACAACAGAGAGGGCAGTGTGGTTTAGTGGTTAGGACAGTCTTTGGATCAAGCAAATCTGAGTGTTGCAGCTGGTGAGTTACTTCACCTCTTGGAACTTCAGTTTCTCCATGTTTAAAATAAGGCTACTAACACCTACCTTGCATATTCATGATGAGAATTTGATGAAATAATGCAGGTAGAAGTATTATTAGTATGACTTTTTGGCAGCGTGACAGTGATGTTTCCACAATCTCTACAGGCATAGTAGATGCTCAATAAACATTGAGCATCAACATAACAACTGCAGTGAGTTTGACACATTGTTACTTACATATTATTTTTACTTTTATCATCAGACCCTAGCAGAAGTATAATATATGACATAGATGACATAGACAAAGTCAGCTGCTCTGCCTTATATGAAGGCTGAGAACCTGGGCTTTGCCCAACTGGCCACCCACCCCCGGTCATGCTCCCTTTCCACCATTTTGTGTCTCTGGAGCCCTTAGGGCTCTCTGGAACCAATCCAGAAACTACTGGTGCAGTGGACAGATGATGATGTCAGGAGGCATGGCAATGGGCTTCTAGTTCCAGTTCTAAAATGCTGGGTCTATTCCTCTCTTGAGGCCTCAATTTCCCCAGGTGACGACACATCACCTCTCAGATTCTCTAAGGCACTGTGGTCCATTGACTCCCATAAAACCAAACAGTCATAACACCAATGGCACAGAGTGGTGGTCTCCACGCTGTGCATCATGCAGAAGGGCCTCGATAGCCTCTTGAGTGGAGAGTGTCAAGTGGGCTAGGCCCTGAGCCCCCCATCCCCACAGAAGAGTCTGTGTCTCCACCCAAGGGACCTGTGTCCAAAAGAAAAACAAGCAAAGGACAGTGTCCATGAGGATTGGATTTGGCTGTGAGAAACAGAGACCTAAAATAACAAGACTTCAACAAGGTCATACTTTATCTCTCTTTTACATAAAAGCCGGGAAGTCAGCCGTCCGGGCCTGGTGTGGCTGCTCAGCAGCACAAAGTCCCCAGGGACCCAGTTTCCTTCCCAATCACTGCTCCACCATCATTGGGGTCGTGGGGGCTGCATTGTCTGTATGTTCCAAGATGGCGGCCAACAGATCCAATGTTCCAGGAAGTAACACAAAGAAATAGACAAGAGATATTGGGACAGAGTACAGGCCAACTCTTTTTTTTTTAATTATGAAATTTTTATTTATAGAAAAGTTGTGAAGATAGTACAGAGAGTTCTCATAGCATCCACAGTCCAATTCCCCCTACTATTAACATCTTATGTTCATATGGTACATTTCTCAAAATTAATAAACCAGGATTGATACACTATTATTAACTAAACTCCATACTTTGTTAAATATCCTTAGTTTTTACCTAATGTTCTTTTTTCTGTGCCAGGATCTCATTCAAGACACAATTTTACGATTAGTTATCATGTCTTCTTAGTCTCCTCTTGGCTGTGACCATTTCGCAGACTTCCCATGTTTTTGATGACCTTGACAGTTTTGAGGAGCAGTGATCAGGTATTTTGCAAAATGTCCCTCAACTGGAAATTTCTGCTGTTTTTCTCATGATTAGAGTGGAGTTACAGATTTGGGGAGGGAGACAACAGAGATAAAGTGTCATTCTCATCACAAGAACATCTTAGTTGTTTCTAGTTTCCAATAATTATGAATGAAGCTGCTGTAAACACGTCCATGTTTTTATGTGGCATGCCAACTCATTTTAAAAGAAGACTCAGAGAAAGCTGCAAAATTTCACCTCTGTCTTATAAACTAAATTTACTCACCTGGCCACAATTACCTGCAAGGGAGGCTGGTAAATGTACACTTTATTCTATGCCCAGCTAAAATGTAAGGTTTTTCTTACTACAGAAGAAGAGAGAGAAGATATATTGCAGACAACCAGCAGTCTCAGCCAAGGGGACTTAACAGGGAAAGAAGCAGACAGTACCAGGCAAGTATAAAGGAAAGAGTGAATTCCAAGTATCCAATCCCTGCCACTGAGGGTACCAGGAAAAGCGTGGCCAATCATCAATGTGTCTATAAAACAGAGCCTGGTGGTGGGAAAATGTTCAATAACTCATTCAAAAAGACATATTGAGTGTCTCAAGGAACAAGGTGGGAACCATGGCCCTGCTGAGGTTTACAGCCCTGTGATAAGGGTCTAACCATATTTTTGAAGAAGAAAAGGTGATGTGATGTTCTGAGATCTCTAACAATCTAATGGAATAGGGTGGACGCCTGTGGAAGTTTCTACCAATTCCAAGATCCATGAATCATTCCTTAAGTTAGGTCAGGTTTTTCACTTGCAAAGTCACTGATCCTCTTTGAACTACAACACAGAACAGCTCCTGGCTTGTGGGGCTGTCCCATTTGGTATCTAATGTTAATGCATATGAAGCCATTCTCTTGGGCCTGATAAGCTGATGTTCACCAGCTGGCTGGAGCAGCTTTGTAGGCCTGGGAAGTGGCTCTCGTGGAGGCGGCAGGTCTAATCCCATGCACATTCTGCCCAGTGCTGCCCTAGTTCTCAAGGACTTGTCATTTTCTTGGGAAATTAGTTTGACTCTGATTCCGAGGCAGATGAGCATTACCTGGAATTCTCTCCAAGTATGGGTAAGCTTTTACTTAGGGTAAAATTGAGCATTTTGATGTATTTGCTTGTACTTATATATAAAGACTTCCAGTGAGGTCAAGTGGCATTTCTCAATTAAAGAATGGGTAGGTGAGAGTCTTCCTAATTCCTGTCTTCAAAACCCCTCTAAAGTTTATTGTAACATCAGAGGGCTTCCCTCCAGAGTCCCGTGGTTAAAGGTGTTCACTATTATAAAGAACAGGTCGAGCACACAGACCTCCCAGGTTTCCCCAGGGGTGGATGAGTGTGGCGGGGGAACCAGAACAAATTCCCAGGCCTAGGGGTCAAAGGGGGCTCAGCCACTTTGCACATCAACACAGATAAACACATGGAAAAATTATGCTTCATCTGCCCTTGCTGGACAGCCTGATTTTTTTTTTTAACTAGGGCCCAGCCATCTCTAGACAGTCCAAAAAACCATAATATGATATTTCCAACTCTTCAGTCCCTGAGTTACAATTTACTCTTTCTGCCTCCTTATTGCCCCATGACTGGTGACTCACATGACAATTGCAGCACAATTTCATCCCACTTTGTCCTATTGTGAATTATGTACAGGCTTGGCTACCAACTAGATTTAAGTTCCTCAGAGGACTTGGACTTGGTCCCCTTTTCATTCTCCAGGATGTCCTGCATTTAGGACATGGTTAGGTGTATAGCCCAAAGACCCAGCTTTCTCACTTACCTGACCACACGATCTTGGGCCAGCTGCTGAATTCACTGGAGCCTCAGTTGCTCATCTATACTACGGAACTCACCCCCTCCCATGGTTTTGTGTAAGTACTAAATGCTGTAACAGATCAAAATGCCCTGCACCGTGACTGTCCCATAGAAAATGCTCAGAAAACACTGGAAGAAAATAAAAACAGATGTGCATGAGTGTCGAAGGGATGAATTAACGCACGAGCACATGAGTGTTTCTCTCTGGGATAGTGCAGTTAACAAGAAAAGGCTGGAGTTATGTTAATTCCCAGTAATATCCTCAGAGGGTGTGGGAGAACAAGATGGACTAGCAAGACTTGAAATGCAATCAGATCTCGTTTTTATCTCCCTTGCTACAGCTTTATTGTAGTGAAATATGTTCATTTTAACAGAGGGCAATCACCCTAAATAGACAACGCAAGAGGCATGAGACGCCAGCAGAAATTTTCAGAGCATCTGCCCAGGACGCCCAGCTCCAGGCCGTTTTGGTTTATGTATTAAAACTGCCCGCAGATGTGATTGTGCGTAGCTGGCTGATGGATATTTGCCGCGGTTAGGCTGCATTAGACTCAATTTATCCCCCAGCACTCATTGTTGCTATTGATTGATTTTTAAATCAGATGAAGGCAATCAGTAAATACCACCCAATCAAGTTCTAAAAACATACAGGAGATTAGACAATTTAGGGTAATCAATGGAAATATTCTTTGATTTGCTACCACTCAATTTTGACCATAAATTACAACTATAACTTGCAAGTTAGTAAGCTATAAAGCAAGTGGATGTGACAAGAAAGACTAGAAGAAATGAATTAAGAGGCTAAGGAAGCACCACTGATGTTGTCCTATAATGAGGTGAATGACTCTTCCATCGTATTTTGCATTTCTTCTTGGGCCTCAGCACCAATGATAGGTCAAGACGAGGAGTGGAGCTCAAAATTTACCTGCCCTTTATAAAAAAATAAATTTGGGGTGGGTGGGTGGAAAATTTGTATTCAAAGTCTAACCAATGACTTTGAATAATAACTGATCAACCTAATTTTTTTATTGCAAATAAATGTCATACAATTTTAGGCTGAAAACCCCATGGTTTTTGGCATGCGGTTCAAGGCTCAGGAAAAATAAAAAAAGTTTGTGAAAACCCTCACCTACCTCACAGACACTTTCAAATGCTAATTTGAAAGCCACACTTCTGTACTGTTATTTCCTACAAAGTCTAAAAGGTAACAATGATTAAATGTAATTTTAGGCCAGAACTTTATACTCTTAAAAGCTATATTTGTCTGTCTGTACAATCTGCACATCTTCCATATTTTTAAAAGAAGCACATTCAGACGGTGGATTTATTTTTCTTTTTTTTTCCTCTTTTTTTAAATTTAATTTTATTATTATTATACTTTAAGTTTTAGGGTACATGTGCACAATGTGCAGGTTAGTTACATGTATACATGTGCCATGCTGGTGTGCTGCACCCGTTAACTCGTCATTTAGCATTAGGTATATCTCCTAATGCTATCCCTCCCCCGTCCCCCCACCCAACAGGTATGTGATTTAGAGGAAATGAATTCGCTTTCAGGAGCCCATGGTCTCACAGCAAAGGCAAAGATTCCACAGCAGCCTGCATCACTCATTCATCCGTTCATTCATTCATTAGTGCACATGCACGTAGAAAAAGAGACAGGTTGCTCCTGGTTTTCTCCTTTCCTTTTTTTTGGCACTCCTAGGAGCTTTGTAAAAAGTAGGAAATAAATAATCAAACTGTATAGTACTCAGTCTATGCCAGCAAATAATCTAAGGACTTTCTGAGACGTTAATGTTAACAGGCCAATTCTGGTGCCTCTGCCCTGGGCAGTGGGAAGGATGAATCTGCAACGGGCTCCTCTGTCTTCTGGCTTGTGGAGGGTGGGGCAGGATGACTTCTTCTGACAGACCCCTGCCCTGGTGGGACCTACTGGCAAGCAAGGGTGATTGGGTTTGGGACTGGATTGTGTATGTTCTGGTTTGGGGACTGGGTCAGAAAGTCATGGGACCCGTCTCCTCAGGGATTGCAGAGAGAATGGTGCCCAGGAACCTACCCTTCAGATGGCCTTGGGAATGCAAGACAGAGTGGGACTTCTGACAGTAGGGGGCTCTCTGGAAAGCAGTTGGCCGGGTAGGGAGGGAAAGGTTAAAGCTGAATTTTTTTGTTTTCCGGAAGACTGGGAACCTAATTTTAAAAAATAAATTATCCTGCACTGATTTCAAATCAACACATGCTTACTATAGAAAACTTAGAAAGTTATAATGTAGAAAATTAAAATCAGCCAGAATCCTAGTACCTCAAATTACTCCTGTTTTTATGCATCTCCCTTTCTGCTTCTTTCCAGCATTTGGCCTATGAATACAAAAATAAAGTTAGCCTATCTGGTGCCTGCTTTTTAAAAATTTAACATTGCATAATAGGCATTGGCTCATATCATTAAAATTTCCAATTAACACCATTTCCAAAAATGTAAAATCCCCCACGAGAATGGCAATACTCACTGAGTGCTGACACTGAAGGAAGCACTTAAGTGCATCGTTGTGGTGTATCCTCATAACAGCCCTATGACGTAGGTCCTGTTGCTATTATCGTTGCCACTTTGCATGCTCATGACAGAACACTACAGCTAGGAGTGAACCCAGGGAGTCAAGCTCTGGGCCTCTCAATCTCAGCGGCAGCTACAGGATTTATGTTTGGGTCTTGCAGAGATAAGAGAGAAACTCTTTTCAATACCGGAAAGAATTCCCTGCTGGTCACAGCACATTTGAGTCGCTCAACTCCTCTGATGTATCATTTGCCAAATATACCCTTGCCTAGTAGAATGACTGGTGCATGTCTGGTCTCAGATCACGTTCACTGAAGGGACACCTGGTGACACTGTTCCTCCCCAGGCTGTTACGAGCACAAAATGAGGTCTTCTCTGGGAAAGTGTTGTACACACTGTAGAGTGCTGTACACAAGCAAAGGGCCCAGTCAATCAACAGTGGTGCACAACGATGCCCTGAACCAGATGTTACTGACTGCCAGGGTGTGGTCCAGATCTGGTGAGCAGATGGGTTTCACTTAACTCAATGATGTTAAAACATTTTTGAATTAATTGCTAATATTTAAAAATCAGAAAATTTCCAGAAACATATCAGGATTTCCAAATTCTCTAGATAGGACCACTGGGCCTACATTCCCACGTGGCAGCCATTGGCTGGAGTTGAGCAATAGCCACCTCCTGTAGACAGAAACGTGATCTCAGAGCACTGCAGTCTTCACCACTCCCTTTTGCATCCCATCTGACCTGCTGCATCCACTGATGCTCCTTGCCCAGACGTGGGAAGTGTAGGAGTTTACCATGCTTGCCCTGGATATTCTCTGGAGATAGAATTCTGTTCCTATCTTCTCTCAATAAGCCCTGAAATGGGTGGCCAGTATCTGCCTACTGCCACTTGAATATAAGCTCCACAAGGGCCAGGAACTGTTCTGTTGTATTCTTGATGCACCCCAGCTGGCCCAAGCAGGAGTGGACACCCAGTCATTGTTAAAGGGATGAATGATTAAGAAGGAGGCTAATGAGGTCTATAAGATGCAGGAAGTTTCCAGGGTGACACAGGGGAGCTGTCTGATGAGCCATCAGTTATTGGCATCTCAGCAGGTGAAGCAATCTGCATGAAGACTCCTGTGGATGCCAGCCAGGTAGACTGGGAGCCTGGGAAGAGCCAGATGGAAGGTAGGCTTGGCTGGAAGCCAGCTGCTTGCCATGGCCGCCGCTGCTCAGGAAAGAACTTTCCTTAGTGCTCCTGCAGCAGAGGGCGGGCAGCAAGACTGTGGGGAAGGCTCCCCATTGGCCTGTCAGCAGGGATCGTTAATCCCACCTCACATCTGTTCTTTACTGTGAAGGCTGCAAAGCCTCCTCTTGCCTTGTCTTTTTAATGTCTCACCATGACCCTGGAGGGTGAGGAGACTAAGGCAGGCGGCTCACCCGGAGTATCCCAGTGAGTAAGTGGCGTTGTTGAGCCTTTACTCTGGATCTCTGGCAGCTGTCTCCAATATGGGGATCCTCAATGGTGTGGATCTGGCTTCCAGGAGGCTCTTCCAACAACAAAAGCAGCATCCAGATGGGAAATGCCTCAATGCAAGCTCAGAGGCTCTTCCTGACTCAGGTTATAGAGTTGCCACCTCTGAGAAGAACTAAAGCAGACATTTCCTCCCAAGGAGAGGGAGCTGGGGACAAGGGTGTTCGGGAAGCACACTGATGAAAGACTCATAGGTCAGCCTGTCTGGATCTAATTCTGACCTTGCCCTTTAATAGGAGCTTCAGCAACCCATGAACTCTGTGCCTCAGCTTTTCCTACCTGTGAAATGGGGATGTCAATGATTACTGCCTCTCTGGGCAGCTGAGTGGTATTGACAGAGCCAGCATATCAGTAGCTAACATTGACTGGGCACTTACTATGTGGCAGGGCTGCTGAAAGTCCTGGGCATGCATTTGCAGTGCCTGCTATGCAGTAAATACCATATGAACTCGTGTTAAATAAATCACCTCCTTGTATCTCCATAGCCACATGGGGTAGTTTTCATATTATCCCCATTTTGTAGAGAAAACTGAGGCATAAAGAGGTTCTATACCTTGCCCAAGATTGCGCAGCTGGCAGGTAGAGGAGCTGAGGTCCACACTAGACAGCATGACAGCAGAGTCCACATTTCTCAGCTCTGCATGCCTCTCCTTTGCAAAGAGCTTCACCCACAGTATAAACCAAACCATGTGATTAGGTTGAACTGCGATCTCTGTGGAATCTCAAATCAATCTCAAATAATCAAACACTGGCAGTTTCAGGTGGATCAACACACTAAGAGCTTGGTAACTTCTCCTAATGGGGATGATGAAGATGATGATGATGATGACTTGCATCCAAGGCAGAGGATGTGAGGCTATGTCCCAGCCTGCAGGTCTGAGCTCTCACCCCAGGCTGGCCTCCTCGGGGGTGTGGGAGGGCCAGGGAGCTTTAGAGGAATTGCCTGGGAGGTGACCAGGAGAAGTGAGCTTTACTTTATCATGGTACAGAACTAAAAGGGCAGACTAATTAATCATGGAAGTTTCTAAAAGTGCTTTTATTTTGCCATTTAGTATGCCAGTGAGATCATTTCCCTTAATGTATACTCCTGGTATTAACACGCCTTAATCCATCACAGGCTGTATTATGAAATTACTGTGTTTTACTCCCGGGTCCCGTGGAAGATCATTAACCCAACTCTTCTCCGGGCCATACATCATCGGCAGGATTACCTCATGGGTCCAGAGACCCCTCTCCCTGGGCTACGCGGTGGGGCTGCCCCAGTCATTTTTCCTTGCCTCACCTGACAAACAGGGCTGTTTGCATTAGTGAGCAGATGGCTCATGGGTGACAAGCAGACGTTCCTTCCCGCCCACCACCTCTCCTTCCAGTGACCCAGGTTTCCAAGGGACACAGCCGAGAGAGAGGCAGTGTCCACTCAAAGCCGTCCTCCCCACCTCTGCTGATGCCATCAGGCTAGCCAGGGGCTGTGTTCTTATGTCCTAAAGGCCATCAGGGACTTCTGTTGTCAGATCCCACCATCTTGGGGCTCATCTCCTGGGGACTCTGCTCTGGGGTCAGGGGGAGGCAGAGGGTGGCCAGAGGCACTCCTGCATTAGCCAGTTCGAGGGACTACCTACCTTAACCACCTAAGCTATTGCATCTGACCCCAACGCATTCCTTCCTCTATCTGCCTCATGGCCCTACAATTCACCTTGTTCTTTTATTTTATTATTTTTTTTCTGTTTTGTTTTGTTTTGTTTTGTTTTGTTTGAGACAGAGTCTCTCTCTGTCATTTAGGCTGGAGTACAGTGATATGATCACGGCTCACTGCAGCCTCAACCTCCTGGGTTCAAGTGATCCTCCCACCTAAGCCAAGTTGCTGGGACTACAGGTATGTGCCACTATGCCCTAATTTTTAAATATTTTGTAGAGACAGTGTCTTACTATGTAGCCCAAGATGGTCTTGAACTCCTGGGTTCAAGCGATCCTCCTGCCTCGGCCTTCAAAAGTGCTTAGATGACAAGTGTGAGTCACCATGCCTGGCCCATTCCTTTCTTTTTTAAGTCTTTTGGGGAACTGCCAAACTGTTTTCCATAGTTTGCTGTATCATTTTTAATTACAATTATTTTTAATAGACAAGTAAAATTATACATATTTATGGTATACAACATGATGTTTTCATATATGCATACATGGTAGAATAATTAAATCAAGCTATTTAACATACTCATTACCTCACATCTTTTGTTTTCGTGGTGACAACACTTAAAATCTACTCTCTTAGCAATTTTCAAGTATACAATATATTGTTATTAACTGCAGTCACCACTATCCATCATGTTATATTCAATGGATCTCTTGAACTTATTCCTCCTGTCTTACTGAAACTCTGTATCCTTTGCCCAACATCTTCCCAATCTCCTCACATTCCAGCCTCTGGAAACCACCAGTCTACTCTGTTTCTATGAGTTCAACTGTTTCAGACGCCATATGTAACTGAGATCATGCAGTATTTGTCTTTCTGGGCCTGGCTTATTTTATTTGGCATGTGCTCTAATTTCATCCATATTATTGCAAATGACAGAGATTCCTTCTTTTTTAAGGCTGAATAGTATTTCACTGCAAATATGCCACATTTTCTCTATGCATTCATTTATTGATGAAGACTTAGGTTGCTTCCATATCTTGGCTACTGTGGTTAGAGCTGCAGTGACCACGGGAGTGCAGATATCCCTTCAACATATTGATTTCCCGTCCTTTGGACATATACTTATGTATTAGTCCGTTTTCCTGCTGCTGATGAAGGCATACCTGAGACTGGGTCATTTATAAAGAAAAAGAGATTTCACGAACTCACAGTTCCACGTGTCTGGGGAGGCCTCACAATCATGGCGGAAGGTGATAGGCACATCTTACATGGTGACAGACAAGAGAGAATGAGAGTCAAGTGAAAGGGAAACCCCTTATCAAACCATCAGATCTCGTGAGACTTATTCACTACCACCAGAACAGTATGGGGGAAACAGCCCCCATGATGCAGTCATCTCCCACTGGGGCCCTTCCACAACAGGTGGGAATTAGAGGAGCAATAATTCAAGATGAGATTGGGTGGGTACACAGCCGAACCGTATCAACTCGGAAGTGCAATTGCTGGATCAGTTCTCCTTTTAGTTTTCTAAGGAGCCTTCCGTTTTCTCTAATGCCTGTACTAATTTACATTCCTAACAACAGTGCACGAGCCCACCTAATTCTTGAAGCCAAATGAATCTGATTGTCTTCTCTAATCCTCTTGCTCTTAGTCATCTTTGTCTGCCCATCAGCAACTCTTCTTGGCTTTATCAGCAAAAAAGTCTTGAAAGTCCCTTGTATCCCTGCATCTGCCCTAATTTAAGCCTAGATGACCAAACTTTGCCTCTAACTGGTGTCCCTGTTTCAACTCTCGGCCCCCTGCAATGCTTTCTCCATGGAGCAGCCAGAGGGATCTTTTAGAAACACTAATCTCTGGGGTGCTAGAAATATCCTGGATTTTGACCCTAAGGCAACACAAGTGCACATATGATGGAAATTTATTGCATGCTCACTAAGATGTGTGCACTTACACACTTCCTGAATGTATTTTATACCTCAACTCTTAATCATGAAAAAGGTAAATAACACAAATACGGTCATATAATTCCGCTGCTGCAAATTCCCCCAGTGACTTCTCTGTGTCCTTTGATGGAATTATGCAGCTCGTCCTCATGGCCCGTGGTCACCTGGCCTGCTGTTCTTCCTGATCTCATTTCTTGCTATGACCTTCACCCCTTGTCCCCATTTGTCCTACTCTCTAGCTCTGGAACACCCCAAGCCTCCAACCTCAAGGCCTCTGCCTTTGTTATGCCTCTCGCCTGGAACACCGTTCAAGATCTTTACCTGGCTGACTCCACCAGGTCACACTGGCCACAGCCCAAAGTCACCCCCTCGGATTGATCTCTCTTGGCCTGCTTACTTAAAGTACTCTTTCCCTCACTCATCACTTTCTCTCACATTACTCTGGTTTATTTTCTTCATGGGACCCAACACGACCTGAAATGATCTTGCATGTGTGTTCATTTTTATCTACTCTCATTAGTCTGCAAGCTGCCCCAGAGCAGGAAACATGTCTGTCTTGTTCATCCCTGTCTCCCCAGAGCTCTGCCCGCCTCTTCCTGGCCTTGCCCTCCCATTCATTGTCCAAGGAGACCCTAAAGTGACAATGGGACCCAGAGGGGAAAAGGGGGAATCAATGGGCTGTGTTGATCATGAGAGTGGACTTGGGAGTGGCAGCCGGAGCCACAGGTGTTGTCTGTCTCTGAGAAGCCCTCCAATGTGACGCCTTCTTAGCTCCACATGTCCCAATTTCACTCCACCACCCCCCTCTGAGTAACATGACACCTGAACACTGCTAGATGGAGGCATAAGAAAGAGGCTGTCGGGCTGAGAGTAGCTCTGCGTACTTCAAAATGCTTCATGTAGGCCATGCTTCACATAGTCCTTTAAAAACCCAGGAATTCAGGCTTCTGAAGACATCCGTCTATCCACGAGTCTGTACACAGAAAGGCATCTCCGGCCTTTGCCCTCTCTCCTCTGGTGAGAGGAGCAGAAGTATCACCTTCCCACCAGGTGTCTGCTGACCTGTGCACCAACCCTGAGGGTTCAGCCAGGTCACAGAGTGGCCTTGCTGTGCATGGGTAGGGGACAGTTTTGGAGCAAGAGGCCCAATCATGGTACACAGTGTGGAGGGATGAGGTGCTGAGTGCCCGTTAGAAGGAGGCTGACATAATATCTGTCTTCTGGCACAGCCAGCCCACAGAAGGGCCAGGGTGAAGCCCTTAGCTGAGGCTCCAGGGGACACCTGGTCCCAGAAACTTGGGGCAGGACTTTCAGGGCTGTCTTAAGTTCCTCTAAGAACAGACCCTAGTTGGATGCAGATGGTTTATTTGGGAGGTGATCCCAGGAAGCACAAGCAAGGCAGGGAGAAACCGAGACAATGAAGGGAGGAAAGCCATATTAGGTCTGTCCATGATCTGGTACTGCCGTGAGCAACTGGGGCTTGATCCCACTGGGACTCGGTGGAACTGTGTGAAAGACACTTCAGAATCATGTCCTGGAGGATGGAGAGGCTGGACCATTTAGCCACTGACTCTGATCCCCATTGGCTGAAGCATACGCAGGCATGCATGCATGTGTATGCATGTGTGCGTGCATGCACGCGCGCGCACACACACACACACACACACACACTGCCGGGGTGCACACACGCATTTAACCCAAGCAAGCTCCCTTGGTGCCCAAGAAAAGAAGAAAGACAAAGAGGAAGACAGTGTTGGGTGGATGCTGTCTGCCTACCAGGAGCTATCTGCAACTTCAAGTCAGCTCAGATGGGCCAAGGGGATGGAGGATGAGGCATCCACAGAATCTGCTAGAGAGTTGCTGTGATCATGGACTTGGGGCAGTTATACGGCATCTTGAACTGAGTCAATAGCCACTGCTGTGGGTTCAGCTCCTGTGTGTCCTCTGGGTGGCTCCATGTCTCCAGGGCCATGGGCTGCTGGACAGCAGCAAGGCCAAGCCAACTCTCCCTCATTCATCACCCCTTTCAAAGCCAGTGGCCAGGAGCCAGGGGCTGGGAAAATCGACCCTTAAATAAGACTCTTTTTTTTTTTTTGAGGTGGAGTCTCACTCTGTCGCCCAGGCTGGAGTGCAGTGGCGCAATCTCAGCTCACTGCAAGCTCCGCCTCCTGGGTTCATGCCATTCTCCTGCCTCAGCCTCCCGAGTAGCTGGGACTACAGGTGCCCACCACCACGCCTGGCTAATTTTTTTGTATTTTTAGTAGAGACGGGGTTTCACCATGTTATCCAGGATAGTCTCGATCTCCTGACCTCATGATCCGCCCGTCTCGGCCTCCTAAAGTGCTGGGATTACAGGCGTGAGCCACCGTGCCCAGCCTAAATAAGACTCTTCACTGGTATTTGCTTACAACTTACTATACCAGCTAATGGGTATGTTATTTCATTTCATCCTTACAGAAGCCTTGAGCAATGAGTGCCGCAAGTTTCCCATTTTGCAGATGAGGAAACTGAGACACCAGAAGGAGGGGTAACTCACTCACCATCACGTGGTAGAGAGAGCACCCTAGGTTTGTCTGAGTCCGAAGCTCAACTCCGAGCAGCTCTGAAGAATGATCCCTGCAGGGCAGCCTCTGAAACCCCTGTGAGCAGGCGAGGCCAGGAGCCCAAAGTTTCATCCCAGGAGTACCTCGTTCACCCACAGCCACAATCACCATTGATCTGGGTACAGATCCAATCAGAGTTGATGTCAGAGTTACACATCCCCCTGATCTCTGGTCAGAAAGGAGGCGGGGGATCTGGGGTCTGCAGTGATGGGCCTAGGGCAACCGCTTTGACAGAGGTGCAATGGCTTGACCAAGGCATGCCAAGCCTGTGGATGCGCCACTGGGCCACAAGTCAGGACATCATTGCTCTCTTGCCTTGGAACACAGCCGGGCATGTCAGGGACACACAAAATTTGGCATTCATCTGCTGCAAGAGCTAAGTTAGACTAAAACAGATGGGGGTCATTACCACTGTTCCTTTCCTACATCTTTGTCCCTGAAGGCTCCCTTCTCGGAAAGAAGCAGGGTCCCTGGAAACACTAGGAAAGGCTCCTGTGAGCAGCTGACATCCGCATGTTGGCCAAGTAAGTGATGTACTGATGTGTTGCTTTACTGTTAGCCCTTTGCACAGACAGTAGGTTTCATTGCTTTCTTCAAATCAGCAGGGAAATACTTGGTTACAGATTAATGGCCAAACCACAAATCATTCTGGACAACTTTGGTGAAAAGTCAGAAACCACAGGATGACTAGCATCAGCAAAGATCAACAGGCAGCCTGGCTTATCAATAATCCTGGTTGCATCGTTCTTGGAAGAAAGGACACGAATGCAGGCCATTGTACTTTGTCATACTAACACCTAAGTGACCTGGTTTGGTCTGGGTTGGAAAACCAACAAAGGAACATGTGATAAAAGCCACACTGGTTGGAGACAGGAGGCAACTGGGGCTGGCCTTCTGGGATTCTCATGAAGGGGGCAGGTAAGCTGTCGCTTGATCAGTGGAGGAGGCAATCCTAGAAAAGCAGCCGGAAGCCAGGGTTGGACCCCATCTGAAACCCTCCACGTGATGGGGCCAAGTTTCTTTGTCTCTCCTGGCCTCAGCTTCTCCCGCATGCGCAAGGGGATAATTGTAAAGCAACACATCATATACCAGGGAGAGATCAGGAGGGGGACATTTATACCCTTCAGGTAATACACCAGACAACGATATCTTTTATCCTCAACAGATGCCCCAATTCATCTTTTTCTAGCCAAACGATGGAAATCTCTTATAATATTATAGAAGGCATCTTGATGCCTTCAGAGGCCACTCCTGATCTCCTGCAGTGGCCTGTCTAGGGAACAATAGCCAGGGCTCAAGTACTGAGTGGTCTATTTCCTGGCCCATGACCTTGAGCTCACATGTAACTTCTTGGGTTCCTCAGATACAAAAGAAAAGAAAAGCCTCACAGACTAGCTATGCCTTAGTGATTCTAAGTAGCTGGGTGATGAATGAATACAATAATCCAAGCTTCTCCACTGGAGGGCCTTTGGATATGTTTCCTTTACCTAAAATGCCCTTTTCTTGATTTTGCAATCAAGAAGGCTGCCTTTTCTTGATTTTGCAATCAAGAAGGCTGCCCCTTCTTGATTTTGCAATCAAGAAGGCTGCCCCTTCTTGATTTTGCAATCAAGAAGGCTGCCCCTTCTTGATTTTGGCTTAAATATGATCCTCTTGGCCAGGCCATCTGTGCCTACTTTCTCTCACTAGGGTTTCCCCATTCATTATCTCTTTCCCTCTCTCAGCATTCTGTTTAGTTCTGTTACAAAATTTGCACCTTACATATAACTATTAAATTGATTCCTCACCTGTCTGTGGTCTGTCTCTCCTACCAGTTGCTAAGTTCTCAAGGGTGGGGGTTTACTGTGTGTTTTGTTCACAACTGCATTACTAGACAGTGCCAATCACAGGATAGATAAAAGGATGAACAGATGGATGGATGGATGGATAGATGGATGGATGGATGGATGGATGAACAGATGGACTGATGGACGGACGGACAGACAGATGGATGGGTGGATGGATGGATACAAGATTATTGTGAGGATCAAATGAGACAGCATGTGTGGAAATGCTTTGGAAATTGTTGAATATTATATTAATGTAATATGTCATTGTAAAATGCTAGTGCCAGGCACTGTGATAGATGCTTTGCAAACATCATTACCTCCAATCATCTAACTCTGCCTCATGGGTACTATTCTCCCATTGTACAGATGCAGAAACAAAGGCTCTGGTGAAGTTGATTAACTTGTCTAAGATCACAGGGCTGGTATTGAAGACACTGAAGGGGTGGGGTTCAATCCCAGGTAAGCCTAACTGAAGGCATATGCTCTTCCCAAAATTACACCATTTCCAAAGTTCTCATCTTCCAAAAAGTGACTGTGCAGTGAGGTCCTTGTGGTCATTCACAAGCCTGAAACTCCATACCCTTAAACAAAAAAGCCCCATAGTCATTCTTGAGTCACTTTGTCTTATTTTTGAAGCATGATCTCCCTCTCCCCTGCCTCCATATTCAGTTGTCCTTCCTTGCTGCTGTCATTGAGGAACCTTCACCTAACACCAATTCATCTCTAAGGAACCACTTCTAATTACTTTTAACATGAAACAGTTCTTGTTAAAATTGGGTGTAAAGTGAGAGTCAAGAGTTTCTAAGCAAGAAGGGGCATTTGTGAATTAGTTGCAATCTCCTTTGATTCCTCCAGAGGTCTTTCTTTTTTACAAATTCTTTTGGTTTCAGGAAATGAATCCAGAAAGTTAAAATGCGGGGAAGAGGTGGTATTCAGATAAGAAAATGCCAACTTGCCTGTTTCATAGGGTTCCCAAGAGAACCAAATGAGAAAATAAACACAAAAGTACATTGGGAAAAAAATAGAGCAATGTGAAGATACAGATATTTAAGAATATGGTACTGCTGCCAGTGCTTAACCTTTATCCCAAGCTCATGATGCTGCCAAGGAGATTTTATGGCATTTTCTAATTTAATCCTCACAAAACCCTCTGTGACAGCTAGTATCAATATGTTCATATTACAGAAATAAACGCCAGTTCAGCAAGAGCTAGGGGCTTGCTCAGTTGAGACTGGTACACCGGATCCCTGTCACAGAGCTGGAGCACTTGCTGCTGCGTTTCTCATGGTTGGCACCCAAGATTCCCCTGGAGGAATTCAGCACAGGTTACACTTCCTATAGAACCTACCCTGGCAAAAACGAGGCCATCAACTGTCCGGAGATAGCAGGACTGGCTTGGGAGGCTTGAGATCCTTGAGCTCATAATTTTATGTCCATTTATGACTGAAGTGGGGTCCAAAGGACTGTTAGAATCTCCTCCTCATCATAAACTCAGTGGGTGAGGCTGAGCCCCAAGAGTCCCCAGGAGAGAGGGTTGTTCCTGTGTCCTTCTCTTGCAGGAATTGGAAACAGAAAGAGACACTGAAGTCCAGAGAGGAGTAAGTGACATCTAGGGGTCCCCAGGCTGGAGTAGCAGTCATCACACTGACCAGGGTTTTGTGAAAATGTAGATTTCAATTGCATTTTCCGAACTGATTGAATTATAATCTTGGGTGTGAGCCCTAAAACTCTGCATTCTTAACAAGGTCCCAGGGAGACTTGGATGATTGGCCAGTTCAGAAAATTACTGGTGTAACGGAGACAGAGCCTAAAATTGGAGTCTAGACTGGGTTGAATAATGTCCCCCCAAAATTCATGACCATCTGGAACCTCAGAATGGGAACTTATCCTATTTCAGGGCCTTTGGAAATGTGATTTCAGTCTGTTTTTGTTATTATAGTAGTTATGCTCTATGAAGTCACCGCAAACACTGAGTTAGAGAATTCTAAACCACTTCTCCTAGGTGAAACAGAGTTAACTTCCTTCAAGCCTCTGGTCACAGTGTTTTCTCTAACCAATCATGCGTTGTTTTTTTTTTTTTGTTTTGTTTTTTTGTTTTTGTTTTTGTTTTTTTTTTGAGGCGGAATCTAGCTCTGTTGTCCAGGCTGGAGTGCAGTGGCACCATCTTGGCTCACTGCAACCTCTGCCTCCCGGGTTCAAGCAATTCTCCTGCCTCAGCCTCCGGAGTAGCTGGGATTACAGGCCACCTGCCACCACACCTGGCTAATTTCTGTATTTTTAGTAGAGTCAGGGTTTTACCATGTTGGCCAGGCTGGTCTCGAACTCCTGACCTCAGGTGATCTGCCCTCCTCAGCCTCCCGAAGTGCTGAGATTACAGGCATGAGCCACCACTCCTGGCCCCATGTGCATTTTTTTGCGTGCTTCCACTTGAGGACATCTTATTTAATATATATTGTTGATTCATTCATTGAACTCAAAGCCGACTGCGCTATAACTCGTACCTGGACAAAGCTTCTCTAACACGTATATTCTCCATAAGGCACATCGCAGCCTTCTCGCACATAGGAACACTAGACAGCACTTTAGCGCTACACTTCGGGGTCATTTCAAACAGCGAATTCACCAACAGAAAGTACAAACATGCGAAAAACACAGCACTAAATAAAGTGCAAGAAAGGCACTTGTTTTTGAGAGAGGTGAACCAAGAAAGCAGAGCACCACCTTACTGGACCTCAGTTGGGAACATGCACAGTGGGCAACCCACATTTTCCACTGCTCTGTGTATATCTGCAGATGACCACATGTATTGATTTCGAGCTTAACAAATAAATTTTAGTGAGGAGGTAAATAGCAAATATGGAATTCATGAAGAATGAGGATCCACTGTAGTTAAGATGAGGTCATTCTGGTTGAGGGTGGGTCCTAAATCCAATATGAGGTGTCCTTAAAAGAAGAGAAGAGGACATACAGAGACAGCCACAGAGGAGGAAAAAAAATTCATGTGATGACCGAGGCAGAGACTGTAGCAATGCAGCTGCAAGCCAAGAAATGCATAGATTGCCAGCATGCAATGGAAGTGGGAGGAGGCAGGGAAGGATTGTTCCTTAGAGTCTTCAGACGGAGCATGGCCCTGCTGTCACCTCAGTTTCAGACATCAGAAGTGTGCCATCCCATGGCCGGGTGCAGTGGCTCATGCCTGTAATCCCAGCACTTTGGGAGGCCGAGGCAGGTGGATTACTTGAGGTCAGGGGATCGAGACCAGCCTGGTCAACATGGTAAAACCCCGTCTCTACTAAAAATACAAAAATTAGCTGGGTGTGGTGTTGCACGCCTGTAGTCCCAGCTACTCCGGAGGCTGAGGCAGGAGAATCACTTGAACCCGAGAGGCAGAGGTTGCAGTGAGCCAAGATCGTGCCATTGCACTCCAGCCTGGGCGACAAGAGCAAGACTCTGTCTCAACAACAACAACAACAAGGAAGTGTGCCATCCCTTGTTATGGCAGCCCCTAGGCTCCAGGAACCATCAGTCCTGAACATGCAGGAGCCAGCCTGGCTCCAGGAACCATCAGTCCTGAACATGCAGGAGCCAGCCTGGCTCCAGGAACCATCAGTCCTGAACATGCAGGAGCCAGCCTGGCTCCAGGAACCATCAGTCCTGAACATGCAGGAGCCAGCCTGGCTCCAGGAACCATCAGTCCTGAACATGCAGGAGCCAGCCTGGCTCCAGGAACCATCAGTCCTGAACATGCAGGAGCCAGCCTGGCTCCAGGAACCATCAGTCCTGAACATGCAGGAGCCAGCCTGGCTCCAGGAACCATCAGTCCTGAACATGCAGGAGCCAGCCTGGCTCCAGGAACCATCAGTCCTGAACATGCAGGAGCCAGCCTGGCTCCAGGAACCATCAGTCTTGTGGTTCTAGGGAATCCTTTCCACTGGAGAGCCAGCCCAGCCCCAAATCCCACAGTCTTGCCTCAGAAATCAAATGAGAGAATGTCTGCGAAGAACTTAGGAAACTGGAGTGTGTTGTATTCATTCAGCAGATTATTATGCAAGTCCTCGGGTCCCTAAATCACCTTTCAGCTGCCTCGCAACACCCACTCCAAACATCCTGGGCTCCAGCCAGACTGAACTCTTCACCCTTCCAGGCAAACACTGGGCATAGGGCTGCCTCCACACGTTTGCTCAGGTCATTCCCTACCTACACCAGAAAACCCATCCCTCAAATGCCACAGCCTTGATCTGCCAAGAAGATGGAGCTCTTCTCTTCTCCGAAACTTCAGTCCTATACAGAATGCCTCTCCCTGACATCACATAGATTTTTGCCTTTGGTAATCATTTGCAATTTAAATCCTAAAAGGCAGGAACTTCTTAGTCCAAGTGTCTTGCCCCTGCCTGGCACATGGTAGGCACTTAATAAATAAGCTGGAGTTGTGTGGGCACTCAGCGGGGTGTGTTAGGTCCTCCAGGATAAGAGTGTTTTTAGCCGGCCGGGCGCGGTGGCTCACGCCTGTAATCCCAGCACTTTGGGAGGCCGAGGCGGGCGGATCCCGAGGTCAGGAGATCGAGACCATCCCGGCTAAAACGGTGAAACCCCGTTTCTACTAAAAAAAAATACAAAAAATTAGCCGGGTGTAGTGGCGGGCGCCTGTAGTCCCAGCTACTTGGGAGGCTGAGGGAGGCAGGAGAATGGCGTGAACCCGGGAGGCGGAGCTTGCAGTGAGCCGAGATCCCGCCACTGCACTCCAGCCTGGGCGACAGAGCGAGACTCCGTCTCAAAAAAAAAAAAAAAAAAAAAAAAGAGTGTTTTTAGCCAAAGGACTTTCAAGGCCCCTCCTACCTTGACACTCAGACTCCAGGACTGTTAGAGGAATGAATGAGTGGGTCAATTTTAAGCCCCTCCTATAGCAGATAGGAAGACAGAAGCCCTGAGGCTTATATAAGATCAAGGGGGCTCTGGAGCAGGGATGGAAGAGCAATGTTCCAACGCTGCATCTGGAGACTGGCTCCAGCCTCGCTGCACACCTGCATCAGGCCTCAGGGATCCCTGTGCCCAGCCTCTGCCCTAAAGAAGCCAGTTTGAAGGTCCATTGGAAAAGCAGGGATGACTGCTCACCATTCATTCCGAACTCAGGTTTTTTCCATGTCCCCGGGCTGTGCAGTCCTCCAGAGCAGGCAGGTAGGAGATGAGCAAGGTGGCTGGGAGCTGCTGAGTACCCCTGAGCTTTGGTGAGTGGAGACCACAGACAGGAGGACCTGACAGCTGGAGAGGTGCCCTGCAGATACTCCACTAGGAATCCAGACCTTCATTCTGGCAGGGAGGGCAATGCCAGATCTGACACCTCTCTCTACCCTTTCTTAGAACCACAAAATGATAGAGAAGTGAGGACTCAAAGAGATGGCTAATCCGGGATCACACACTCAGGACCAGACAGGTAAGCAGTATGGGTGACTGGACAAAGTAGTGTTTGGCCTCCAGTGAGTGGTTGGCCTATGGACCCACTTGGAGACTGGATGCATTCGGTCATCATTACCTTTAATGCTGAACAAAATACAAAGCACCTGGTGGGCCAGATTCCATCTCATGTCCATCTAATCCAATTCCCTGACTGTCCTGATGGAAACTCATGGGGTCCCCTCAGGGCCTAGTGGTAAGGGATCAGCAGCAGCAGGAGAGCCAGCCCAGCTCTGCCCACACCTAGAACATCTTCTGTTTATTCTTTCAGCTCAGGAAATCTGGGCATAGAAGAGCTGGAAGAACCTTAGAGAAAGCCCCATTATACAGGAGGAAAAACTGAGGCCACAGAAGGGAAGAAACTTGCCAAGCTCACTCAGAAAGTAGAGTTTCAGGCAGAACAAGGGCTCAAGCTAAAATGTGACTTGTTTGTGTGTGCATGTTGATGGTGACTGCATTTATTTATTTCAAGCCTTCTGTGAGGACAGAACAGTACCTGGCATATGATACACATCCAATAAGTTCATGGCTTTGGGATAATTGCAAACTTAGAGATCATAGTTGGGAACTTGCAGGCTGGGAAAGTGCTCTCCCAACATCCTTTTACCCCTGAAAGGCTTCTGAGCTATCAACATTTTTTCCCTAAATTCCTGAGCATTTCTTTTGGGTGCCAAGTTTGACATGACTGCTTCAAATTCATAATGAGTATGGAATACGCAGAAAGCAGCTCAAGGTGAGTCATTCATTAATCATAAGAAAAACAGGCCCTGATCAA